>NC_000008.11:142662013-142964090 GCF_000001405.40 Homo sapiens
GCTGCAGGAGGAGCAGGGCCCGAGTCCCCTGGGTGGCACAAGGGATTCCAGCCACAAGGGCTGCACCTAGAGTCAGGCTCCAGGCCTTGCTGCAGTTGGTCTGGAAGAGGGGCACCCTGAGGACACAGCCACTCACTGGGGACAAGCGCCTACCCATCAGCCCAGCACAGTCAGCACAAGAGCAGATCAAGAACGGGAAGAGCTCAGGTCCTGAAGAGCTACAGTCTGACAGGGACAAGCCATGTCCAGAGGACTCAGGAGAGCCAGCCAGGAGCTCGGCCAGCTGGCCTGCCCATGCCCTCCCCAGCTCCACCCACCCAGGATGTCCTACTGTTTCAGAGCCCTCGGGACATGTTCTAACCTCCTGTGTTGCCTCAAGCAGCTGCAATCCAGCAGTCTTGGTTAAGAGGCTCTATTAGGAGTGACACGTGAGCCCAGAAATGGCACAAAGTACATGATGTGCAGAAGTTCCCCAGACAATGAAGCAAACAGTGCGGGTGACACCACAAAGACAATGGGACACAAATGGGAACTGGGACTGTCGTTCAGCACCGAGATCTTTAAAAACTATTTGGCTTTTATAATCTTCACACATGCATTCAAAGCAAGAAACACACACTTCCAGGACATAGATAGGGCTCTGTCAGCAATGACTTTTGCCCCTGTATCTACAGAGATGTGAAAGTACGAGAAACCACAGCGAGCCAAATCCTCTCCTTCATGAGAACAGAGGTTTCAGTGGAATCAACAGCAGACGCTGGAATGCAAACTACGTGCTGACTCGGCCAAATGATATGAATTTAAGAGAGGAAAAGAATTCAAGGGCAAAGCACTGAAAATAACATAGCAAGAAAAACCTATTTAGGCCGAGTGCTGTGGCTCACACCTGTAATCCCAGCACTTTAGAAGGATGAGGAAGGAGGATCGCTTGAGGCCAAGAGTTCAAGACCAGCCTGGGCAACACAGTGAGACCCTGTCTCTACAAAAAAAATAAAAAGGCGCGGTGGTGCGTGCCTCTAGTCCCAGCTACTCAGGAGGCTGGGGCGGGAGGATCACTCAAGCCAGGGAGGTCGAGGCTGCAGTGAGCTGGGATCACACCACTTCACTCCAGCCTGGTCAACAGAGTGAGACCCTGCCTCAAGAAAAGAAAAGGACAATGCACCTATTTTATGCTCGCTGAAAGACGAGGCTAATCACTGTGGACACAGGGCGTTCTGGAATCTCAGCTGCAGGCAGTGAGTGTTGCCCGTGAAATGGAGATGCCGCAAAGCAACTACAGACATGGAGAAAATAACCACATCCTCTTACAACCGCCTCTGTGAAAACTGACCAGGACAGACAACTCCTCCCCAAAAGTATTACTAACGTGCTAACAGCTGGGGATAAGAGCACACATACTGCTAGAAATCTAAGCAGCCTGTTTTACTGTTTTCAGTGACTTACGTGCAAACCTAAGACTAATCTCTGAATGTCTGATCAAGACGTATTCATGTAAAGGCCATAAGTATGAAATTCTGGGCAACATGGTACATTGGACTCTGAGCCAAAATGCCAAAATACCACACAGGGTCCGTGTCCTCTATCCGGGTGATGAGCAGGGCCTGGTCAGCCACTCCTACTTTCTTCCCAGAAAGGAACTCTACCAAGTCAACTCTCCGTGGGGCCCCCCAACATCTTGGGGCCAGAGCCCATGGGACAGGATCTGCGGGTAACAGAGGATGGTTCCAGAGTCATTCTGCTGAATGAGGCCACAACTGAAGTGAGATGTGCGGCCTGTTCAGCCGCTAGCAGGCCAAGAACTGAGTCCCAGCTCTCGGGCCATCGGACCTCAGGCAACCGTGCTCGGGGTCCACCCAACACGGGGATGGCCGCCAGCCCAGCAGATAGAGCCTTCTGAGACGAAGCCTGTCCAGGGGCGGTGGGCATGGCCTCCTGTCGGCCTGGAGGGCAACTTCTCTCCACGTGGACAGACTGACATCTCCACCCTCTGATACTGCAATGATCAGCCAGCGAACACGAGACCAGATCGGCTCAGCCTGGCCCCCATTCCAGCCAGGGTGCGGCTCTGGCTTGTTCTAGGCTAGGGTGGACCCTTCCAAAACATTTCCTCACTTTCGGATGACACGGCAAGTGATAAAATAAAACCTGTATTGACAGGAACCTCGGGCACAGACCGTCCTGGGCACCCGAGCCACACCCGTGGGCGACCCACTCCTGGAAGGGCTCTTGAGTGTCTGCACATGCCCTCCTGCCTCAGGTGGGGTCGGGGCACAGGACCATGCCACTCCAGGGTGTGGGGAGAAACAGGGCCAGTGGCCAGGGCAGGGCAGAGAAGCCATCAGTTGTCACCTGCTGTGGATGAGCAGGGCAAGGGAGACTGAGCTGTGGCCCCACAGCCACCAGGGCCCTCCTGGAGGGCTTCAACCTTGACCACAGCCCCGAGGGCACCACGCCGCCTCCTCACCTGCTGCTGGCTCCGGAACACGGCACGCAGCGCCCGCAGCTGCCCCACTTCCTGCGCACTGAAGCATGGCTGCCGCTCCGCAAAGCGCAGGACTGCGTCAAAGGCCACGGCCGCCTGCTCCCAGGCCACCTCCTCGCCCTCACCAGGATCTCCTCTGCCGTCCTGGTCAGCTTTCGGAGTCTTTTCTGAACTCCACACAACCTCTGCTGGCGACGTGGCAGCAGGGGGCCGTCCCCCTTCTGCCTCCCTTCCCGCTACCCCCCAGCTGGCGGCCTGGCGCTGGCGAAGCTGGCCCGGGCAGGAGGAGCCTTCCTTCACAAGCTCCAGGATGTGTGCAAAGGACTTGTTGTGGGGCTTCACTGGGAAGCACTCTGCCTCCAACTCCTCCTCAGAGGAGGAGCCTTCGGCAAACGCAACCGACGGCCACAGCTTCCTCCAGGCCCGCCTGAAGACGTGGCTAGGGACTGCGTTCCAGGCACAGGCCACGCTGAATATGGCATCGTTCATGTTGTAGCGGGCGTGGGGGCCCTGCAGGGGGACCGGAGGGTTAATGAAGTTCCTCATGAAATCTCTCCGAATGCCCTGCTCCATGGGCTGCACCAATGAGGCCACGCTGGCAGGCAGGAAGATGGTGAAAACGTTACTGGACACCAGCTCGGCCTCCTGCGGGTGAGCCCGGGAGCTGTCCAGCAAGAGAACGGCTTTGCTGTCTTCCGGCAAACCTATGGTTCTGAAGTGCTCTCTCACCGAGGGCACAAAGATATGATGGAACCAATCGGAAAAAATCTCCTTGTCCACCCAGGCGTTCCCCTGGGCCTTATAGGCGACGGGCAGGTGCTGGATGCCTTTGAAAGCCCTGGGACCGCTGCACTTCCCGATGGCCAAGGGCTTGAGCCTGTGGGAGCCCGTGGCGTTGGCACACATCAGCACGGTCAGCCGGTCCTTGCCCTGCTTGGGGCCAGGCACAGCCCCGCCTTCCGGAGTGGGATTTGGCAGGCACCGCCAGAAAAGGCCGGTCTCATCAGCGTTGTAAACCTGCTCGGCGGACAGCCCGTGCTCAGCAGCCAAGCTCCTGAAAAACGCACAGAACTGCTCCGCGGCCTGGTGGTCGGCTGACTGCTTTTCACTGGATGCATCTAGCTTTTTAATGCCGTGTCTGGCCTTAAAGCGCCAAAGCCACCCTCCGGAGAACACGCAGGGCTCAGTGAGCTGCATCTGCTCGTAGAAGTCCTTGGCCTTCTCGATGAGCATGGGGCCTGACACGGGGACGCCCTCGGAGCGCTTCCCCAGGAACCACTCGTACAGGACGCGGTCCAGGTGCTCCAGCTTGGGCGTGTGCAGCGTGCGCCGCTGCTCCAGCGCCTTGTTGGAGTCGGAGCTGGCGAAGAACCGGAGCAGCTGCGCCTTGTGGGCCCTGATGTCGTAGAGGGTGGACATGCCCACATTGTACTCCTGCATCAGTGCCTTCCGGCTCTCGCCCTTCTCCAGGCGCGTGCAGATGTCAATCTTCTCCTTCAGTGTCAGCACCACCCTCTTCCGCTTCTCCCCTCTGCTCTTCCCGGCAGCCGGCTTGGAGGCCATGGGGAGGGGTGGCTGGTCCTAGCACTTGCAGGACACACGCCTGGCCTGGGCTGCTGCCACTACTTCCCTCTCCTCCTGCTCCCCTTCTGGGGCTCCGTCTCTCCCTCTCCACTCTGCCTGCCTGCTCTGCTGATCCTGAGCACAGGCCCCAGTCCCTCTCGGGTTTCTCACTCCACACGCTGCACCTCCTGCCTCAGGTATCCCTGGTCTTCCAGGCTCCACACACCTAGGCCTTGGCTCCTGGCAGTGCAGTCAGCTGCCAATTCTCTCTGTGGAGGAGGTGACCCTGTCAGACTCCCCTCTGCTGCTCCACACGGCTGGAACTCCGGCCTTCTCTGTGGATACTATGGCAGCGGCTCCCCTCAAACTGACCAGGTTTGGGGTGGTAGAGGTTTTACCGCATAAGCAGCAGGTGCCTCTCCAGGGTCCACAATGGTATCTCCAGGCACAGCACTTCAGGGGCTGGAAAGCAGAGGGAACAGAGAGGAAAGTGATGGGGCGCGCCCAGGACACACATGGCGTCCTCACGACTCTCCTCACCGGGACACTCCAGCTGAAACTCAAGGGCTGTTGAGAGGACCCATGCAAGTGCTGGCATGCACTGTGGGGAGAGGGTGGCCCCGGGAGCAGCCCAGCCTGCCCAGCCCCTGCACGTGCTGCTCAGGTGGACTCTGCCCAACTCCCACCAAGCAAACTGAAGCCATTCGCTAGGGCTGGAAACGAGACGTGGCTCTCATAGGAGCAGCCCGGCCTTTCCTGGGGAAGCGCTCAGGCAGAAGCCATCAGAGGAAGCCAGGAAGTCCGATGCTGGGCGGACCCAAGAACAAACCTCCCACCCGCCCAGCCTAAGCTTCTTGCTGTAACTGCTCGCTGGGCTACCTGAGCTTCTCAAATCCCTTATTCCTCCCTGAGGAGCAGAGGCAGGGGTGGAGGGATGCAGGGAGGAGGAACTCCTCACTACCCTCCCCGCCAAAGATCTTACAAACCCCATCTGGAGCAGGTCTCTAAACTCCTCTCTCCGACACAGAGCGCCAAACTGCCTCTAGAAAACAAGGCATTAGAAGTTTCTCTAGAACAGCAGGCCTCAAGCTCCTCCAAGGGCTAGGAGGTGCTGCCAGTTTCTCAATCACCCTCTGACCTCCCTGACTGCCACACACTCAGATGCGTCTACAAGGAGCCGCAGCAGACAGACAGCTGTGACCATTCCAGGCCTCTTCCAGAGGGGACCCCTCAAGCTCAGCTCAGGGTACCCTGCCCCAGGCAGCCACACTGAGCCGCTGGTCTCTGAAACCCCAGGCTCTAGTGCTGCCCGCCCACCTGGCTCCACAACCACGGCAGGGCCGCAGAGCCTGCCAGACATGGACGGACACGGAGACACACACACACACACACACACACACACACACACACACACAGCCACCCAACCTCACTCACACATACACGCTCAGAGGACACAGGAACAAGCTAGCCCAGAGCAGGAACTTCTTTAGCATTTGCTAATTTGGGAGGCTCTATGAACAAATGACTAATTTACGCCAGAAGCAAATGCCAGGAAACCTGATAGCCCCCTGGGAGCAAGGGTTCTTCCTGGGCCAGCTGTGCACCCTACGAAAAGCTTGCTTTTAAGTTTCACACACACCTTTGACCAATAGGAAGAAAAATGACATAGAAATGTCACAGCTCTAACCAAACACATCTTTCTGTTGGAGTTTTGAACTAACTTCTCACCCTTCTCCTATATAAAGACAATGCGGGTCATTCTCATCCCTTCTAGGTGGACAATTTCACCCTCTCATAACAACTCTGCGAAACACCCCACAACCCTCCCTACACCCGAGCCGACTGGCAGGGCACAGAGGGCGCACCCCTGTGAGGCCAGGGCAGCCTATGGAGTCAGGGCCTGCAATGCACTTCACCCAGTTAAGACACTGCTGAGGGTGGTGAGGGCTGAAAAGCTGTTTGCCCAAACACCGGGCAGCTCAGCTGGCCGCCTCAGTGTGGCGTGCGTGCTATGGGCAGGGGTCTCCCTGCCCTCACTCCTCCGCAGGCCAGCAGTACTTGAGGATGGACTCCTGGAGTTCCCACCTCCCTCCCGCGTCCTTACCATAGCTGCTTCTGCCAACTCCATGCAGAGCGTGTGGCCAAAGGCCTACTTACATGTGGAGCGCAGAAACGCAGCCCTTTGAGGCCAGAGCTCAAGGGAAAGGAGGAGTGCAATCAAATGCAGCAAAAGCTCCAAAGAAAAATTATAGGCTTGTTGGCTGCCACCTCTGGGTGAGTACTGTCCTCTTCCGGAGTCAGTTTCCTGGTCTGCAAAATGTGGGCTGGTCCCTTAAGGATCCTGCATTGTTCGCTGAGGGTGACGGTGTGACGTGTGTGCGGTCTGGCACAGCACAGTGAGCTATGTGCATCTCACCATGGGGAACAGGAGGGAAGGCAAGGCCACAAACCACCCTCCAGATTTTTAATATGAACCCGCTGTAGAAAAACTGGGGGAGACACGGAATCCCACAGTAGCTTATGAGGGACTAACTGGGGACTGGGATGCAGAGAAAAGCTTCCTGGAGGAGACTCAACACCAGACACAGCTCCTCGCGGACACGTCTCCATGCCTGACATGCAGGTGTAGCAGGATGACACAAAGTGGCTGAACTTGTTTCATAAGGAATATCTGAATTTTATTTTTAAAGGAAGTTTTTGGTCTTGCAAGTGGGACAACAGTGTGTTCTGCCAGTTTGTGTCATCCTGCCACACCTGCACGTCAGGCATGGAGACGTGTCCACAAGGAGCCCGTGTCTGGTGCTGAGTCTCCTCCAGGACGCTTTTCCCGGCATCCCAGTCCCCAGTCAGCCCCTCACAAGCTACTGTGGGATTCCCTGTCTCCCCGAAATTAGGGTGGTTTCTTGCCTTGCGACTGGAGAGGAAGCACTGATCCCCAAGGCCACGTGAACACGGGATGAAACGTGCAATTCTCCTGTGCCCAAGGCACAGACAAGAAACGGGAGGCCTGAGGGGCCAGCGCTGGGGCTGACTCCGTCCTGTGTGAGGCTAAGAGGCCCTGAGAAACGCGGGGGGAAAGCGGGAAACAACCTTCGCAGGGGCATAGTGTGTGTGTGTGTGTGTGTGTGTGTGTGTGTGTGTGCGTGTGTGTGTTGGGGGGTATGGAGGATATGAAGGAGAAATACTCAAAAAACAAGTCGCATTCTGGAGCTGGGGGAAGAGGTGAGCTGGGGGTCAGAAGGAGAGTATGGGACAGAGAAGGAGGGGACAGAAAGCCTGGGGCCGTGCGCCCCGCAGAGAGCGCCCGAGAGCCGGCGCCGAGTTCCGCTAGGAGCCCTCCACGCTGGGGGATCCTGGCGCAGAGACAGCGCTGGGCTACTGGCGAGGCTCGCTTAAAAAGCGTCCGTACCCCAGGGTCCCCGTTTGTGGGTAGAAATTCAGTCTGGGACAAGAACAAGAACAAAAACAGAAATGGAGAAAAAAAAGTCTCGGTCTGGTTTTTTAAGGGCAAGCGGACCTCGTGACCAAGCCTCTCTGAGAGTGGAAGCGCAGGAAGGGTCCGGGCTGGGGCGTCAAGGCCAGGCCTGGCGGCAAGGGGTGGGTGCGGCTCGGGGGCCGCGCGCTCAGGCCGCGGGGGTCGCGCGGGAAGCACAGGGCTTCGGGTTCCGAGCGCGGCTCCCGGGAGGGGGCGCTGCCGCCCGCGGCTGGGTCCGGCCCCGCAGCCTCGCGACCAACCCCGCCCCGCCCCGCGCGCCCGCCTGCCCAGACTGCGGCTCCCGCCCGCGCCGCCCGCGCCCACCAGGGACCGGAGAGCGCCCGCACCCATCCGGCCCGGCCCGGCCGCCCAGCGCCTCAGGCCAGGACCCTACTCACCCTGCTCACCCGGAGCAGCCGCCGCCGGCCGGAAGTGCCGGCCACTCGGTTCTCCTCCAGTCCGCGCCTCGTCGCCTTCCCCCAGCTACTTCCGGGACGCTCTAGACAGGCTGGAGGACTCAGCACTCGGTGGTGTCTGGGAGCCAGACGCAGGCTTTCAAAGAGCTGGGTGGCCGCGGAGGGCGTGGGAGGAGAGGAGGCCTGGAGGAGAGGAGTGGGGGGGTCCCAGGGTGGGGGGAGGCGTGGGAGGGGAGAAGGCGCGGGCAGGGAGGGGAGAGGGGAAACGGGGCGAAGGCGGGGCGCGCGGCCTGGGCCCCGGGCTCCGCCCTGCTCTCTCCATCTGTAGAATGGGCGCAGGGCGTCACATTCCTTTCATGACAGTGAACCCTGCGCTGAAGGCGTTGGGGCTCCTGCAGTTCTGGGGCAGCCACAGGCGCCCAGGGTTTCGTGCCGATCAGCCCAGGACGGTCTTCCCGGTGCAGTTTCTGATGCGGGGAGGGCAGTGCTGCCTTCCGGTCACCAGGACCAGTGCTCAGCCCGCCTGCTTGACCCCCTTACTTAGCTGGGGTCCAATCCATACCCAATTTAGATGATTCAGACGATGGGATTTGAAACTTTTGAACTGGGTGCGACTTAAGTGAGTATGGACCTGAGTTGGTGCTGTAATGAGTTGAGGCTGTGGAGGACCTTGAGATGGGTGCGTGGATTTTGCCCATGGGACCTATGCAAATTTTGGAAACTGGAGGGTGGACTGTGGTGGGCAGAATAATGGCCCTCCAAGGATGTCCACATCCTAACTTCCAGGTCTTGTGAATACATTACTTACATGGCAAAAGGGACTGCAAATGCAATGAAGTTAAGATTCTTTAGGTGGAGAGATTCTTATGTTTATCAGGGTGAGCCCAATGTGCAGTCGTCCCTGGGTATCCATAGAGGATTGGTTCCAGCACTTCTCAAGGATGCTAAAATCCTTGATGCTCAAATCCCTTACATAAAATGGCTTCGTATTTGCATATAACCTACACACATCTTCCCGTATACGTTAAGTCACTTCTAGATTACTTATAATACCTAATACAATGTAAGCGCTATGTAGATAGTTGTTATACAGTATTGTTTAGGGAATAGTGACAAGAGAAAAATTTGTACATGTTCAGTACAGACACAGGTTTTTTTCCGAATTGTTTGTATCCTCGGTTGGTTCCATCTGGATGCAGAGCCCACGGGTTCAGATAGGAGGGCAGGTGCCATATCAGGGGTTCTTGTGGGAGTTAGGAAGCCAAGTGAGAGGACAATGGGATGAAAGAGGAGAGAAAAGGAAATGTGACAACAGACACAGGGGTTGGAGTGATGTGCTTTGAAGATGGAGGAAGGGGCCACAAGCCAAGGACTATGAGCGGCTTCTAGTGGCTGGGAGAGACAAGGAAACAGGGCCTCTCCTGGAGCCAGCAGAAGGAATGCAGCCTGCTGACCCCTTGATCTTAGCCCATGACACTCATTGTGCCATTAGACTTCTGAACCCAGAGCTGTAAGATATAAATTTGTATTGTTTTGGATCACCACGTTTATGGTAATTTGTTAGGACAGCAATAATAAACAAATACAGATTTGGGTAGCTCACTCCTCCTTTTTCCTTTTTTGAGGTAGGGTCTCACTCTGTTGCCCAGGCTGGAGTGCAGTGGTACATTCTCCTCACCGCAGCTTCAACCTCCTGGGCTCAAGGGATCCTCCTGCCTCAACCCCCAGAGTAGCTGGGACTACAAGCATGCACTGTCTCACCTATCTTTTTAATTTTTTGTGGAAACGAGGTCTAGCTGTGTTGCCTAGGCTGGTCTCGAGCTCGTGGACTCAAGCGATCCCAAAATGCTGGGATTCCAGGCACGAGCCCATGTGCCAGCTCACTCATCCTTAGGTCCGTTGTTACCTGGGCTCCCAGCACCCTCCCACCCTCTGGTTCTTCTCTTCCTCACCCTCCCTTGCTGGTTCCTTACTGACCAGGCCATTCTTTGGCTCTTTTTGTTCAACCAGTCCCCACTCCCTGGGTGATCTCCTCCAGTGTCATGCCGTTAAATACCATCCAACACTGGCAACGACCAAATTCATGTCTCCTGCCAGGGCCCCTCCCCAGAAATCCAGACTCCTATGTGCTAGCCAATGTCTCTGCTTAGCTTTGATCCTCCAGCCCAGCCTTGCTCCATCTGCATTGCCCCCACCTTCATGAACGGCAGCTCACCTTGCTATTCACTCAGGCTCAGCCTCAACAGTCTCCATCCCTCATATCCAGATCCTCTACCCTCAAAATCCAGCCAGTGTTTGGCCTCTTCTCACTCCCTCCAACTGCCCTCCCCAATCCACACCTCTGTGGTCTTGCCTCCTCCCCAGTCTCTGTTTCTGCCCTTACCCCCATACAGCTATCAACTGCTGCATCAAAAACCGCCCAAAACTTAGCAGCTTGAAACCAACTGTTTTTATTGCAGATGATTCTGTGGGGCAGGAATTTGGCCATGCTAGAGTCAGATGTGTTTCACAGAGGAGGCTGAGTCACGGAGCATACCAGGCACATGGCAGGACTGGAACCCAAGGTCCCTGGACTGGGGCTCCCATGGCAGGGTCTCCTGGGACAGCAAAGTCCTCCCTCCCCCGGAAGGCTGGCTCCATCCCTGGTGCGACTCTGCTGCTGAAGCAGCATCATTGGGGTAAATACCTGGGGTTCATTGTCTCACACCAAGAAGATTAAGGACATGGACTCATGTAGATGGGTTAAGGAGCAGAAAGTTTAATAGACAGAAGAAAGGAGAGAAGAGAGCAGCCCTCTCTTTCGAAAGAGGCGTCCAAAAGAGAAAAGCCAGCCTGCAGCAGACCCCAGCAGATTTTATAGGCAGGCTTGAGGAGGCAGTGTCTGATTTACAAAGGGCCCACAGATTGGTATGACCAAGGGTGATGTTTACATATGGCGTGGGGAAGGCTGGTCGCCCCACCCTAATCTTATTATGCAAATGGGCTTCTACTTGGCCAGCACCATCTTGTCTGCTCCTTGCTGTACACATGGCTGGCAAAGAGAAGGGAAGATGGAGCTGCCATTTTGATCATGCCTAGTCTCAGGTAGCTTTTTCCCATTGGCACAACTGCTGGCATTCACGCGTGCAAGCTTCCAGCTTGCTTGTCTTATGTTTGCGGCTCGATTTTACAGGCTGCTCTTTGTTAGAAAAGAAAATGATTTGGAGCCTGCTTTTCATTAAAAGGAAAACCTTACTGAGGACTTCCTTACCCTCACTATCTGCCTAAATAATTTATTTTTAACTCCTATTTTTAACTGCCACCTCAGGGACATGGGATCACGTGGTCTCCCAGGACTTGGACAGTGCTGGTGGGCAGTGGGGATTGGCATGAAACTGGGGCCTCATCCCAAGATGCATGGGGCTCCTCCAGGTGCTCCTACCATTACTCACGGAACCTTGGGCCTCTTCTCGAGGACCAAGTCCATTCTGACACTGGGAGGGGTCAGAAAGAGAGGAAGAAAATACACTAGCGTGTAATCACCCAGTGGGTTCATTTTGACCCCTGGCAAGATAGAGCTGATTTAGCAAGACAGGGGAATTGCCATAGAGAAAGAGTTTAATTCATGCAGAGCCAGCTGAACGGGAGACCAGAGTTTTATCATCACTCAAATCAGCCTCTCAGAAAATTCGGACGCTAGGGTTTTTCAAGGAGAGTCTGGTGGGCCAGGGAATGGGTGCTGCTGGTTGGCTGGGGATGTGGAAAATGGTCCTCCTGTGCACTGAGTTTGCGTCCAGGTGGGGCCACAGGACCGGCTGCGGGGTTGGTGGGCCTCGCTAGAGCCATCCATCAGTCATTAGACGTGCAAAAACCTGAAACGACATCTCACAAGGCCAATCTTAGGATCACAATAGTGATGTTACTTGCAGGAGTAATTGGGGGAGTTGCAAATCTTGTGGTCCCTGGAATAACGGCTGGGAGTCGTTTCAGTCTAACCTCAGCAGAGCTCAGATCCCCTCATCTTCCTAATGAATAACGGCTGGGAATCGTTTCAGTCTAACCTCAGCAGAGCGCAGATCACCCATCTTCCTAATGAATAACGGCTGGGAATCGTTTCAGTCTAACCTCAGCAGAGCTCAGATCCCCTCATCTTCCTAATGAATAACGGCTGGGAATCGTTTCAGTCTAACCTCAGCAGAGCTCAGATCCCCCATCTTCCTAATGAATAACGGCTGGGAATCGTTTCAGTCTAACCTCTGCAGAGCTCAGATCCCCCATCTTCCTAATGAATAACGGCTGGGAATCGTTTCAGTCTAACCTCAGCAGAGCTCAGATCCCCCATCTTCCTAATGAATAACGGCTGGGAATCGTTTCAGTCTAACCTCAGCAGAGCTCAGACTCCCCTCATCTTCCTAATGAATAACGGCTGGGAATCGTTTCAGTCTAACCTCAGCAGAGCTCAGATCCCCCATCTTCCTAATGAATAACGGCTGGGAATCATTTCAGTCTAACCTCAGCAGAGCGCAGATCCCCTCATCTTCCTCATGCAGTGGTGGCCTTTCGTTAGCTTTACAAAGATGGCTGAGTTTTGGAAAAGGGCTGTTATGCCCAGAAATGACTAAGGGCAGTTTGGAGATTAACTGGCTGTGGGTTAGATCAGATCTCCTTCACCATCACCATTTTCTCACTGTTAAAACTTTTACAAAGGCAGTTTCCAGTGTCTCCTGGGGGCTGGCTCTGAGGACTCCCTTCCCCCAGCCATGCCCCAAGTTCGCAGAGCAGAGCCCCCAGACTATGCCTGGGCCACTGCACCAGCCTGCTTCCCTACTGAGCGGAGCCTCCAGACCATGCCTGGGCCACTACAGCAGCCTGCTTCTGCACTGGCTTCCCCATCTCCACCCACAGTCAGAGTGGCATTTGACAGGGCCAGTCACTCCCCCTGCCCAAATAAGCCTGTGCACTCTGAATACAGCTCAGGTCCTCGCTGGGCCACAAGGCCACGCCGGAGCTAACCCCTCACTGTCCTCTCCGAAGCCCATGGGTCATCCCCCGTGCCTGCTATTCCCTCTGCCTGGAGGTGGGCTTGTATCCGGCAGTGTCCTTTGCTCAGGTGCCGGAGGCCTCAGGTTGGGGCAGTCCCAGCCAGCCCTCCTTCTGGAGGTCTCTGGATGACAGGCCTCTCATAGCAGGGGTGGCTGGGGGTGCTGGTGAGGCTGTGCCCAGCTGGAAGGGAAGGGTGTGCCTTGGGTCTCCTCCCCAGTCTGAGTTCACTCCAGGAAGGGGGAGTGGCAGGAGCAGAGGGTGCAGAGTGGTGGGGGTGGTTCTGAGGGTCATTGGAGGCCAAGGGGCCTGGCTGGTGGGGCAGGGGCTGGGGCAGTGCCCATCTCCACCTTAGTGCCCAGGCAGGAGGGGAGCTGGTTTGGGGCAGGGCCCTGATGACGCCTTTGTGAGAGCCAGGAAAAGGCACCTCCTCTGGGAACACAGGGCCCTGGGGGAGTTAGAGATGGGGAGGGCCTGTGGGCCCCAGCTGGGTGGGCTTGGGGAAGAACGCCTCTGAGGGGCTCCAAGCTGCACAGCCCTCAGGACTTGGTGGCCCCAACACACCCACATTTACACACATGCTTTTGCTTACACAACACACAACCGGTGCACACACCCACACTCACTTGCATTTACACACATGCCACACATTTGCACATTTGATCCACATGCACAGACAAGCATCCTCTCTCACACTCTCACACACACTATGTGGCACACTCCCATGCCCACATAGTTGGCACATACAAACCCTCACAGTCACATATCACACACACACAGCTTGCAAGTCATGGCCTTAATTTCCAGAACCCAAATGGGGGCTTGGCACTGAGTGCCCCCAGCCAACCCATGTGCATCAGTGGGTTTTCCTCCTGATCTGCAAGGGCGTTTTTCCAAAGCAAAGATGCTAAAAACTGACACCAGCGTGGCTTTGCAAGTGACATGCTATCTTTATTTTTTTAATTAATGCTGCATGAAATAAAAAAAATTACACACAGGGATGTGTGTTCCAGCATGGGACCGTGTGGGGCCCCAGAAGGTGGTGGTGGGACTCCCTGCAAGGTGAGTCAGCTCCCAGAAGCCCCAGGGCCTGGTCCGGCTGTCCTGGCCCCGGCCTCATGCCCTGCACTAGGTGGAAGACAGGATCTCCAGGGAACCCGGCTGCTTTGGGCCCATGGCAGTGGGGTGGGTGGGCAGAAGGCCAAGAGCAAACAGGAAAATCTGGAGTCCCTGGAGGCAACTGGCAGAGAAGAGGAAGGAGGCCAAGGGTGAGTCACACTGAAGCCACACTAACTGTTGTTATTGTACATGATTCTGTGGGTCAGGAATTTGAGCATGCTAGAGTCAGATGTTTCACAGTGGAGGACGCTTAGTCATGGGGCATACCAGGCACATGGTGGGACTAGAACCCAGGGCCGCTGGATGGGGGTTCCCAAGGCAGGGTCTCCTGGGACAGGAAGGCTGGTTCCATCCCTGGTGTGACTGCTTACCACCTCAGGGACGGGATCACTTGGTCTCCCAGGACTTGGGTGCTGCTGGTGGGGAGTGGAGATTGGCATGGAACTGGGGTCGGAACTGGGGCCTGATCCCCAAGATGCATGGGGCTCCCCCAGGTGCTCCTACCATTACTCAGGGAACCTTGGATCTCTTCTCAAAGACCAAGTCCATTCTGGCACTGGGGAGGGATCAGAAAGAGAGGAAGAGAAGGAAGAAAATACACTAGTGTGTGATCACCCAGGGGGTTCATTTTGACCCCTGGCAAGATACAGCCGATTTATCAAGACAGGGGAATCACAATAGAGAAAGAGTTTAATTCACACAGAGCCAGCTGACCGGGAGACTGGAGTTTTATTATCACTCACATCAGCCTCTCAGCCCCTGTCCACCGGATGAGGATCTGCAGGAAGCCATGCCCCTTGTGGCAGAACTTCCCAGAAAGGAGAACTGCCAGAAGATCCAGGCTCAGTTTAGGCTCAGGGGCTGCATTCAGTGTATGGCCAAAGTGTGAATGACAGGGGACAGGGATTCGCCTGTGACCAGGGTCAAAAATCAGAGGGTGACCACAGTCAGGGTTCATTCTGTGACCAGGATCAGGGCTCAGCCAGTGGCCAGGGCCAGGGCTCAGGGTGGGGCCGTAACCAGGGCTCGTTAGGTAACCAGGATTAGAGTTCAGACTGACCACAGTGAGGGCTCAGTTTTGGGGTGAGGTCAGAACCCAACCTGTGGTCAGGGGTGGGGCTCTAGGAATGTCACAGCCATGGTCTTCCGTATAGGAGCCATGACCACGGGGCCATCCTCAGACCAGCCACACCCTCAGTGCGGCGGATGCTGGGGCTGCGGATTCTGTGGTGGGGATCCTGTGTGTTGCCCCCTCCTTGGCCTGCACCCACTAGAGGCCAGCAGCACCCCTGAGCTGGAATAAGCAGAGATGCCTCCAGACATCACCAAACATTCCCTGGCGGTGCAGAGTCACCCACGTGAGAACCACTGCCTTACAGCAATCACTGTGTATCAAATCAGATCAACAAACACTTACACACCTATAAATATTTGAGGACGGAAAGTTCCAGGCTGGCACCTTGAACACAGAGACAGATAAGAAAACGTCTTGTGCGGGAGTGGCCAGAGTCCGGGCGAGCTGGGGCGGGGGGCGGAGGGAGGATGGGACAGGGGCTGTCAGCCACACACGGAAGCAGTTCATGACTGTATGAGGCCCCTTGTCCTGAGCTTACAGGACATGGGCTGGAGGGCGTGTCCAGAGGGAAAGTTCTGGGTGGGCAGAGTGGGCAAGCAAGGAGTCTGGGGGAGGCTGCAGTCACCCTGCATGGCCTCCAGTAAGTTCCTGTCCCTCTTGGGCTCAGGCTCCTCACTTGCCAGAGAAGAGACAATTTCCATGGAAAAGAGCCCAACCCAGTGGGTTCCAGGGAGGCAGGCAGGAGAGACCTCAGAAGGACAGGGGCTGACCTGGAGCCCCGGGGGAAGCCCAAAGGCAGATTCCTGGTGCCACTGAGTCCCAGGGAGGTCGGGTCTTGCATCGTCCCTGCCCCCATCAGTAGTGTCACCTTGATCCCAGACTCAAGGTGAGACAGTGGGAAGCTGATGTCCCCTGAACACCCCAGAAACATCTACCAGCCTTCCTGGACGGTGCAGGCCTTCCTGGACGGTGCAGACCTGCTGGGAGAGGGTCCGATTCCCCGAGACTTTTCCTGACTGCAACATCCTCACCACCCCCTAAAATGTGCCAGAGCCTTTTCAGGGGCAAAATCGAGGAGAGGAGGTAACAATGAAGGCCGGACAACCATCAGCGGGGACGAGAGAGCGTCAGGGGAGAAGGGGCCGGTCTCCCTCCAGACACACACTCGGCAGCAGGCAGGGCCACGGACCACAGTGGACCTACCAGCTTCCGGCAGGAACAACAGCATACCCAAGAGGGTTGCCAGGCAGAGTTATCTAACTCAGGGTCCATGTACAAAGGCAGGGGTCAGGTTGAAGGAGACAGCAGCGGCCACAAGTCCCCCTCAAAGCCAGCCAGCAGCAGGAAGCCACCAGCCCCTCGGGCTTGCAGGGATGAGGGGGAGAGCACAGTGACCAGAGGCTGGCCAGAACCCGGGGGACAGGAGAAGCCTGGCTGACGGGACCTGGGCCTTCTCTAGAGGGCCATAGCCACTGCCACCACCACCCAGCCACTGGCAGGAGAGCCTGGGCCTGCTCTAGAGGGCCATAGCCACTGCCACCACCACCCAGCCACTGGCAGCAGAGCTTGGGCCTGCTCTAGAGGGTCCTAGCCACTGCTACCACCACCCAGCTGGCTGGCAGGAGAGCCTGGGCCTGCTCTAGAGGACCATAGCTACTGCCACCAACACTCAGCCGGCTGGCAGGAGAGCCTAGGCCTGTACTAGAGGACCATAGCTACTGCCACCAACACTTAGCCAGCTGGCATGAGAGCCTGGGCCTGCTCTAGAGGGCCATAGCCGCTGCCACCACCCACCGCCCAGCTGACTGGCATGAGAGCTTGGGCCTGCTCTAGAGGGCCATAGCCACTGCCACCACCGCCCAGCGGGCTGGGCCTGCTCTAGAGGGCCATAGCCACTGCCACCACCTCCCAGCTGACTGGCAGGAGAGCTGGCCTGAACTTGCCTCTTCCACTCTCTCATCTCCTGCCTGTGGGAGCTGGACCAGCCTCCCAGGACATGGAGCAGGACGGAGAGGGGATCTGGGGCAAACAGAGGCCATACAGCCCTGGGCCTAGCCGCTGCCTCCTGCTACTGCAGAGGCTGCTAAAAGCTGCACTTCCCCGACTCGTTTGCAGCTAAAGTTCCAAGCTGAGGGGGTCACTCAAGGTCCTGAGGGTAAAGCACCTAGCCCAGGGCTCAGCCCACACTGAATGCCCCATAAATGAAGGCCCGTCCAACAGGGTCTCCTCCCCAGGGAGGCTGTCCCCTGTGTCAACAAGAGCCAAACTCTGTAAAATATTTGAAGACATTTATTCTGAGCCAAATATGAGGGACCATGGCCTGTGACACAGCCCCCAGGAGACCCTGAGAACATGTGCCCAAGGTGGTCAGTGCACAGCTTGATGGTACCCATTTTAGGGAGACATGAGACATCAATCAAATATATTGAAGATATACATTGGTTTAGTCCAGAAAGGTGGGCAGCTGGAACTGGGGGCTTCCAGGTTATAGGTGGATTTAAACATCTTCTGGTTGGCAATCGCTTGCAAGAGTTATCAATAGAAAGGAATGTCTGGGTTATACGGGGTTGTGGAGACCAAGGCTTTATCATCAGATGAAGCCTCCAGGTAGCAGGCTTCCGAGACAATAGATGGTAAATGTTTCTCATCAGACTGAAGGCCTGTGTTGATGTTAACGCTGGCTGTTCCAGAGTTCTGAAGGGAGGAGGGATAATGAGGCTATCCAACCCTTTGCTGTCATGGCCTGAACCAGTTTTTCAGGTTAACTTCGGAAAGCCCTTGCCAAGAGGAGGGTTCCACTCAGATGGCTGGGGGGCCTTAGAATGTTACTTTTGGTTTATACCGGAACAGCCCCTGCCCCTGTCCTTTGCAGCACCTGCTAATGATCTGTCAGTGACGCTGTGACCAAGGCTCATCACCCTGCGGGCCGTGGGCCCCAGAGGGCGGCACAGCTTCTATAGGAGCACAGGGCCCAGGGAGGTGCCCTCATCCTTGGCTGGAAGGCCGAGGCCTGGAGGAGTCTGGAGAAAGGGTCTCCCTTGTCTGGCCTTGCACTGTGAGGTGGGGGAGGTGGGAGAGGCATAATCTGGGTCTTGAGGACGTTTCAGCCCTCAGCCCGGGGTGGCTGAGATATGGCCCTGGGTAGGCTCTGTCCTCCAGAGGTGGAAAGAAGGACAAAGGGAGAGGGAGGTGCAGGTCGCTCAGGGAGGAGACTCGGACCTGCCCAGCCCCGGGGCCCTCACTGGCTCCAGGAAACCCGCTGGTGTTGACTGTGGGCAGTCCAGCCTCTCCCCATTTGAGGCCATATAAAGTCACCTGAGGCCCTCTCCACCACAGCCCACCAGTGACCACGAAGGCTGTGCTGCTTGCCCTGTTGATGGCAGGCTTGGCCCTGCAGCCAGGTGAGGCCTTGGCTGGCCCCCAGCAGGGAAGGGAGCAGGGGTGAGCCGGGGAGGCCAGAGGGATACCTGCAGGGCACACGGAGAGGAGGGGAAGGAAGGAGGAAGGGAGAGGAAGGGGGTGAGGCTCTTGCCCTAGCCTCCGCTCCTCCAGGGAAGCTCTTGGCACGACCAGGCAGCGACCTGTTCCCTGCCGTCCCCTGTGACCGGGGCTTGCAGGGGCAGCACGGAGTCACTCTCCTTCACCACCGTGGGGCAGGGCCTGGCTCCTAGGGGGCAGGTAGACAGACTGACGGATGGATGGGCAGAGATGCTGATGAGGAGCTGGGAGACATGGGACAGGAAGCCTCAGGCTAAGAAGTGGTTTTTGGGGCACAAGGGGGAGGTGCTGGGGGTGTCCTGCGAGGACCCGGGGGTCTACATCCGGCCCAGTCCCAGCACTGCAGCTTCCAAGGGTCCCAGGGAGCTGCTCTGCTTGAGGTGGGACCCTCCCGACCCAGGGTCCCGGGTTCAGTCACCCCCACAGCCGCAGCTTCCTCTTCTGAAACACACGGTCACAAAAGCAGCCACCGAGGGACTAAACAGGGCAACATTTCGGAGGCACTGAGCAGGGGGCCGTGAAGATGGGGAGGAGACATTGAGGGTGACAAGAGGGCGCCGAGGACTTCCTCAGGCCACCGCCATGGAGGCCCACCTGCCTGGGAGCCCCCATTCCTGGGGAGTGCTATGGGGCAGCCTCTGAGGCCCCTCCCACTCCACCCCACAGGCACTGCCCTGCTGTGCTACTCCTGCAAAGCCCAGGTGAGCAACGAGGACTGCCTGCAGGTGGAGAACTGCACCCAGCTGGGGGAGCAGTGCTGGACCGCGCGCATCCGTGAGTGGGGGGACGACAGCCGCCAGGCCTAGGTCTCTGCCACTGAACTATTAATCTTTCTGGCCATCTGTCCGCATCTGTGTGCTGTTTTCCTTCCACCTGTCCCCGACCCGTCCCGCACCTGCACCCCCAACAATCACCCAGCATCTGTCCCTCCAGCCATCCTCCTCCATCTGCCACTCCTCCACTCATCTGTCCCTCCCCATCCTCCATCTTCCACTCCTCCACCCATCTGTCCCTCCCCATCCCTGAGCTCACTTACTCACTCACCCCATTTCTGACGCTCAGCGGGTGGTCCATCTGCCTCGGACATCTGGATAGGGCTGAGACCAGGGCCGAGACCAGGCCCTCGCACTGCTTGCAATCCTGAGGCCAGCCCAGGGGGACTCTAGAGCATTAGGCAGGGTGGGACAGGAGGAGGCCTGGGGCAGGTCAGGCAGGTGAGCACACAGGGCAGCCCCATCCCCGGATCCCGCTGCTCCCCAGGCGCAGTTGGCCTCCTGACCGTCATCAGCAAAGGCTGCAGCTTGAACTGCGTGGATGACTCACAGGACTACTACGTGGGCAAGAAGAACATCACGTGCTGTGACACCGACTTGTGCAACGCCAGCGGGGCCCATGCCCTGCAGCCGGCTGCTGCCATCCTTGCGCTGCTCCCTGCACTCGGCCTGCTGCTCTGGGGACCCGGCCAGCTCTAGGCTCTGGGGGGCCCCGCTGCAGCCCACACTGGGTGTGGTGCCCCAGGCCTCTGTGCCACTCCTCACACACCCGGCCCAGTGGGAGCCTGTCCTGGTTCCTGAGGCACATCCTAACGCAAGTCTGACCATGTATGTCTGCGCCCCTGTCCCCCACCCTGACCCTCCCATGGCCCTCTCCAGGACTCCCACCCGGCAGATCGGCTCTATTGACACAGATCCGCCTGCAGATGGCCCCTCCAACCCTCTCTGCTGCTGTTTCCATGGCCCAGCATTCTCCACCCTTAACCCTGTGCTCAGGCACCTCTTCCCCCAGGAAGCCTTCCCTGCCCACCCCATCTATGACTTGAGCCAGGTCTGGTCCGTGGTGTCCCCCGCACCCAGCAGGGGACAGGCACTCAGGAGGGCCCGGTAAAGGCTGAGATGAAGTGGACTGAGTAGAACTGGAGGACAGGAGTCGACGTGAGTTCCTGGGAGTCTCCAGAGATGGGGCCTGGAGGCCTGGAGGAAGGGGCCAGGCCTCACATTCGTGGGGCTCCCTGAATGGCAGCCTCAGCACAGCGTAGGCCCTTAATAAACACCTGTTGGATAAGCCAGAGAGACCCTCTGTCCTTGCACACCCCAGGCGGGCACCGGATCCAGGGCTGTGTCTGGACCAGGGCCCTGGTCACATGGGCTGCAGCCTCCGCCCTAACAGGAGCAAAGCTTGGCCCCTGAAAGGAGGACGTCCCTGCAGAGGGTGGGAGGGCAGTTCCCAGGACTTGCACTTGCTGTGCTGCCTGGAGCATGTGGCCAGACCTCTCTGAGCCTTGCGACTCATCTATGACCCCTCCTTGCTGGGAGGATGGACCCAGAAAGTTCACAGGAAGGAGAGCGTTCCGGGGGGAGGGACTGCTACCATTCAAGCTCCTACCCATCCCCTTGGCCTGATTTGAGCACCCCCATTTTTCAAAATTTGTTTTAGAGCTGCACACCCACCATACAGCATTCAAACACTACAGCAGGGTCCCCGGTGACAGGTGGCCTCCCCCAACCCTGAACCCCAGCGCCTTCCCTCTCTGGGGTGCCCATTACACCTCCAGAGGCTTCTTTCTGGGAGAATCTGTGCCCCGTGAGCATCCCCAGGCCCCTGAGTGGGAGGACACCATCCACACTTGCCTTCTGCGCTCAGGGGAAGCCTTTTGCACACAGCCTGCTTCCCGCCCTAGGGCTAGGGGTGCAGCCTGTGACCTGGGTGGGGACCTGCTCAGGGTGAGGCCTCCAAGGGTGTTAGGGGTGGGGCTCGGGGGGCGGTTTCAGAGAAGAGGAGACAGAGGCTCAGGAAAGGGAACGGGTCTGTTGCCCACATCCCATACCGAGCCAGGATTGGAACCCTGGCCTGGAGCTCTGAGGGTGGGTCATGGAGCAGACAGTGGGCAGAGCTGTGCTGGAAAGAGCCAGGCCTCCCGTCTGACATGTGACTTCACGGGGAGACCTCCCTCCTGAACACTGGGGGCCCAGGGTGGCATTGTCAGCAGGGTGCAGCTCCCCAGGCCAGCATCTGAGTGACCCTGGGCACTGGTCACACCCTCCCCGCCTCGCCTACACCCAGCCCAGCCTGCCCGGCTTCCATGGTGAGCTCTGGGCTTCCATGGTGAGCTCTGCCCAACACCTACCCACCCTCCCAGGCCCAAGGCACACTCAGACCTGCCTTGGCCCAGGGCCTGAGTCCAGAGTTGAGGGCTAGGCCATTGTTTTCTGGGAGGGCCCTGCAGACCTGGGAGCCCGCACAGAACTCTCCACCCCTCAGGGCTCAGGTGCAGGAACTGGGGCCTGAGGCTCAGGCAGGTGCTTCTGGCCACACTGTGTCTCCTGAAGCTGCCGGCCCGGGCTTGCTGACCTGCTCTGGGGAGCATCAAGGACGCTGAGTGAGGGAGGCTGGTGCCCTGCCTGGCTCCATCCACTTAGCACACAGTTATCTAACCCTTGGTATGGTATGTTCCACTGCTGTTTCAGTTGCTCCTGGTCACCCTGGTGATAAAAACTGGGAGAAAAAAAGGAAAGCAAGGAAAAAGGATCCAGAATGCTGAGATGGCCAGGGAGGTGGTCTGGAGGCCTGCAGTGCAGAGGCAGGTGCCTCAGTGATAAGAGCGGCTGTCCTCACTGAACAGGACTCAGCCCACTCCAGTGCCCACACAGCAGCCCCTACCCCCTGGTGGAAGGGGGTCCTTCTCCCTGGGGCTTAGGTTCAGAGACACAAGGCAGCGTGCTCCAGGGCTAGGGCCCATCCACATCGGGCTGGGGGTGTCCAGAACAGAGCAAGACAGGACCCTCACACCCTGTTCCCCAGAATTCCTCGCATTGGAATACCTTGGACCAGGTGAGGAGAAGAAGGGCAAGGATGCGGGAGGCCTCTCTGGACTCTCGATGCCAGGGCCAGCCTGAAACCTGTGGCCCCCTTTGACCTCCTGAGCTGTCCCTCAGGTCACGGGGCCTCTGAGCTAAGGGCCTGTGAGGATGCCCCGCCCTGCCCCTCCCTCACACCATGAGGATGGGGCAGGAACCTGCTCTGGCCACGTGGCACATGGGGGACAGAGGTCCTCCCTGTCCTGCTGCCTCCTCAAAGGACAGACGGCTGACCTCTCCAAGGGCAAGGACCAGCCAGGGAGGGCCACCTGCACCAACAGTGCAGGTCGCAGCCCTGGTGCACTCAGGCTCCAGAGGTTGCCTATTCACTCAGGGCCCCACGGCTCCATCTGGACTAGAACCTGCACCTCCCTGTCTTCCCACTTCGCCTCATCTTTAGAAATGATAGAAAAACAAAAAAGAAAAAAGTGCAGAACTCAAATCCCTAAACCCTAGCATAATACCTGCCAGCATTTCATAGCCGTTGGGACGTTTCCTATTGTAATCTAGAAGACACAAAGTTTACCAAGAAGATAAACAAGCAAGGACTGACAATTAGTAATAACAAGATAGCTAACAAAAGGTCCTAGGAAGGGCAGAAGCAAGTGAGGCTCAGGAGGCTGCTTCCAATGGTTGACCAGATACAGTGGAGATCAGAGCCTTGGCTATATTTATGCAACCGGGCAGCTCAGGAGGCTGCTTCCAATGGTTGAGCAGATACAGTGGAGATCAGAGCCTTGGCTATATTTATGCAACCGGGCAGCTCAGGAGGCTGCTTCCAATGGTTGACCAGATACAGTGGAGATCAGAGCCTTGGCTATATTTATGCAACCGGGCAGCTCAGGAGGCTGCTTCCAATGGTTGAGCAGATACAGTGGAGATCAGAGCCTTGGCTATATTTATGCAACCGGGCAGCTCAGGAGGCTGCTTCCAATGGTTGACCAGATACAGTGGAGATCAGAGCCTTGGCTATATTTATGCAACCGGGCAGCTCAGGAGGCTGCTTCCAATGGTTGACCAGATACAGTGGAGATCAGAGCCTTGGCTATATTTATGCAACCGGGCAGCTTGCTCATACATTTTACGCGCATTTTCTTCTATTTGACCTGAGGTGTTTACATAAATGCGACAGGTTTTATTGATTATAGCGCACATTTTCCTTTGTTCAAGCAATAATTAATCTCATGCTAATCTATCATCCATTATTGTATCTGCAAAGGAATCAAGGGAGAGTTTTAATGTATCTAAAGTGTCTCCTGTTTTATGAGACAGTGCATAGAATGAAGAAGTAAAGTTTTGAAGAGTTGCCTCATGATAGGCAAATTTTCCCTATGGGGTCAGTAAGCCAATGGCAGCCTCAACCCCAGCCAATATAAGGCGAATTGCCCGCTTAGCTCTCAGGTAAGTGATGTTATATAATTGTATATTACAGGGCTTTGCCTGTCTTATTGTACATTGACCCCGAACCAGATGTTATTGATACACTGGTAACCATTGGGTTCATGATCCCAAATGAGAGACAAGTTATTTATACCTGATTGAATAGGTGACCACATGGCCATAGGTATCTACTGGGGGTGCAAACCTGTATGGGATGGGAGTTATTAAGGAGGCTGAGTAGGAGGCACTAAGGATGTTAGTTATCTGTTTATTTCTTTTTCTTTTTTTTTTTTGAGACGGAGTCTCGCTCTGTCACCCAGGCTGGAGTGCAGTGGTGCTATCTTGGCTCACTGCAAGCTCCGCCTCCTGGGTTCATGCCATTCTCCTGCCTCAGCTTCCCAAGTAGCTGGGACTACAGGCGCCCGCCACTGCGCCCAGCTAATTTTTTGTATTTTTAGTAGAGACGGGGTTTCACCGTGGTCTCAATCTCCTGAACTCGTGATCCGCCCACCTCGGCCTCCCAAAGTGCTGGGATTACAGGCGTGAGTCTGCGCCTGGCCCCATTATCTGTTTATTTCTAAAACAACAGCTTTAGGTATTATAAGGGTTCACAAGTGTAGGCCATGGTGTCCTTCTCAGGTGCCTGTGGGGACTCATAAGAAACGGGCTTAATCTTGGACAGGTGCACAAGAAGCCAAGTAAATTTGTTTTTCAAAATTTTATTTAAAAATTATAAAATTTTAATCTTGATCATAAGATACAACTTCCATAAGCCTTTCATAACCTTTACAATCTTTATATAGGAGACAGTTAATACTTCAAGAAAACCTTGTTAATTTGACTCAGGGGCCCATATGCTGGTCTTGCTTCAGTGTGCCTTCAACATTAATGATTAATTTATAGAGAAATTGAACTTATTTTATCTTTAAAATCAGCCCTTACAATCTCACGCACCCTCCTCTACCGAGACAGTCCATGGGCCTTGAGGAGTTGAATAGCTTTAATTTCTGTCCCTGTGTTTCAGGAATGCAGTTGATTTTGATTGGCATCTTCTACTGGGCCCAAAGATGGGGCTTTAATTGCTGTCAATGTTTAAAAATTGAGCAGGACTTGGTGTCCTTTTCAGACCCAGCAGTCAAAGCCCTGTAACTCAATGTCACAAGAACTTTAAAAGCACATACAGGAAGATACACAAATGTAATAACTTTAATTTAAAAAATTAAATATCAGCGGGGTGTGGTGGCTCATGCCTGTAATCCCAGTACTTTGGGAAGCCAAGGGGGGACGGATCATGAGGTCAGGAGTTCAAGGCCAGCCTGGCCAATATGGTGAAACCCCATCTCTACTAATAATACAAAAATTAGCTAGGCATGATGGCGTGCACCTGTAGTCCCAGCTACTCAGGAGGCTGAGGCAGAAGAATCACTTGAACCCAGGAGGTGGAGGTTGAAGTGAGCCGAGATTGCGCCACTGCACTCTAGCCTGGGCAACAGAGTGAGACTCTGTCTCAAAAAAAAAAAATTATCCTTTTCCTAAGCAAACCAAATTTAACAATAATGGCATAGGAATTATTTCAATAAAATGTTAAATCTGTTAGGTCATTTACCAAAAGGCAAAAGAAAAGACCTTCTGCAGTGCACAGAACATTATGTTGGAAGAAAACGTTTCCTTAGACCTTTAGGAAAACGTGCCTTTTAAAACGGGAGAAAAAGCCAACAAATGGTGAGATGCAATAAAAGCTGAATTTTCAGTAAAAAAAATTAAAATCTATTATAATTTGTTAAGAGTAAATCAACCCCTTAAGAAAATTTCATTGTTCTAACCAATAATTTAGTGCGTAAGTGTTTTTTTTTACATCAAGCCCAATCTCTAGGAAGAGCAATATAATTTCCCATTACTTATAAACAACTTGATCATATACAAATTTTTGTTTTTTTTTAAAAAAAAAATCCTCTTACTATGACTTATACAGAGCATTCATCACATGCCTGGACTTTGTCTTTTGTCCTGAACATGCTCTTTCTTAATCAGTCATTTTATTTTAGGACTAAACTTAACATACAAGATTCTTTCTCATATAAAATTATTTCTCTTTAAGCTTTCTTAACACAAAAAATACCTCTTTATTTTTATAACTTTCTTTACATCTCTCTTATTTTCTGGTTCTTTTACCTCGTTTTATATATAACCTTTAAATAAGCTTTAAATTAGATAAAACTTGTTCACCTTTTTTTAAAAAGGACACACCTTTTTTTTTTTAGCAAGAATGTTTTCCTACAATATACTTTCATTGGAAAATACCTAAATAGTGAAATATCTATTATTTAATATAACTTTCTATTCTAAATTATGACAAATTTGTCTACAAGTATGTATCACATTACATTTACCTAATTACCTTGTTTACCTAGATTGTTTATGAAAACTGTGATAGTCATGATTTAAAGTTATGAAACCATCACTGCAAAATTATAACTGAGATAGGGAAAAAAGATTTGACTAACTAACTCCAACTTGCTTCTAACCTCCAGGCTGTCCTTGTTCATTCCTGGACTTTGGGAGGAACTTAGTTTATAGTTTAGCTTTGAAACAAACACTATAACAGTCCTTTCTCAAAACAAACTTCCTTACTGCCTGTGCACTAGACTGCCTAAAGCCACAGAATTAGAAGTTATGATAATCTTACTAAATTCAAAATGCAACTATATTCATTAAATCAATATCAATGACTTATTTATTAAAGATTACACAAGCAAATATCATTATGTTTTGGGCCGGGTTTATAGTTTTGTAAACCCTCTGCCAAATTTTGACAACTTATACTATTTGGCAGGGGTAAGTATGAAATTGCTTGATTAATAATTGCAAACAAAAATGTATGCTGACATTTCTAATATTACTTTACCAATAATTTTAAAGCGAGCTCATTTATTAATAATTTTACTTAAGTTATGCAAACTTGAAAAAGCATTTGACTAATCTTTCCTTTTTTCCTGATAAAGTATTTACGTATTAAGTATAAATCATTGATATTGATTTAATGAATATAGCTGCTTTTTGAATTATTTCACTTTGAGCCAATTAATTAGAGCTCTTTTATATATTTTTCATAGTGAAACATTGTGTACACAACACATAAATACAGACATATTAGGCATGCTGATAAAAGTACATCTTATAGATTCATAAAAACCTCTTTTTTCATATCTTAGACTTTCAGATTCTTGATAACCTGTTTCAGAACCCTAGACAGTTGTCAGCTAAATAGCCTTAAATCTGCATATCAGGTGAAAGTCAAATAGCAAAATTTACATTATCAGGTACACAGAGAAAATGTCTGGTGGTGCTAGAGAAAGATTAAAGATGGATGCCAACTCAGTAATAAAATTACAGAAATTTATTGTTGGATTACATAGGAAGACTGATTTTATTTAGATAGAGACTACCTGTTTTTCTTTTTTTAACCAGATATCTGAGCTCTGGGTAGAGCCCACACTGAATCCTGGGTCTCCAAAAAGGGTGAATTATTATGAGGCTAGACAACGTGATGCTTTTACAGTGCACTTAAAAAATAGTTTTAAACAAAGACATTTTTAAGTGTCTAAACTACACTCTTCCTTAAAAACCCCAGAGTAGCCTCTGTGCAGTATCTATTTTAGTCAAACAATCAGGTAATAACAGAATTCAGTCAACTGAGAAGAAAAAAACTTTTGCTAAAAAAAAAAGGCAAGGTCCTAGAGGAGAAAAACAACCAAAAAACAAACACATGAAGACCTTTCAAAGACAAACATACACATATGCGTGCACGCACACACACACACACACACACACGTACATCTTGGATGTTAGCCTTTTAATTAAACTGACTTTTAACCATTGAGCTCTTTTTAAAATAATCCATTTAAATTTCATTACCGTATTTTAGTCAGAAAAAATTGCTGCTATTTCAGAGGTACCAAGTATCAAACCAGAAAGGGCTTGATTTAGGAACCAAACCCACCAAACCCAGGCTCTCATGGTGAAAAGAAAGCAGAGCCTTAGGTATGGAACTACAGCGTGGGGCAACTGCCATTGTTTCAGTTTGGCCTGCTAGCAAAAAAGTGGCCTTGTTCTGTAAATAAAACCCCTTTAGTAGTCAAAATCAAAAATCTTTCCTTTTTTTCTCCTTTTGCTGGCTGTTTTTCTCCCCCAACCATACCACCTTTTGTGTGTGTGTGTGGAGGGGAGGCGGGGGGTGGAATTTAGTCACTTCAGAGGCCTTGTTCCCCATAATTTGGAACTTCCCTTCAGAGTTGATCAAGTTGGATAGAGTTGATTAAACCCAATGGGCAAAAGACTGAAACAACAAGAGAAACAGTAGGAAAAACAGAAACAAACAAACACCAAAAAAAAAAAAAAAACCCTTAAGCAAAACAAACAATGGCACAACTTACATGATCACTGAACACTCTAATGGTAAAAAGAAATTAAGACCAGCTGGTTGTTAACTTTAACTTTAGCCAAGACAAACCCCAATTCAGTTACTTACCCAGGGATGGGTCTCAGGCTGAAGACTGCTCTCCACCATCCTAGAAGCAGGAAAAATCTCATCTTCGCTGTTGGAAGTGAGCTCAAACTCCATAAAGGAGTTACCTGCCTTCCATTATCACGGAAGCAGGAAAACTTCCCTTCCTTGTTGGAAGAAAGTAAAACTCCAAAATAAAGGAGTTGTACACCAAAATAAACTTGAGATCTTGACCAAATTTTGGGAGAGCAGGGATTCTCTGGAGGGGCAGCTCGCAGACCTCAGCAAATTGTCCTATTGATTTGAGCAATAAATTAGTTCATGATGTACCAAGCATCAATACAAGATTTGTCAAAGCTCAGGGGCACCTCCACTCAGAATCCCCCCATGGTTACCAAATATGAACCCAGAAAATTTGAGACAGGTCCCAGTTAATTTAGAAAGTTTAATTTGTCAAGGTTGAGGACACACGCCCATGACACAGACTTAGGAGGTCCTGATGACATATGCCCAAGGTGGTCAGAGCACAGTTTGGTTTTCTGCATTTTAGGGAGTCATGCTGGTTCCGTCTGGAAAGGTGGGACAACTCAAAGCAGGGAGGGGGTTTCCGGGTCACAGGCAGGTGAGAGACAAACAGTGCATTCTTTTGAGTTTCTGATTAGCCTTTCCAAAGCAGGTAATCAGATATGCATTTATCTCAGTGAGCAGAGGGATGACTATGAATACAAGCAGAGGGATGACTATGAGGCAGGTTTGCCCTGAGCAGTTCCCAGCTTGAATTTTCCCTCTACCTTAGTGATTCTGGGGGCCCAAGATATTTTCCTTCCACATAGACATAGAACAAATTATATTATTTCAGATAAAGGCAAAATTATGAAATGAATCATAATGTTTTGGAATACAGACCTGTCCTTGTGTCTCATGAAAGCAGTTTACGTTGTCCCCTTTGCCCAGGTCTAAAGACGAGCCTTCAGTTAACTTGAGTTTTTGTCAGATACTGGTAGAAGTCAGTGCCATCTTTAGATATGTGTGTCCAGGAGTCAAAGCCCTACAACAGGTTATTAACTAAGCACAAGCATTGGTTAATAACTCTTGATAAGGACAGCTTCAAGGGGGCTGAGGGAATCCTTTAACTGATTTTTCTTCCAATATATAATTTTCAGGCTGGAGGTGGTGATACTGGACTTCATGGTCTGCCAGAAAGTTCTAGAAAGAGTCTATGACCTTGCAGAGATTAATTTCTATAGGCTTAATAAGCCCCAGCAATAAGACTAAATCAGAGACTAAATTTAAGATTTTGATTTTGAGGATATTTCTCTAAGATGTTAAAAGGCTCAAAACATTTTATTAACATAAAATCACAGGTCATTGTAATAGTTATACACTTAACCAAGAGTAATAATCATAAAGACTTTAACAAGCAATAGAGAAAGTCACATGGAGGTAAAAACCTTAACCCTTTTAACTTTCAGTTTTTTTGCAATCATAAAGCTAATAAAGACAGTATAGGAATTATCGTGAAAAAAACATAAAATCTTGTTTTTTTTTAAGCCAGCTAATAAAAAGGCAGGGAAAACCTTCTGCAGTGAGACCGCTTCTTCTTACAGGAAGCCCATTTAGATAACCTGGAAGACAAACTTGAGGAAAGAAGTGCTTGAATGCAATCAGACACAGGAACAGTGTTTAAGGTTATGAGCATATGTGACCCTTAGGAACAGCATGAGAAGTTTTCTGATTACACTGAAAATTTAGACACAGCAAGAAAAGCCAAGAATATAAAATCAAGTTATACTAGAAGAAAACATTGCTTTTCTAGACCTTCAAGATAAAACTTTAGCATCAGGTCATTCCAACAGTTAAAACTGGAGGAAAAAAGGGGTGCAGGAGCTGACAAAAAATGCTGAAGGAGAAGGTCATCATCTCAGGCCTGCTCAAGGGGGAAAAAGCTGAAAGCAGTGAGACAGAAAAAATGGAATGTCGGAAATATGGATCTGAGAAGTTTAGAAGAGAAACGGGGTATAAAATTGAAAGTAAAATTTCTTGTAACTTCATTCACAGCAAATCAGTACCTCAAGAAAACTTTGTTTTAACGTAGGCGACCAATTTTTAGAAAGACTGTTATAAATGGCTTCCTTTCAATTATAACCAACTTAATCATATACAAAATTCCTTTCATAAATTCCCCTTCACGAACTTTATCCCAGTGTACACAGACCATCTTAGATGTGCTTGGACTTTCTGCCTTGCCCTAACCTTCTCTCTTTCCTAAATAATCATTTAGTCATTAATGACTAATAACTAATAATAATAGTCATATTAATGGCTAATGACTAATAATCATTAGTCATTTTACTTTAGGACAAAAATTTACCACACGAGATCCTTTTTCATACATTATTTGCTATTCTTTATAACCTTCCTTACCAAAAATACATCTTCATATCCATAACTTTTATTCACATCTCTCGCTCCCCTACTTACTGGCTCCTTTCTACCTTGCTTCATAAGTAACTATTTTCAAGTTCATCATTTGAATTGACCTTTAGATAACTTCTGAATTAGACAAAATTATTTTTCTTCTCAATAAGACTAGTTCCTGGGAGGCTTTTGGCCTCCAATGCTGCCCAGAGACATGCTGAATTAAATAACCCAAAGAAAGAAAATCACCAGGAGAAGGAAAATGGCAGGCATAAACTTCAGAGCATGCAAGCTCAGGATGACGGGCATCACTAGTGAGGCACAGACAGCAAATATGCAGCCAATGAAGGGGACGAGGGAGACCCAGCAGGACATGCTGGCAAATATCCCTCTGAGTCTCAAATGGGCTTTCCACTGGGGTGGCACTGCAGCCCTGGGACCCGAAAGGCTGAAGAGCCCCATGTAACAGGATGGTGGCTGACCTGGAGGATCCCCGGCTCCAGGCTCCCCAGCAGACAGAACCCAAAGGATCCCACACCTCTGGGTGAGGTCCACTAACCCCTAGTCCCTAGGGGAACATAAAGGAGCATGAGCATCCCTGTGTGTCCCAAGGCTTGGAAGGCTGAGCACATTGCATACAGGAAACCAGAGCGGGAAGGGAAGGGAAGGGACAGCTAAGCGCACTCGCTCATCCGTGAGTGGGAAAACTGAGGAAGCAAGAGATCCTGCACTGTTTGCCAGATGTTAGCACTTTATAGATAAGACCCTTCCACAATTCTAGAAACATGTTTCCCATAGCATAAACTTTTCTTAATTGGAAATGACCCAGACATCCAACACGCAATCCAAGGAAAGCTGTGGACCAAAGTTTTGGTAAAGTAGTCTTTAAGGAAGTTTGGTTTAAAAAAAAAAAAAACCTTTTCATCATTTTTTTCTTCAGTTTTAAATGAGTTTTTAATGTATACATTTTAGCCAGAACTGGCTGAACTGTACAAGAAAAGACAATCTCCAGGTAGCCTTGAATTAGTAATACCAAAAACAGTGAGTCTCACCTCAACACCGTGAGATAAGCAGAGTTGCCACTCGGCAGCAGATTAGTAACAGCAGATCCAAAGCAGGCAGAAAAGAACAGAGAGAAACACATAAAGAACATTAGAATCCGCCACTGGAAGGTGGAAACCTCTGGACCAGCCATTTGGGGCTGCCCCAAGGCTGCAGTACAGCAAAGCAATGAGCTGGGAAATGATGAGAAGTAGAGCTTTCCCATCCCCAGCAGAGGGCACAAGGTGGATTAGTTCAGATCATGTACTGACAAACATCTTGCAAAGAGACTTCCATTGTTCCAGATATACCCCAGGGCATCTAACCTTGTGGGCTGAGCCTCTAACCTGAGTTTCTAGGCGAGCATCCTTGTCTAAGCATGACATAGGATGCCAAGAAGGACCCCATTTACCAGAGGTGGCCAACTGGTGCTGCAGACAAAACTTCCCCAGCACATAGTCTCATCTTATGGTCCCTTAGTGCATCGCCAGAAAGATGTTGCTGGAAGAGGGTTTTTCAGTCTTGCACAGGAAGGAATTCAGGTGAGTCACAGAGTGCAGTGAGAAGAGATCATTTATTGAAAGCTACTCAGATGCAGAGTAGGGCATCCTCAGAAAACAAGAGGAGGAACGCATTGTCTTTGTTTTAAACTCCTCTCATGTAGGGGTCTTATCTATGTAAAAGCTAAGTTAAGTCTATGTGTGGGTGGGTTGACAGCGTGACAAAACTTATTACTTTGTTGATTTAAAGTAAACTATCCTTGGGATTTTAGTGAGTAAGTACATCAAAGCATGATTCTAATTATTTTAAAAGCACATATTGTTATTAGATATTGGCGCATTTGGACATTTTGTTGCTGTAGGAGTTAGTCCTTGCAGGCATTACTAAACTCCCTCCTTAGCTGTCAACACCTGTGACCATGGGCTGTGACTGGCAAGGAATTGCCTTGCTTGTTTTAAAATGGAATTGGCTTTAAAATGGCGTCACTCTGGCTCTCCTACACTCCTGTTTCTCTAGTAATCCCATCAAAAGCAATGTACAAATTCAATGGGATCCCTATCAAAATTTCAGTGGTATTTCTCACAGAAATAGAAGAAAGATCTGGCTGGACACGTTTGCTTACGCCTGTAATCCCAACAATTTGGGATGCCGAGGTGGGTGGATCACCTGAGGTGAAGAGTTCAAGACCAGCCTGGCCAACATGGCAAAATCCCAACTCTACTAAATACACAAAAGTTAGCCGGGCATGGTAGCACACGCCTGTAGTCTCAAGCTACTCAGGAGGCTGAGGTGGTAGAATCCCTTGAACCCGGGAAGCAGAGGTTGCAGTAAGCCAAGATTGTGCCACTGCACTGCAGCCTGGGCAACAAAGTGAGACTCCATCCCTCCCCATCAAAAAAGAGAGAAAAGAAAAAAAATCCAAAATCGGCATGGAACCACAAAAAAAAAAAAAAAAAATAGCCAAGGCAATTTTGAAAAAGAAAAACAACGGTGGAGGCATCACACTTCTGGATTTGAAACAATGTTATAAAGGTGTATAATATGGTTTGCCCTGCCTTTCTCTGGCAAAGACAGACTGTGAGGTCTACATGGCTAATTTCCAAGCAGCCACATGCCCTGCAGACATGAACTCCTAGCAGGGAGCTCAGAGGCCTGCTTGGCTTTAGCTGGGCTCCGAACACACAGCAGCCCTTGAAGGCTCCTCCCTCTGCTCTCCCTCTGCTCTCCTTCTGCTCCTCCCTCTCCTCTCCTTCTGCTATTGCCTCTGCTGCAGAAGCCACAGGCTCCCCTAACGTCCTCCTGCCCCCTGCTCTGGAATATACTCTCACCGTTTGATGGACTTTGCTGGGCTGCTCCTCCTCTTGGTAGAATGGTTCTCTGACATCAAGACATGAGAGGCATTTCTGGTTTGAAGGCTATCTGATGCTGTTTCCTGGTAAGGAAGTCGTAAGTTGCTATTGTCTTCCAGAGGCATTTGAGGAGCAGCTGCAACACACCAGAGGTCCCTGCTGGGTGGCAGTGCTGGCCTCTGCCAAGGGTTCCCAGGCAGCAAGTGTCCTGATAGCAGACATTCCTAACCACATCTGGACGACTGGCTCAGGAGGCCTGCATGAAGCTGCATGCACCACCTCTTGAAAATACATTCATGCTTTTATTGGTTCAGGGACCCATTTGAATTCAGAATAGCAAGGGCGGTGTATTCCTCAATGGGGAATGTTGTGTCTCCAGATCTCTCATAGGTCCACATGGCTCTGCTTCTTGTTTAGCAAAGGGCTCAGTAAGAGATAATAATTTGCTTCTCTCTGTTTGAGGGACATTCCCGGTTATACTGGCACAGGCATTCCAGAGAAGTCCCCAGACCGGACTGGGCCTTGCATTTGGCCAGGCTCTGTTGGGTGTTTGGGCGAATACAGCCCAGTGCTACTCTGAGCAGGCCATCAGCATGACGGCATCCACATCTCTACTAACTCACTCTCATGGTTAGCTAGTCCAAGTCCCGCCACTCCTCATGCCAGGAAATTCAAATATCCCTGTGCCAAATGGCACATGTTTACCTAACCACATTCTCCTAAAGTTATGCCTGGCTGGACTGCAACAGTGGGTGGAAAAGAAGGAAATGTGCCTTTAGACCAATGGGGTGTACTACAGTATCCCACCTGCAACCCTTACCTCCCGCTTGTTGAGTTACCTGGACAGTCTTTACAATATGAGGTATAGCTGAAGAAATGCAGCATACTGCACTGTTGAACCCTGCACATCTGCTGTCAGCCTCCACAAATAATCTCTCAGACAGGATGGTTAAAAATAAAATCAAGGTCAGGTGGAGTGGCTCACGCCTGTAATCCCTATACTTTGGGAGGCTGAGGCAGACGGATCATTTGAGGTCAGGAGTTCGAGACCAGACTGGTCAACATGGTAAACCCTGTCTCTACTAAAAATACTAAAATTAGCCAGGCATGGTGGCTCATGCCTGTAATCCCAGCTACTCGGGAAGCTGAGGCAGGAGAACCACTTGGACCTGGGAGGCAGAGGTTGCAGTGAGCCGAGATCATGCCACTGCACTCCAGCTTTGGTGAAAGAACAAGACTCTGTCTCAAAAAAATTAAAAAAAAAAATCAGTGGGAATCAATTCCTCCACTTCAGCCTTTTCCTTGAGAGTAGTGAGGTCTGGCGCCCTCCTGAAGTTGTGCAGGGCTCAACGTCGATTACAGAGGAAAGTCTGGACCATCCAGAATATTCCAACACAGCATTCATGAATTAACCACAGAGGGAAGACTTTGTTCATATTCCTTGAAAAATTACTCCCAAGATCCATTGTAATGAGCCTTTTTGGCATCATATATGAACCATATAACTTCTGGGTCATTGCCATGGCATTTGTAAATTGTCATGGTGCTGATGTGGTGTCTTATGAGAATGTATTATAATTAGCATATAATGAGCAATGAGGGCAACTAGAAGTCACTTATGTCACCATCTTGGTCCTAGCTGGTTTGGGCCAGTTTCTTTGTTATATCCTGTTTTGATCACAGGGTCATGATCAAGGCTCGGAAAACAAGTCCTGCTGATATCATACCTCACAACTATTTCGGGATTGGTCAGCAACTCAAATATTGTCTTCTGTTAAGCAATGTCTGTTAAACGGGAAAATGGACGAGAGACATAAATAGAGAGATCACAGGAAAATGCAAATATCCACTAGCCATATCAAACATATCAAACCATATCAAGTGCTCAAGCTCACTTATAATTTAAAAATGCAAATTAAAAATACACCCGGATACTATTTTCATTTTCATCTGTCACATTGGTGAAAATCCAAAGAGTAAATAAGAGGACATTCTTTCTGACACCACCATGAAAACAAGCACTCACTCCTCAATGACAAAATTGTCCAAAGACCAGATAGAGCAACTGGGCAATACTCATATAAACTGCAAATATATTTAACTTTTGTCCCTTGATCTCATTTCTGGAAAGCTGTGGTATAATGGTATATGTAAGGAATGACATTAGGGACAATTGCAGCGTCATGTATATGAAAGTTGACTTCATAAATTGAGTTATTCTGGTCATACCCGACTAAGTCAAGGCAGAGGGCCAGAGGAAAACCACTCAGGCAGACAGCACCTGCTCCAAGAACCATCTGCAAGCCCAAGTGCTGAAACGCCTGCTGCAACTTTACAATCAGGTGCACCTAACAGCTGCTGGAACGACCTGCCGTGACTCAAAGACAAGGTCTACCTACTGTGTCACTCACCCATCAGAGCCTGCCAGCTCCCCAAACCTCTACCAGGGCCCACAAGTTTTCTTTCTAAACAATAGGTAACATTTCTTAAATAAAACTTTCAACCTTCTCTTTGTTCGTCAGACACACCAAACACATTTCTGGTCTGTGTACGCCCAGAATTACAATTCTGTGATTCCTGAATAAAACGTTTAGAGATTCATCCTATAATGTATTTGACTTTGACATGTGAGATATAAAAACACTGTGAACAACACAAATGTTCATTCAAGGAGGCTATTTAAATTAACTATGGTACATCCAGGCCATGGAATATGATGCAACTTGTATTAGTCCTTTCTCCCATTGCTATAAAGAAATACCTGAGGCTGGGCAATTTATAAAGAGAAGAGGTTTAATTGTCTCACAGTTCCACAGGCTGTGCAGGAAGCATGGTGCTGGCTTCTGGGGAGGCCTCAGGAAACTTACAATCATGATGGAAGGCAAAGGGGAAGCGGGCACCTCTTACGTGGCCTGAGCAGGAGGAAGAAAGGGAGTTGCCTACACACTTTTAAAAAAAACAGATCTCGTGAGAACTCCATCACAAGAACAGCACCAAAGGGATAGTGCTAAACCATTCATGAAGGACCACCCCTATGATCCAATCACCTCCCACCAGGCCCCACCCCCAACACTGGGGATTACAATTCAACATGAGATTTGGGTGGGGACACAGATCCAAACTATATCACAACTGTAAAAAAAAAAAAAAGACAAAGAAGAAAGCAAAGAAAGGAAAAGAGTGTGAAATTCCTGCTCCTGCCTGTGTTAACAGAGGGCCTCTATACAGAGGGTTGAGAGGAGAAAGCAGGGTGGAGAACACCACCTGTGGATTGCCCTTTGGGGCCTACTCACATGGGCCCAATTTCTCGTAAAACTAGTATTTAGGGTTTCTTTTGAATAAACATAGAAATTGGCCCACCCTGTCTTAAAACTTGGGAAAGTTACATTTGTCTTATCTGAGCTCCTTTCTCAGGAAACCAACCATCGGGCCTCCCAGACAGTATCAAGGCGCTGAAACTCAGTAGGTCCTTGAGGCCAGACCCCTCACCAGTCATGACTGCCTAGCTGCCTCCTCACTCTCCCTAATTCCTGTTTTCCCACACAGGGTGACATTTCTTCCCTGCTCTGGAAACTTCTAATTTTAGTGGGCTGAGGAGAGGGATTTGTGACTGAGCGCCCATCTCTGGGCTGTAGCACTTGAATGAGGCCTTCTTCCCTGGCACTGCTGTTGGTGATTGGCTTTCTGTGCAGGGCAGGGGGCCTAGATGACAACCCTGATGTTTGGGTAGCACTGTCACTGTGAGAGGCATGGAAATCCTCCAGTTCTTAGTCTTCTTGGAGGAAGGAATTCAGACAAGAGATGCCTAGCAAGAGGTATAGGGTTAAGTAACCTTTATTTAAAGAGTCAGGATCTCAGAGAGACAAGACAGAACCTGCCACTCAGGAGATAGAGCCAAAAGCTAGTGACTTAGGAGGAATTCTTTTCTTTCTCTTTTTTTTTTTATTTTTTTGAGACAGAGTCTCGCTCTGTGGCCCAGGCTGGAGTGCAGTGGCGCGATCTCGGCTCACTGCAAGCTCCACCTCCCGGGTTCACGCCATTCTCCTGCCTCAGCCTCCCGAGTAGCTGGGACTACAGGCGCCAGGAGGAATTCTTATTTGAGCTTTTAGTTAAGGAAAACAGTACAGCTTGAAAGAGGAACTGCTCAAAAGAATGAGTCAGTCGCTACTCACGCTGGGGAGACCCTCTTGATGAGAGTTTTACAGGATTACTCACGAACGGCCCAGGCAGGGGCCTTACTAGTAAGCACGTTTTGGGAAGTCCTCAGGGCACGCAGGCACCGTGACCTCACACACTAGTGCGCTGGAGTGTGTCATTAGCATCTGGAATCTCTCCCCAGGGATGTGGTTTTTGTTTTTTTTTTTTTTTTTGGTATTATAATGAGCTAAAAGCTATTCAGGGGCGAGTTATCAGAGGTGAGCCCGTGCTCTTCAGCGGAGAAGATCCCCTACCTGGCCGCCGGCCACTTTCTGTGGGCCGTGGGGTCCTCAAGGAGACGGCCCTTGGGCTCAGGGGCTGCGTTTCCACACGCGCCTTTCCCAGGGCTCCCGCGCCCGTTCCTGCCTGGCCGCCGGCCGCTCCAACAGCAGCACAAGGCGGGACTCAGAACCGGCGTTCAGGGCCGCCAGCGGCCGCGAGGCCCTGAGATGAGGCTCCAAAGACCCCGACAGGCCCCGGCGGGTGGGAGGCGCGCGCCCCGGGGCGGGCGGGGCTCCCCCTACCGGCCAGACCCGGGGAGAGGCGCGCGGAGGCTGCGAAGGTTCCAGAAGGGCGGGGAGGGGGCGCCGCGCGCTGACCCTCCCTGGGCACCGCTGGGGACGATGGCGCTGCTCGCCTTGCTGCTGGTCGTGGCCCTACCGCGGGTGTGGACAGACGCCAACCTGACTGCGAGACAACGAGATCCAGAGGACTCCCAGCGAACGGGTGAGCCTGGCTCGCCCTCCACAGCCACGGGCCGAGAGGACAGGGCCGGGCGGCGTCTGCCTGGCACCGCGTGGCCACCGCCCCGACCAGGCCGTGAGAACGGAGCGTTCAGGCGGCCCGTGGCGCCTGGAAGCCTCTGGGGAGCCTCGCCTCGTGCGGCTTCCACCAGGGCGGCGGGGCAGCCTGAGCCCGGCCCTTCCCCAGCCCTTGCCCCGCTCCGGCCGCGCTTCCCCGGGAGCCCTCAGGCTGCAGGCTCCCGCCGGCCTGGCCTCCGGGGGCTTCACGGGCTGAGAACCGTTCAAGCTGCGGGAGGAGGGCCGGCTCCTCCTGCAGAGCTAGGCCAGGCCCAACCCAGACCCAAGGGAGAACTCCTTTGAGGGAGTCGGGGGGCAGGACCTGGGAGGTGGGTGGACCTGGGAGGTGGGCGGGAGGGCACGTGGGAGCAGACCCAAGCCCCAGGGTCACTTCCACAGCCGTCGGCCGGGAGATGCCAGGGCCCGTGGGTGCCGCGTGGCCGACCTGGGGTCAGGGTGCTGCGGCCGAGTGGGGGTGCGCTGTGCGCTCATGTTGTGTGCTTGGATGTGGGAGGACGGGGGAGCCCCCAGGAGAGAAGAAAAATCACTCAGAATGTAAAGAAGTCCGGGGGCTGGGCAATTTATAAAGAAGAGAGGTGGAATTGGCTCACAGTTCCACAGGCTGTCCAGGAAGCGTGGTGCTGGCTTCTGGGGAGGCCTCAGGGCACTTACAATCATGGGGGAAGGCGAAGGGGAAGCGGGCAGCTCTTACGTGGCCGGAGACCCCTCCTGCTTTCTCCCCATGCGGCTCACTCGAGTCATGTGGCCCCAGCCACTGCTCAGGGGGAGAAGGATGGGGACCCGCCGAGTTTGTGCTGGTCGGATGCCGGCTGTGTTCATCAGATAGGCACGGAGAACTGGAACATTCTGCTTTCTTTTTTATTCCTCCTTTCAGACGAGGGTGACAATAGAGTGTGGTGTCATGTTTGTGAGAGAGAAAACACTTTCGAGTGCCAGAACCCAAGGAGGTGCAAATGGACAGAGCCATACTGCGTTATAGCGGCCGTGAGTGAGTATCTTCGCTCTTGTTGGGGACCCAAAGGCAGGTGAACAGAGGGCTTTCAGGAATCAGGGCTGTCTAGTTTTCCTCAATGGGGAATAACTAATAGAAAGTAGCCTTTTTTTTTTTTTATTTTCTGAGACGGAGTCAGGCTGGAGTGCAGTGGTGTGATCTCGGCTCACTGCAACCTCGCCTTCCGGGTTCAAGCGATTCTCCTGCCTCAGCCTCCAGAGTAGCTGGTATTATGGATGCGCGCCACCACACTGGCTAATTTTTTATTTTTAGTAGAGGTGGGGTTTCACCATGTTGGTCAGGCTGGTCTCGAACTCCTGACCTCAGGTGACCCACCCGCCCTCGGCCCCCCAAAGTGCTGGGATTACAAGCGTAAGCCACCGCGCCCTGCCTTTTTTTCCCTTTAAAATGTGAAGAGCAAAGTCCTCAGAGGCCAGAGAGAGGTGTAGGAACTGTGCTAGTGTAAGGCAGTGCCTGCTACAGTGGGTCCAGATGAAATACTGGGAGGTAGGAAGAAAATCTGGATTTCATATCATCCATTTTTAAATGAAAAATTAAGCTTTAATAGTGTTAAATGCGCCACAGAGAACAGTGTCTATGTCACTCTTACAAGAGATGCACAAAACCAAGGTGTACAGCCTTCAAGTGTGTTCTCAAAGGAGGGTGCATGCCTTAAAAATTGTGGAGACCACTGCTCTGTCATCTGTGATTCCCCTGAAAACCTCTGGGTACATGAAGCCCTCCCCAAGGGGAATCTGGACACCCAGCACATTCTGCCCACAGGGAGATCTTCAGGGCTCGTGAATTCTGATTCCGCCCAGCAGTCACTCTCCAGCCCTTCGGTATCCACGAAGTTGGTGGGGTGCTGAGGTGATGCTTCAGACTCAGTGTGGCCCACATCGACTTTATAACTTAATATGGCAAAATGATTTGTACAGTGATGTATAAGATGAAGTGTGGTCATGAGACAAGACCCCCAGCTCAGAGTCGAGCCAGGCCCACCAAGAGGCCAGCTCCACACCCTGGGTGATGGCCAGAATGGCTGGGAGTCATGTGTCTGTCTGTGGTCACAAAGGCCTGAGCCAACCCTGTGTTTGAGAAGTTGAGACCTGTTTGTTCCCAAACAGCAACCCCTAGACCCGCATTCCCAGTGCATATGGACAGGCCATACCACGCAGAAGCCAGCCCTTCCCTGAAGCAGCATTCAACACACAGGCCTGGCCCTCGTCCTCCCGACTCCCCCTTGGTGCCCCAGTTGACTGTGCACCTTTGAGCAGGGCCGCCAGGGGTGAGGCTTTGACCCAGACAGAAGGGCCTCGGTGTCAGGCATTGGAATTGCGTGATTGCCTTCTCTCGGTCTTTATTTCCTATTAGAAATATTTCCACGTTTTTTCATGGTTGCGAAGCAGTGCTCCGCTGGTTGTGCAGCGATGGAGAGACCCAAGCCAGAGGAGAAGCGGTTTCTCCTGGAAGAGCCCATGCCCTTCTTTTACCTCAAGTGTTGTAAAATTCGCTACTGCAATTTAGAGGGGCCACCTATCAACTCATCAGTGTTCAAAGAATATGCTGGGAGCATGGGTGAGAGCTGTGGTGGGCTGTGGCTGGCCATCCTCCTGCTGCTGGCCTCCATTGCAGCCGGCCTCAGCCTGTCTTGAGCCACGGGACTGCCACAGACTGAGCCTTCCGGAGCATGGACTCGCTCCAGACCGTTGTCACCTGTTGCATTAAACTTGTTTTCTGTTGATTACCTCTTGGTTTGACTTCCCAGGGTCTTGGGATGGGAGAGTGGGGATCAGGTGCAGTTGGCTCTTAACCCTCAAGGGTTCTTTAACTCACATTCAGAGGAAGTCCAGATCTCCTGAGTAGTGATTTTGGTGACAAGTTTTTCTCTTTGAAATCAAACCTTGTAACTCATTTATTGCTGATGGCCACTCTTTTCCTTGACTCCCCTCTGCCTCTGAGGGCTTCAGTATTGATGGGGAGGGAGGCCTAAGTACCACTCATGGAGAGTATGTGCTGAGATGCTTCCGACCTTTCAGGTGACGCAGGAACACTGGGGGAGTCTGAATGATTGGGGTGAAGACATCCCTGGAGTGAAGGACTCCTCAGCATGGGGGGCAGTGGGGCACACGTTAGGGCTGCCCCCATTCCAGTGGTGGAGGCGCTGTGGATGGCTGCTTTTCCTCAACCTTTCCTACCAGATTCCAGGAGGCAGAAGATAACTAATTGTGTTGAAGAAACTTAGACTTCACCCACCAGCTGGCACAGGTGCACAGATTCATAAATTCCCACACGTGTGTGTTCAACATCTGAAACTTAGGCCAAGTAGAGAGCATCAGGGTAAATGGCGTTCATTTCTCTGTTAAGATGCAGCCATCCATGGGGAGCTGAGAAATCAGACTCAAAGTTCCACCAAAAACAAATACAAGGGGACTTCAAAAGTTCACGAAAAAATTGAATTAAAAGATAAAAATTAAAAAATGTTTTATTTCTCAGCATGAGCTCCATCAAGGTCGAGACGCTTCTGCAAGTAATGGTACCAGCCATTCAGTTCATCCCTAAAGAATTGGGCACCCTGGGAATTTAACCATGCCACTTCAGTCTTTGTGACGTTATTAACTGAAGAAAAGTGGGTGCCCTTTAAAGATTTTTTAAAATTATAAAACAGAAGTAACCAAATCAGGCCTGGAAGGTGTATGCCTAGTGATTTCCCATTGAAACTCTCACAAAACTGGCCTTGTTTGATGAGAGGAATGAGCAGGAGCATTGTCATGGTGGAGAAGGGCTCTCTGGTGAAGCTTTCCGGGGTGACGATTTCCTGGGTGTTTTCCTGCTAAATCGTTGGCTGACTTTCTCTATACACTCTCATAATAAGATGTTACTGTTCTTTGGCCCTCCAGAAAGTCAATAAGCAAGATGCCTTGAGCATTCACAAAACGGTTGCCACGACCTTTGCCCTTGACATGTCTGCTTTTACTCTGATGGGACCACGCCCACCTCTAGGTAGTCATTGCTTTGCTTGTGCTTTGCCTTCAGGAGTGTACTGGTTAAGCCACATTTCATCTCCGGCTATAATTATATGAAGAAATGCTTCAGGATCTTGATTCCACTTGTTTAAAATGGCCATAGAACGCTTTTCTCTTATCTGCAGCTGAGCTGGGAGAAAGTTTTGGCACCCACCGAGTGGACAGTTTACTCAACTTTAATTTCAGTCAGAATTGTGTAAGCTGAACACCTTGGGATACCTACAGCGTTGGCTATTGTTTCTGCTGCTATTAATCAGTCCTCTTAAATTAGGGCACAAACAAGATGAATTGTTTCCTCACAGACTGATGTGGCTGGCCTGCTGCTGTGGACTTCCTCTCCAACATCATCTCTTCTCTTCTTCCAATGAGTTATCCACTTACTTAAATTGCTGATTTCTTTGAGGCATTGTCCCTATAAACTTTCAATAAATCATCAATGATTTCACCATGTTTCCAGCCAAGCTTCACCATCAATTGCATGTTTGTTCTGGTTTCAATTTTAGCAGAATTCATGTGTCTGATAGGAGCTCTGTTCAAACTGTTGTCTTATACTTCTTAGGGCCTCAAACTAGATCCTGTTCGGACGTGTTTTCACAAGTTAGTACAAGTTTATTTTGTTGCAAAACAATTTGAAATTCATGCATTCTTTTTCCCAATATGCATTTTCCATGAACATTCTAAAGATCACTCATCCTTCCTCCCCATGTTGTCTATTCAATGTCAGGGAGGATGTGACCCCACCCACTGCTCACCTTTGTCTCCCTTCTGTCCCCACCATCCTGGCCAGCCACTGCCTGGTCTAATACCAGAGGCTGCTGGGTGGGGAAGCCTGGGGAACCTTCCAGATAGAGTTTCTTCGCTATTCCTGAGGCATGGGGAAAAGGCTCATCTCAGTCACATCTGAACACTTCGAACCTGAGGCCAAAGTCCATTCTAGGGGCAGTGGGCAAGGAGGGTCCCAGCAACTCAGGACCAGATAGGACCACCAGCACCTGTCAGGCTCTGCCTGTGTGTCCATCTTTTTGCCCGTCACAGGCTGGTGTTCACATCCTGCCATTCACACCAGCACCCAGAAACAGTAGCCCCAGCTGCTTCCAATTCGCAGCCCTGGGCTTGAGTTTGGGGAGCATTACTTTCATTAAGGCAGGCAAAAGTGGGAACTTCATTCAGAAAGAGCAAGTGAGGTAGGAGGTCAGCCACATGAGAGAGTTTCCATGGCAGCCTTCCATTAGAGTCTCTTCAAATGAAGGATGTAATCTGTGATGTAAAATCATAGCAAGTCAAGAAATGTGAATACGGAAAAATTCGAAATTGGGAACTGCTGGGTCTCTGGTAACACTAGGAGCACTCCCAATTACTTGAGTAAGGGAGATAGAAAATTATTGCAGGGTTAGGAATTAGAATGGATCAAGGAGTTTGCTGTCTCCAGTGTGATAGATGCTCTTTCTAGAAAAGTCACCATGGATGGAAGACAGAACGGAGGGTAGTGTCTAGAAAAGAACAAGGTTCAACACAGATGCTCCATTATGAATGTAAAAGCTCAAGTATTGTTGACCAAAGGTTAAGAGTCAGTCTAGAGTGAGGGATTGGAGAAGCAGGAGATGGTGGCCCAGCTGGTCAGGGAAGGTCCTTACACAGGCAGAATAGTCTAGGGGACAGATCCAAGGCCGAGACACTGACAAGGAGAACAGACACTTCTATCAACATGGAAGAGCAATAGGCAAGAATACAGAGAAAGATCATGTATAGGAAGAGGCCAGGAAGTTGAAAGAATTATCCCCAGCAGTCACATTTTCTCTGTGAAACAGAATACGGTGGTGTCTGCTCAGAGAATGAGGGTACAAATAAGGTTGGACTTTGAGTGCCATGATGGAAGCTTAGGACTATCCCCAAAGGTAAGAGAGAAGGGATATCTTAGGGGACATAACATAGGATAGCCCAGCATTGTGGAGGTCATGGCTAAGACAGGGCATTAAACATTTGCAGAGACCTGCAAGAGTTCGGTAGTGGATTTTCCCCAGCAGCAGCCCATGTTTATGAGGGGGAAAGGCAGATAACAAAAGTACATCTGGGTGTGAGCTAGTTCAGAAGGTCACGATGGAAAGAGAGCAGTTGAGTGATGAACTATGGGAACTTCACTGAATGGAGAAGTCAAAGTAAGGTTAGAAATATCAGTTTTGAAGCAGTACCAAGGCCAGAGGCTATAGATGGCACAGAAACACAGAGCAGATATTGGCAATCCCATGATTAAGAGAGTAGGAAAGAAGGAGATTACAACCACTAAAAATAACCAGAACTTAGTACACAATAAATGAAGGCTCAAAACTAATGGGGAAAGAATGGATTATTGAATAAATGATATTGCTAAAATAGGCTACTGTGTTACTACTAGATCAGGTGTGTGAGTAATGGAAATCCCCACATCATAATGACTTAAACAACACAAGAATGTGTATTTCTTGCTCTTGTAAATGAAGTGAGCAAGTAAGCAGCCCAGGGCTGTGGGCCACTGCTGGAAGGACCCCTTTTCACGTGCCACCACAGCTCGGAGCACACACGGGGAAAGGGGAATGGATGGGTTCCATAAGACCAGCATTGTTTTCAGAATTATAAATTCTCCAAAATATATATGCATGTATATATCATCACCTATGTGTAGGCTTTAAAAACAAAGAAAATTGAAAATTTGAGGTTCCACTTTGAGTCCGGAAAGCAGTCTTCTAAGAATAAGTATGTCAGGGTTTCCAAGAGCTGCTGGTAGCCTGATGGCTGGACTCAGAGGATCACATGAAGACACACTGGAAAGTATCTTGAACATGGGTTTCATGTCTTGATCTCTGAAAACAGAAAACGACCCTCCTGTAATACACATGAAGTAATTCATAAATTTCCAAACAGCTAGACTTTCTGAAAGCTCTGCTTGGTCAAACAAACATGTCCAGGTCTCTGAAATGCCTTTCTATCTCAAGCACTAAAAAACTATTACTGACTAAATTCTTTTATGGTCAAACACAAAACTGATACTATAAAACAGAAACAGCACAAGAAAGGAAATTAGAAGCCATCATAATTGTGAACAAAAGATAAATAAAATATTGGCTAATCAAATCCAAGTGTATGAAAATACTAATACATTATGATAAGTACAATTTATCCCAGAAATGCGAGAACAATAAAAATCTTAGGAAAAGATACCACTCACCATAGCAAGAGAATACGCAATAATAACCAAATGATAATCAACGTTCAGTTATAACATTTTAAAAATCCTGGATACCTAAGAATAGAAGGCAATTTCAATATTTTGAAAAAAGTTACTTACCAGAAACCTCAAGCAAACACCATACTTAGTGGTGAAGCATTAGAAGTGTTCTATCTAAGTGCAAAAACATGATAAGCCTATACATTGTTACCACTGCAATAAAACATTAAAGTGGAGAATTTAGTCATGTAGTATAAGAAAAATAAAGAGTATAGAAACTTGTTCCCAACAATCTGCCCCATTAGATAGCCACCTATAACAGAAGACCTTAGACTAATTAATTTGTAAAGAACAGAAATTTATTGCTCACAGTTCTGGCGGTGGAGAAGTCAAAGATCAAGATGCCAACAGATTTGATGTCTGGTGAAGGCCTGTTCCTCATAGATGGCACCTTCTATGTGTCTCTGGAAAGACCTAAAGAGGCAAAGACATTCCCTTCAGTCTCTTTCATAAAGGCATGAATCACATTCATGAGGGGTGCCTCCCAAAGGGATGCATCTCTTTTTTTTTTTTTTTTTTTTGACATGAAGTCTCGCTCTTGTCACCCAGGCTGGAGTGCAGTGGCGAGATCTTGGCCCACTGCAGCCTCCTCCTCCTCCTGGGTTCAAGCTATTCTCCTGCCTCAGCCTCCTGAGTAGACAGAATTACAGGCACCTGCCACCACACCCACCTAATTTTTGTACTTTTAGTAGAGACAGGGTTTTGCCATATTGGCGAGGCTGGTCTCAAACTCCTGACCTAAGGTGATCCGCCTGCCTCGGCCTTCCAAAGTGCTGGGATTACAGGTGTGAGCCACCACGTCTGGCTGGGTTGCACCTCTTAATACCAACACAATGGTGATTAGGTTTCAATATGAATTTTGGAGGGACACAAACATTGTACCACACCATTCTGCCCCTGCCCGTCCCCAAACTCATGTCTTTCTGACATTTAAAATAAATTCATTCCATCTCAAAACTCTTAACTTCAGTTAAGTCTTAACGTAGTTCCAGCATCAAAAGTCTAAAATCCAAAGTCTTATCTAAATATCACGTAAAACAGATATGGATGAAACTCAAGGTAAGATTTATTCTGAGGCAAATTTGTCTCCAGCCATGAACGTGCAAAATCAAACAAGTGACATGCTTCCAAAATACAATGGTGGGACAGGCGTAAGATAAACATGCTTATTTCAACATAGAGAAATAGGAAGGAAGGAATGACAGGCCCTGATCAAGTCCAAAACCCAACAGGGCAAACATTAAATCTTAAGTCTCCAAAATATTTTTTAATCCATGCCCCACATTCTGGACACACTGGGGTGGGGCTTGAACCCCCAAGGTTTTTGGCAGCCCTGCAGCCCTCCCTCCTGGCTTTGCTATATGCACCTCTCACAGGCTGGAGTTGCCTGCTGGTGGCTCTACTGGTCTGGGGTCTTCAGGGCAGCCCTGCTTTTATGATGCCACTGAGTAATGCTCTCTCCAGTGACCCCTGCCACACCTGTGGCTGTTTTCTGCCTCTGTCCTACGTCTGTCTGAGGCATCCTTTGAAATCTAGGTGGAGGCAACCACATCCCTCCAAAGCCCGTGTGGAAATGATACCGTACAGATGCTGCCGAGGTTTACCGCATATGCCTTCCAGAGGGGCACTCTGAACTGGTCCTGGGCCTGCTTGAGCCAGAGCTGTAACAGCCAATGCAGGCCCAAAACTGGAATCCTGAGAGCAAAGCCTTGAAATCATTCTGCTCCCAAGACCCTGGTGTTCTGGACCTGTGGTGGATGAGACATCCATGAATGTAGGGTCCAGCCCCACAGGGTCGGTGGGTTTTCTCTCATGTGTGGAGATGAGAGAGTGTGGAAATAAAGACACAAGACAAAGGGATAAAAGACAGCTGGGCCTGGGGGACCACTACCACCAAGACGTGGAAACCAGTAGTGGCCCCGAATGCCAGGCTGCACTGATATTTATTGGATACAAGACAAAGCAGCAGGATAAGGAGTGTGAACCATCTCCAATGATAGGTAAGGTCACGTGGGTCACGTGTCCACTGGACAGGGGGCCCTTTCCTGCCTGGCAGCCGAGGCAGAGAAAGAGAGGAGAGAGAGAGAGAGAGACAGCTTACGCCATTATTTCTGCTTATCAGAGACTTTTAGTACTTTCACTAATTTGCTACTGCTATCTAAAAGGCAGAGCCAGGGATACAGGATGGAACATGAAGGCGGACTAGGAGCATGACCACTGAAGCACAGCATCACAGGGAGATGGTTAGGCCTCCAGATAACTGCGGGCGAGCCTGACTGATGTCAGGCCCTCCACAAGAGGTGGAGGAGTAGAGTCTTCTCTAAACTCCCCTGGGGAAAGGGAGACTCCCTTTCCCGGTCTGCTAAGTGGCGGGTATTTTTCCTTGACACTGATGCTACCGCTAGACCAAGGTCCACTTGGCAGCAGGCGTCTTCCCAGACGCTGGCGTTACTGCTAGACCAAGGAGCCCTCTGGTGGCCCTGTCCGGGCATAACAGAAGGCTCGCACTCTTGTCTTCTGGTCACTTCTCACTATGCCCCCTCAGCTCCTATCTCTGTACGGCCTGGTTTTTCCTAGGTTATGATTGTAGAGCAAGGATTATTATAATATTGGAAAAAAGAGTAATTACCACAAACTAATGATTAATGATATTCATATATAATCATATCTATGATCTATATATAGTATAACTATTCTCATATATTGTATTATACTGGAACAGCTCGTGCCCTCGGTCTCTTGCCTTGGCACTTGGGTGGCTTGCTGCCCAAACATGAAAGTCTCAGAAATGCCCTCAAGATCATTCCTCCATTGTCTTAATAAATAACACACAGTTTCCTTCTGTCCATACTAATCTCGTTATCAAACATTTGCTTGACCACACCTTTGGTGTCTCTCCTGGACACACTTTCACATTCTTTACAATATTGTCAGGCTCAGAATTTTCCAAATATTCAAGTTTTGCTTCCCTTTTGATGATAAATTCTGTCTTTAATTCATGACTCTCTTCTTGCATTTCACTAAAAGCAGTCAAGAGAAGCTGTGCCACACCCTGAACACTTTGCTAAGAGATTTCTTCTGCCAAATATTCTACCTTGTTGCTGATAACTTATTCCTTCTACGAAAGGCTAGAACATGAACACAATTCAGCCACAATTTGCCACTTAGTAACAAGGATTGCCTTTCCTTCAGTTTCTGATAATCTGTCCCTCATTTCTGTCTGGTACTTCATAAGAATGGCCTTTACTGTCCATGTTTATACCCAGATTTTGATCATGACCACTTGGATAATCTCCAAGAAGACTGAGGATTTTCTCTATAGCTCTCCTCTTCTTCTGAGCCCTCACCAGATTAGCCAATGTTTGATTAGAGCCTGTTCCTCACAGATGACACCTTCTATGTGTACTCATGTGGCAGAAGGAGCTAGAATGCTCCTTTCAATCTCTTTTATAACAGCATTAATCCCATTTATGAGGATGGAACTTTCATGATCTAATTACTTCCCAAAGGGCCCCACCTCTTAATACCAACGCAATGGAGATTAGACTGCAACATTTTGGAGGGACATGACATTCAGACTATAGTAATAGCTTAAAACTCTTCTATTATAAAACACTTCATCTGATTCTCTGGCTGTTCAGGTTTTAAAAAAATTAAAATTAAAAAAACACTTTTAAATCCTGAATGAAAAAATATCTTAAATCCTTTCCCACTCTATGCCAAGTTAACACGAACATTTCAGAGGCCAAAAATAAAATGGGAACTGGATCATGATTCAACATGGTAGTTAAGTCAGGAGGCTGAAAGCTTCCTTGAGAATGCTTGCTTTTGTCTAATTATCTTGTGCCACATGTAGGGGATAAGAGACAAGGCAACGGATGTCCATAAGATAGGAAGTTAAAATAAAAAAAACACATAAATTAGGAGCTTAGGAAGGGATATATCTTAAATACTGAACTAGGAAGAAAGACACACTCTGCACAACCCTGTCTGCCTCACTATTGGCTCTGCATGAGGTACAAATAGGAAGAGAAGTTTCACCTCAGAATCCAGAAACTTCCAGAGTACAGGGTTTGTATTTATATTACTAGTTAAATATACTAAACTCTAAACCAAGAAACAAATGTAAGGTAATAATGGATTGGTTTCACTCTATAGATGCCTGGAAATCAAAGGAAAATTCTCTCTGAAGGGATAGACTCTGAGTCCAGAAATCATAGAATTCTCACAGATACTATCTCCATAAATCTGCTATAAATCAAAATTTACAAAAGAAAAATAAAAACAAGAAGCAATGAGTGAGTAGAATTAGAGCATAAAAGGTTTTAAACATTGGAAAAAATAGATACCAAATACAAAATAAGTTTCCTTAAAGAAATAAAAGATCAGCTGGGCATGGTGGCTCATACCTGTAATCCCAGCACTTTGGGAGGCCGAGTCGGGAAGATCGCTTGAGCCCAGGAGTTAGAGACAAGCCTGGGCAACACAGGAAGACCCCAACTTTGTTTTATAAAAATAAAATAACTTTAAAGAAAGAAAAAACATCATAGAAAGCATCAGGAAAGAATACAATACCATCAGAAAAATATTGGGCAGACTTGACCCCCCCAAAATTAAAAAAAAGTCTAAAGAGAACATCCAGAAGTAAAAAAATATATAACCATCATATGTTAAAACTCAAGGGATAAATTAAATAACAGATTAGACACAGATGAAGAGAGAATAAGAAACTGGAACATGAGCTGAAGAAACTACTCAAATGTGACCCAGAGATAATAAGAGTTGGAAAATACAAAGAATAAACTAGAAGACAGGGAGAATAGAATTAGACAGTCTGATATAGAAATAAGCAGAATTTCAGAAGAAGAGAGTACAGACAATATTTGAAGAAATAACAATGAGTGGTTTTTCCAAAATTGATTAAAGACATGAATACTCAGATAAAGTAATCATATTGAGGCACATTCAGAGTATCACTTCAGGACTCCAAAGCCAAGAGGAAAATTTAAAACCTGCCAGAGAGAAAAGACATACATCTAAAAAATAAAACAATTACACTTGCACTGACTTCTCAATTTGATTATGGAAGTTAGAAGATGGTGTACTAGTGTCTCCAAAGTGTTGAAAGAAAATGACAAGAAATTAAGGTAGAATTGAATATTTGAATAAAGGCATTTTCTGATAAATACAAAACTGAAATTGTTTACCACTGCTCAGCCATTACTAAAAGAACTCCCAAAATATTCTTTAAAAGGAGTGAAAATAATATCAGACAGGCAGATGGAATGAAAGAAGGAATCATAGAAAAAGATATATTAATATGTGGTGTTATGGATTGAGTTGTGTGGTTTTTCCTACCCACCCCACAAATTCACATATTGAAGCCCTAACCTCCAAAATGGCCGCATTTGGAGTAAGTAATTAAGGTTGAATGAGGTCATAGGTGTTAGCCTCCGATCTGGTAAAATTAGTCTCCTAATATGAAGAGCCACCAGAGAGCTCCTTCTCTCTCCACCATGTGAGGACATCATGACAAGTTGCCATCTATGAACCAGAGAGTGAGCCCTCACCAGATACTGAATCTGCCTGCACCTAGATCTTGGACTTCCCAGCCTCCAGAACTGTGAGAAATAAATGTCTGTTGTTTAAGCCCCCCAGTTTGCGGTAATTTATTATGGCAGCTAAAGAAGACTAAGACATACGGAAAAATCAAAACTATCACTGAATAGATAGCACAATAAGAATTTCCAATTTATGGAGGCTTAAAGAAAATAAGAGTGATAATACTAGACACATGTGGCATAAAAGGAAAGAGGGAGGTGATAGAGTTGTTCTGTAGTTTTTGCAGAGTTCACAAGGAGGTTCAGATATACTGAAAAAATGTGGCCGGGCGCGGTGGCTCATGCCTGTAATCCCAGCACTTTGGGAGGCCGAGGCGGGAAGATCACGAGGTCAGGAGATCAAGACCATTCTGGTTAACACGATGAAACCCCATCTCTACAAAAATACAAAAATAGGAAAAATACAAAAAAACTAGCCAGGCGTGGTGACACACGCCTGTAGTGCCAGCTACTCAGGAAGCTGAGGCAGGAGAATCACTTGAGCCCGGGAGGCAGAGGTTGCAGTGAGCCAAGATCGTGCCACTGCACTCCAGCCTGGGCAACAGAGCAAGTATCCATCTCAAAAGAAAAAAAAAGAAAGAAAGAAAAAATTAGACATAAAGAGCAAATTCCAAAATGCAAAATGATAGAAATCCAGTTTTAAACTTCTATGTATGTGTAGAAAAATAAGAGATCAATATTGAATGGTGAAAAGCATAAAAGAAATAAAAAGAACTAAACAAGATGATAGAAATATATCCTTATTCCTTAGCAGTGACAACAAATAAAATCACCAGTTCTAGCCTGGGCAACATGGCAAAGCCTCCTCCCTACAAAAAAAAAAAAATACAAAAGTTAACCAGGCATGGTGGTGTGTTCCTGTAGTCCCAGCTACTTGGGAGGCTGAGGTGGGAGGATGGGTTGAGCCTGGGAGTTTTAGGCTGCAGGGAGCCACAATCACACTACTACATTCAAGTCTGGGCAACAGTCAGACCTCATCTCAAAAAAGAAAACAAAAAATCACCAGTTTGAAGCTAATTATTATACTGATTTTTTGTTTTAATCCATAAAAAGATACACACAAAGCATAAGACCACAGAAAAGTTAATCATACAAAAAATGGCAGAAGATATAGTGGACTTATACTATTAATATGAGATAAATAGACCTCAAGGCAAAAAGTATTAATAGACATAAATGACAAAATATTCAAGTCACTATAAAAATATGTTAACAATTTAGAATTATGTCTTCCAGAGGTGTTTCAATATAAGGAAGTAAAAGATGTTGTAAATACGGGGAAAAATTGACAAAACTGACAATGTAATGAAATATTTTAACACACATTGCTCAATAATTGATAGATCTAGAATGCAAAGTATAGTGAAAACACTGAACAAGATAACTGACAAGACTGACTGAATATACATATGTGGGACCTTGCACCCAACAATTACAGATCAGGCCTTCTTCTCAAAGATGGAAAACTACCCAGAGCTTTGAGGGGCTGAGGTAGGAGTATTGCTTGAGCCAAGGAGTTTGAGACCAGCAAGGGCAAGATGACAATACCCCATCCCTACAAAAAATTTTAAGATACCTGAGTGTGGTGTTGCATGCCTATGGTACTAGCTATTTGGGAGGCTGAGGCAGGAGGGTTGATTGAGCCCAGGAGTTCGAGTTACAGTGAGGTATGATTGGGCCACTGCACTCCAGCCTGGGTGACAGAGCAAAACCCTGTCTCTAAAACAATTGGAGGAGGGAACCAAACTGAAAATTTTAAAATACTTTAAATTGAACAGTTAAAAATCTATACCAAAATGAAAAAAAAAAAAACCTTCAGGGTAAAGCTAAAGCAGTACTCAAGGAGAAATTTATAAGCAGTTAGAAATTTAAATGTTTATAATAGGAGAGAAGAAAATTGGAAAATTAATACATTAAACATTCGATTTTGCCAAGCGTGTGAGCTCACGCCTGTAATCCTAGCACTTTGGGAGGCCAAGTCTGGCGAATCGCTTGAGCCCAGGAGTTTGAGACCAGTCTGGGCAACGAAATGAGACCCCATCTCTACAAAAAATGCAAAACGTAGATGGGCATGATGGCGCACACCTGTAGTCCCAGCTATTCAGGAGGCTGAAATGGGAGGATGCCGTGAGCCCAGGAGGTCAAGGCTGCAGCAAGCCGTGATCGTACCACTGCACTCCAGCCGGGCGACAAAGCGAGACCCTACTTCAAAAGCAAACAACAACAAAATTCCGCTTTAAAAGTCAGAAAGTAGGTATGAAGAAAATAACAAAGTGGTAGAAGTTAATGAAATAGAAATCAAGGGTATGACAGAAAGGCCCAAGAGGTGAATTTAATGGCATATTAGACAATCAGAGAAAGGAAGAGTAAACAAGAAGAATGGTAGGTAGGAACCATCAGACTGAAGATCACAAAATTTAAAAAGAGAATGGAAAATACAGAAAAAGCCTTGGTACCTGGGACATGGAGACAAGGTCTGGCATAGTTGTATATAAGTCGATGTAATTATTGACTCTGTTTCTTCAGCCTTTGCTATACATCAGCAGTCCCCAACCTTTTTGGTACCAGGGGCCAGTTTCATGGAAGACAATTTTTCCATGGATGAGGCAGAAGGATGGTTTCGGGATGAAACTGTTCCACCTCAGATCATCAGATTCTCATAAGGAGCATGCAACCCAAATCCCTCACATGCACAGTTTACAATACGGTTTGTGCTCCTACAAGAATCTGATGCCACTGCTCATCTGACAGGAGGCAGACCTCAGGCTGGAATCCTTGCTCGCCTGCCACTCACTTCCTGCTATGTGGCCTGGCTCCTCATAGGCCATGGACTGTGGAGTTGGGGACCCCTGCTATACAATACCCTCTGCCATGTAACTTTGCAGTTCCTCCAGCCAAAGACTTGGTTTAGTTCCCTGATATTCACGTTGGATACTGTCACATGACTTGCTTCAGGCAATGACATTAGCAGAAGTGACACAAGCAAAGACATGAGATGAGCTTGTGTGATTGGGATTTCTCTCGTGCCCCCACCATCATCCTGAGAAGAAAATGCTTCAGCTAGACCACTTGTACCAGGAGGAAGAGAGACGTGGGTTGTAGAACCATCCCAGTAGACTCAAGATCTGTAGTGAGAAGCGGAGCTACCCAGCTGAGCTGGGCCTACCCACAGATCCATGAGTGATAATACAAAAATGGATGTTTCACATCAGTGGGCTTTGGGGCGGCTAATTATGCAGCAGTAGCTAACTGATAGACCATGGATCCACTAAGAGAAAGGGACAGACACAATATTTGAAGATACAGGAGATCATTTTTGAAAACTGATAGAAAATAACCACAGATTTGAGAAACTCTGAGAAACTGAAGCAGAATTGATACAAGGAAAAATCATACCTGGATACATCATTGCAAAACTTCTGAAACCCAAGAATAAAGAGAAAGTCTTAAAAGCAGTCAGAGCAAACAGCCACAATACTTAAAGGAGCAACAATAAGAATAATACCCGGGTTCCAAAAAGAGAAAGTAAGCAATGAGAAAAGACAATGGAAGAACATTGTGAAACTGCTGGAAGAAAATCACTGCTAATTCTAGAGCGTTCTACAAAACAAAATACCCTTCAAAATGCAAAAGTAAAGACAAAGTGAAAGAAACACACTCTCATAGAATGTATCACCATCAGACCACACTAAAGGAAATCCTAAAGGTGGATGAAAAGTTATATCAAACATAAGCAATGGAAAGAATATTAGTTAATATAAATAAAAATCTATTGTATAAGACAATAATAACAAGGACTTTAGGGATATAATATATAGAAGTAAAAAATCATACAGCAGATTTAATATAATGAATATAAGTAGTGTGAATAATTGTATGTGACCACAGTAACACAGAAGGTGACAGAGGAATGAAAGGAGTTAAAAGTATTCCAAGGCTCAAGCATTGTGCTAAGAGGCAATAAATATGAAAATGAATTAAAACAGTGTGTCCCAATAAAATGTATTTGAATTTCATATATATCTATGGAAGATGCTTTAAGTAAAAAAAAAAAAATTCACATTTAGATACTATAGTATAGTTTATTATTTATTTATTAATATTCTACTTAATAAATAACATTCTTAGCTCACAGGTTGTAGGAACACAGGACTGCAGCTGGCTGTGGTCTCAGGTTTTGGTTTGCCAGCCCACGTATCAGGAAAATAGCAACCACACAAGGCAGCCACCACCACTCAGTCTGGGGTACAAAGGGGAGAATTAATAAAACTAATAAGCTGGAATTCATGAAAATGAGTCACTCCCCAGGTGCCCCAGGGCGGCTGCCACACTGGGATCTGGCCTCTGAAGAGGGATGGCAGCTGCTGCCAGGGTCTGAGCTGGAAGGGCCTACGGCCTGAAACCCAGACCCCCGAGATGAGGTGTCCCTAGCAGTGGTTTGAGGTCTCTAGCGGGGAGATCAAGCTGATTCTGCAGAGTCGGGAACCAGCAACCCAGTTTTAGCAGCTAGGTGGGGAAGTGCCACTGCCAGGTGAACCAGCAGCATCCAGAGGACACGTGGCCCCAGTGGCAGGTAGACCGGAAGCCTGGGAAAGAAACCGGAAGCAAACTGAAAGGAGCACATTCCCCATCTTCCCCAGCCTTGCGTGCTTTCTCTGGTGCCCCTAGTGGGAGAATTTAGCACAGCACCAGCTGGCCCAGCAGAAATGAGTTTGCGGAGCTAGGGCCAGCCACAGAGGTGGAGTGGGGATGGTTGGTGTGGAGCTGAGTCAACACCAGGCAAACACTAAGTGAAAGAATCTGGCAGAGTTTCTACTGTCAGACAAAAGTGATGTTGATACAGGAAACATTACTATAATGGAGGGCTTTTCATAATTGCAAAAGGGTAAATCCAACAGGTGGATACAATAATTCTAAATGTGTATGCATCTGTTAACATAACCTCAAAATATATAAAGCAAACATTAACAGAAATAAAAGATGAAATGGTAAATTTCAACATACTTCTTTCAGTGTGTGACAGAACAATCCAGCAAATTAATAAAAATATGCAATATTTGAACATCATTAACAACCTTGGCCCACTAACATATACAGGGCACTGCACCGAACAACTAAAAAGTCACAATTTTTTCAAGTGTACATGGAATGTTCATCAAATTTTTGTCCATATGCTGGGGATAAAGCAAATCTCCACAATGTCAATGACTTGAAATCGTGTGGCAAGTTTTTGACCATAATGCAATTAAATAAAACACCGATATCAAAAAATAAAATATCCCCAAAGGTTTGGAAGATAAGAAATAAATTTATGCATATTCTAAGTCTCAGAAGACAGTCACAAAGGAAGTTGGAAAATATTTGTATTAAATTATACTGAGGCAAGGTACAGTGACTCATGCCAGTAATTCCAGCACTTTGGGAGGGTGAGGTGGGAAGGTTGCTTGAGCCCATGAGTTAGCAGCCTGGGCAACATAGTGAGAACCCGTCTCTACAGAAAATTTTAACAACTGGCAAGGTGTGGTAGTGCCCACCTGTAGTCCCAGCTGCTATGGAGGTGGAGGTGGGAGGATCACCTGAGCCCAGAAGGTTAAGGCTGCAGTGAGCCATGGTCATGCCACTGCACTCCAACCTGCATGACATAGTGTCCAAAAATAATTACACTGTTTCTCCAAAAAAGAATTATACTGTTTACATGACCTATTATTACTTGCGGTATAGTGACAAAGATATGCTTAAGAGAAACTTGTGGTCTAAAATAATCCATTCATGGGAAAAATTCTTAAAGACAGAGAACTGAGTATCTACTTCAAGAAATTAGAAAAAGAATAGCAAATATATCCACAGAAAGAAGAAATTCAAACTAATAGAAAATTCATCAAAAAATAAAAATAAAAGGTTGCTTATTTGAAAAAACTAATAAAACTTATAAATCCTTAGAAAGATTGATCATGAGTAAGAAGGCACAAATTATCAATATCAGGAATAAAAAGATGACATCTCTAGACTAAAAAACATAAAAAGATACCATCTAGGGCTAGGTAAAAAGTTCTTAAAATTGACACCAAAAGCTGAATCCATAGAAGGAACAATTGATAAACTGGACCTCACCAACATTAAGACTTTTGCTTTGCTATTGACTCTGTTATTAGGATGAAAAGACAAGCTACAGACTAAGAGAAAATATTTACAAGCCACAATCTGACAAAGAGTTTTATCTAAAATATACAAAGAACTCTTAAAACTCAACAGTAAAAAAAAAAAATCAATGAGAACATGGACAAGGCATATAAACAGACATTTTGTCAGCAAGCAGATGTGAGTGGCAAATAAGCACATTAAAAAATAATCAACATCCTTATCCTTTTTTTTTTTTTTTTGAGACAGAGTCTCACTCTGTCGCCCAGGCTGGAGTGCAGTGGCGCGATCTCAGCTCACTACAAGCTCCGCCTCCTGGGTTCACGCCATTCTCCTGCCTCAGCCTCCTGTGTAGCTGGGACTACAGGCGCCCGCCACTGCGCCTGGCTAATTTTTTTTGTATTTTTAGTAGAGATGGGGTTTCACCATGGTATCAATCTCCTGACCTCGTGATCCACCCGCCTCAGCCTCCCAAAGTGCTGGGATTACAGACGTGAGCCACTGCGCCCAGGCCATCCTTATCCTTTATAAAATGCAAATTTAAGCCACAATGAGATATCACCACATACCTATGAGAATGGCTAGAATAAAAAATAGTGACAACACCAAATCCTGAAAAGGATGCAGAGTAACTGGATCACTCATACACAGCTGGTGAAAATTTAAAATGGTACAGCCACTATGGAAAACAGTTTGACAGTTTCTTATAAAAATGAACATACAACTACCATGCATTTCATAACTCAAGTTCCACCCGACATTTGGAGAAAGGTTCAGAAACTGGAAGCTTACCCCAAGACACCTCAGGTGACGTGGATAGCGGAGGCCTTTAAGGTTTTTAACAATAAGGACCAGGCAGGGGAGGAAAAAAAGGATGAGAGAATGAAAAATCGGGCAAAAATTTTGGCTGCCATAATTACAGGTCTGCCTCAAGGTGACCCTAGGCAGGAGAAACACTCCAGACAAGGGGTGACCAGACCTCAACCAGCAGCAATAGGACTGAGGGACAACCAATGTTCTTATTATAAGAAAGAGGGGCACTGGAAAAGGGACTGTTCATTCCATCCTGTGAAGTCATGACAGCATGAATCTCCCCAACCCACTCCTCTTGATGCTAGTCTCTTGTATGAAAAGGCCACCCTCTCTGCTGGATGTAGCCCAAGTGCTCTCCCAGCTGCAGTCTTGAAGCGTTCTGTTGGCATCACCACCGCAAAGCCTCAGGTCACTCTCAATGTAGCAGGCAGGAAACCTGAATAACTATTGGATACTGGGACCACCTACTCTGTCCTGACCCAACCTGTGGGACCTCTGCAATGCCAACTGTATGGTGATGGGAATAGATGGCCAGGAGAAGGTAAAATGATTTGCCTTTCCTTTGACTTGTGAAATTGGATTTAAGGGTATTACTCATTCTTTCCTATATATCCCTGAGTGTCCCCTTCCTTTAATAGGTTATGATTTATTATCCAACCTGGGAGCCTCAGTTTCCCTCCAGGGGATGCAATATAAGTCTCAGTACCTCCGAGAAGAGAATCCATTTACTGGCCCTTCTGGCTCCCAAAGGTCAGAAGCTACCTCCTGTCCTGGAAGAGATAGTATGTCAAGTGGCAAAGTTTATATGGGATGCCAGTACTCTAAGACAAGCCATCATTGCAGAGCCTATTAAGATAAAACTTAAGCCAAGTGTACCCTACCCATGCAAGCCCCAATACCCTTTGAGGACAGAAGACCTACAGGGAATACAGCTCCTCCTGGAAAAATTCCTACAGCACAGGCCTATTCAGCCCTGCCAGTCACCTTGTAATACCCCAATCTTGCCTGTGGAGAAACCAAAAGGGGAGTACTGGTTTAGGGTACTCCTTTTAGGAGTGAATGGCTTAGGGCAGTGAATGACTCAGTTGTTCCCAGTCATCCTATAGTTCCCAATCTATCCACACTCCTCTCTCAGATCCCTAGGCGCACTCAGTTCTACATGGTGCTGGATCTAGAGGACACTTACTTTTGTATCCCATTGCATCCCAAATTCTCCTACATTTTTGCCTTTGAATGGAAGTATCCAGAGACCCAGGAAACTTCCCAATATACCTGGACAGTGCTACCCCAGGGGTTTCAGGATAGCTCCTACCTCTCTGGGAAGGCCCTGGCAAAAGACCTCAGAGATCTTAAACTTACAAGTGGAATCTTATTGCAATATGTGGATGATTTGCTTATTGCTAGTGAGGGCTTCCATAGTTTTCAAGAACATACTATTAAAACCTTAAATTTCTTGGCTGAATGGGAATATAAGGTCTTCCCCTTAAAGGCCCAGATCTCCCAGACACAGGTTCGATGACTAGGGTTCATACTTACCCCAGAAGCCAGGATGCTTGCCCCAGACTGAAAGCGGGCCATTGCTTCACTACTAGTCCCTGGTAGTAGAAGAGAGCTGCACGGATTTCTGCAGATGGCTGGCTTCTGCTGGGTTTAGATCCTAAACTTTGGCCTCATACTTAAACCCACTCAAGAGTGGAGAAAACCAATTATCCCACTGGGTAGAAGCCTGTCAGCAAGCATATGAAACCCTAAAATCTGAGTTAGGAAGGCCCCTGACCTAGGACTCCCACAATTGTAGAAGCCTTTCTTCCTATATGTATAGGAGAGGTTCAGGCCAGCCCTGGATGTCCTAATTCAGAATCTGGAGTCCATCCAATGGCCAGTGGTTACTTTCAAAGCAATGAGACCCAGTAGCCCAGGGAAGGCCAAGCTGACTTAGGGCAGTGGTGGCCACCAGCCTCCTGGTCAGAGAGGCCTCCCAACTCACATGAGGCCAACCCCTTCAGGTTGACACTCCTCACCAGGTCTGGAATGTGTTAGAAATAAAAGAGCACCACTGGCTGGGGAAGCCTAACTTTATAGCAGGCCCTGCTGCTAGACACCCTCGACTGAACCTTAAAGGTGTGTTAGACCTTGAATCCTGCTGCCCTGGTTCCCTCGCCCACTTCAGAGACACAAACACACTTGTGTGGAGACTTTAGAGCAGACCTATTCTAGACAAATGGACCTGCAGGACTCCCCCTTAGAAAATACAGATAAAGAATTATTTACATCTGGGAACAGCTTTGTAGAAAATGGCATCCAAAAGACAAGCTATGCTGCTGTTGGCTTGAACCACATTGTAGAAGCAAAAGCCCTTGCCCCAAGCACTTCCACTCATGAAGCAGAGCTCAAAGCCCTAGTCATGGCTCTTTAACTAAGGGAAGGAAAATACTTAATGTATATCCTGCCTCTAAGTATGGATTCCTAGTGCTCCATGTTCATGCAGCTGTCTGGAAAGAGAGGAGATTGTGGACTCCTAGGAGCTCCCCCATAAAACATAAAAAAGTGATTCTGTCCCTTCTTGAGGCAGTTCAGCTCCCTGCCCAGATAGCTGTCATGCACCATGAAGGGCCCCAGCAGGCAGTTCTTTAACCAGCCGAGGAGACAGCTGAGCTGGTGAAGCTGCCAAACAGGTGGCCCAGACAGAGCGGCTTGGCCCCTTGGCTCCTGTAACCCATGTTCCTACCATAGGAAGGAGGGGCACTGGGAAAGGGACTGCTCATTCCATCCTAGGAAGCTGGGACAGAATGAATCTGCCCAACCCACTCCTCCTGTTGCTAGCCGCTTCCTAGCCACTTTCTTCTAGACGAAGATTTAAATCAGGTGGTAAAATACATCATTAACTTGGGACAAGTTCAGCAGGCCATCTTGCAATATGATAATAAGATGTGACCTCAGCCGGGTCATGGAGTTTCAGATCATTTCCCTGCTAGCCCAGGTGCACAGGTCCTACTCAAGACATGGCGAAAAGGAAGCCCAGAGGCTTAGTTCACTGAGAAATGAAAGGGTCCATACCAGGTTTCCTTGGCTACTCCATCAGCTGTACAGTTGGAAGGACTTGTCTCTAGAATAAAACCTTTTGCTTCTCCTGATGGACGACAGGCCTGCTTGGAGAAAACAGTCTACTCCCGTAAACCTATAGAGGACCTCAAGTATTTGTTCAAGAAGCTGCCTCTGGAAGACAGCAATAGTTAAGTAACATCCTTATATAAATGATATATACCAGGGGATATGCAGACTATCTTCAGGACCCTGGCTTGATACCCCCAACTGCACAATTCATAACCTGAACCTCTCCATTCTCAATGACACCAGGGGATATGCAGACTATCTTCAGGACCCTGGCTTGCTACCCACCAACTGCACAATTCATAACCTAAATCTCTCCATTCTCAATGACACCAGGGGACATTCGAATTTGGGCTCCTCTTGGAATTGTTTTCCCTCGAGGCCACGCTAATGACCTCCTCAACCACCCTGCTTGCCTAGCTCTTTCCCCCTGCATGGCTCTGTGGGCTTGGACACCCCAAGCCCAGGCCAAGGAAGGGCCAGGTCTGGCACCCAGAAGTCCCCCACTTGACCTTGACTCCTTCAAGTCCCCCAATAAACTGCCAGTGAACCACCACAAGCTGCCCAAATCCATTGCGTTAGACTGATGCAACTGAGTGATGGGGAAGGTGTGGGTCCCTCCAGCTTTCGTGGGTGCTAAGACTGCTGGGTGTCTGGCACTGCTCTGGCCCTGGGACACAGCAGTTAGGAGGCCAACCAGGCCCTGGCCTTCTGGCTTCAGAGTCCAAGAGGGACAGAAGTATTCCTTGCTTATGTATTCCCTGTGTAAGATTGCAGCAAGGCTATGCACCCTGGGAGAGGTTCGCTGTGCAAGGAGAGCCCTGGGGATCTTGCCCAGTCTCTGGGCCCAGGAAGCGGAAGATGGAAGAGGAGGGAACAGCATGTGGGTGGGAGGGGAGCTGGGAGAGCAGAAGTTGGGAATGAATGGGCAGGGGCAGGAGCAGAGGAGGTCTGGAGGGTGGGTAGAGACCTTGGAAGCTCCAACTGGTTTCTCATTCATCCATCTTCACCGGTATCTCCAGGGCTAAGCCTCCAGCTCTGGGTCCCTCCCCTGGCAGGAGAGGACACAGTGGTGTAAACCAAAAATGAAATTCTAAGCACCCCCACCATCTGAATGCACCCCTGCTCTTGACCAAGGGCAGTCCAGGGTTAACCTGAAACACTAGTTCAGACCACGACAGGAAATGGGTGTTGGATATGCCTCACTGTACCCTCCTCCCTTTGGATTTCAGGCCCAGCTGACCAGCAGTAACATCAACACACCCCTTAAAGACTGAGAGAACAGACTCTTTAAGTCTGATGAGAAACATTTACAATCTATTCTCTCTGAAGCCTGCTACCTGGAGGCTTCATCTGATCATGAAACACTGGTCTCCACGACCCCTTATCTTAACCAGACATTCCTTTCTATTAATGCTAAGTCTTTAAAAAATAACTTTTTTTTTTTTTTTTTTTTTGGAGAAGTGAGGTCTCTCTATGTTGCCCAAGCTGGTATCTAACTCCTGGGCTCAAATGGTCCTCAGCCTCCCCATGGCAAGGATTATAGAAATGGCCCACCATGCCCGGTCAACTTAACTCTTTCAATCAATTGCCAATCAGAAAATCTTTGAATCTGCCTATGACCTAGAAGTCCCTCTGTCACTTCCAGTTGTCCCCACCTTTCTGGACCAAACCAATGTCCATCCTGCAAGTATTCATTGATGTCTTATGTCTCCCTAAAATTTGTAAAACCCAGTTGCAGGCTGACCACTCTGGGTACAAGTTCTCAGGATCTTCTGAGGCCGTGTGACAGGCCACAGTCACTTAGATTTGGCTCAGAATAAATCTCTTCAAACATTGCACAGTGTTTCACTCTTTTTGTTGGCAAGGGGACAACATGGGTGACCAGGAGGCTGCATTCTTTGAGCAATGGCCAACAGGCTCAACGGCTATGTCCTCAGTCCCTTCAGCCCAAAAGGCCACCCCTCCCTGGGGCAGAGGGCTCAGAGCCCAGCTACGACAAGGTGACACTTCAGGGACAAGTGTGAGCAATGCTAGGGTGTTGGGAATAGGCCCCCAAAATCTGGCCATAAACAAAATCTCTGCAGCACTGTAACATGTTCATGATGGCCATGATGCCCACGCTGGGAGGTTGTGGGTTTACCGGAATAAGGGCAAGGAACACCTGGCCCACCCAGGGCAGAAAACCGCTTAAAGGCGTTCTTAAACCACAAACAATAGCATGAGCCATCTGTGACTTAAGGACATGCCCCTGCTGCAGATAACTAGCCAAACCCACCCCTTTATTTTGGCCCATCCCTTTGTTTCCCTAAGGGGTACTTTTAATCTATAATCTGTAGAAACTGTGCTTATCACTGGCTTGCTGTGAATAAACACGTGGGTAAATCTCTGTTGGAGGCTCTCAGCTCTGAAGGCTGTGAGACGCCTGATTTCCCACTCCACACCTCTATATTTCTGTGTGTATCTTTAATTCCTCTAGCACCGCTGGGTTAGGGTCTCCAGGACCGAGCTGGTCTCGGCACTGGGGGAGCTGCCCTGATAGGTAGTGAGCTCCCTGTCCCTGGGGCTATCAAGCAGAGCCAGGTGCCGCCCCAGGGAGCTCCTTCTTTGAGGGCGGTCCAGAACCCTGGAACCCCAGCCCAGGCCCAGGCCTGAATCCGGAGCTTGTTTAACCCAGCAATTCCGGGACCCCATCCCCGGTCGCTGGCATCCGCTGTCATTCGAGAGCCTGGGGCTGACGGGGAGAGCTGGTCCGGCCTTCTCTGGGCCGCCTTTCCTCCCCAGCCTCGTCAGGAAGGGGCACAGGACAGCCGAGCTGTGCGACAGCCCGCTGGGCCTGCGCCCCAGGGCCTCCGGCGACACTTGGAGTCCGCAGCTGAGTCACTGACTCTCACCCGGGCTCCCCCGCTTCCGCCCGGCCGTGATTTGCTCCGGTTTCAAAAGGGAGGAAGGGCGGGAATGCTCGGGAAGAGCCTGGGGTTGGCAGGACCTTTAGGGGGTGGAATGAATGTCGTGAGGGCGAGTAAGGAGGTACCGGCTGGGGCTGAAAATGCGCACGGGGACCATGAGCGTGATTCGCCCTGAGCCGCTGCGAACGCCCTGCGAGCTGGGGTGGCCCTGGAGGTCCTGGAGCAGAAGCTAGGTTCCCGCAGAGTCCGCTGCAGCGCCGCTGGCGATCGGGCTGGGTCCCATTTTCCACGAAAAGTCCCGCGGCTTCGGCCGCGGAGGTGCTGGAGCCTTTGCGCTCAGACGAAGGGCCGAACGGCCAGGGCCAGGCCGCGTCTTCAGAGCCTGGCGAGGGTCTCGCGCTGCTGGGAAGGCGGAGACGCCGGGGCGCGCGTGCACCCTCGCGCCTGCAGCGCCGCGCACGGCCGCCAGGTGCCGCTGTGGCGCTCAGCGCGCCGCCCGCCCCGCCCCAGGGAACGCGAAAGTGGCGCGGGCCTGGACGGCGGGACGGACCACGTAGGGCGCTGAGAAGGTCGCGCCACGGTGGGCGGGGCTCCGGGCCCCTCCCCCTCGGCCGCCCTCGCGCTGTGGTTCGCTCCGGGCGCGCTGCGCTCGTGAGTTCCCAGGAGGCCTGGCGGGCACCGTAACCAGCGCCGCGGACACCGGCACCGGCGCCACGGACTCCGCAGGACCCCGCGCCCGCCGCCGCCGCTATGCTGGGGCTGCTGGTGGCGTTGCTGGCCCTGGGGCTCGCTGTCTTTGCGCTGCTGGACGTCTGGTACCTGGTGCGCCTTCCGTGCGCCGTGCTGCGCGCGCGCCTGCTGCAGCCGCGCGTCCGTGACCTGCTAGCTGAGCAGCGCTTCCCGGGCCGCGTGCTGCCCTCGGACTTGGACCTGCTGCTGCACATGAACAACGCGCGCTACCTGCGCGAGGCCGACTTTGCGCGCGTCGCGCACCTGACCCGCTGCGGGGTGCTCGGGGCGCTGAGGGAGTTGCGGGCGCACACGGTGCTGGCGGCCTCGTGCGCGCGCCACCGCCGCTCGCTGCGCCTGCTGGAGCCCTTCGAGGTGCGCACCCGCCTGCTGGGCTGGGACGACCGCGCGTTCTACCTGGAGGCGCGCTTTGTCAGCCTGCGGGACGGCTTCGTGTGCGCGCTGCTGCGCTTCCGGCAGCACCTGCTGGGCACCTCACCCGAGCGCGTCGTGCAGCACCTGTGCCAGCGCAGGGTGAGCGGCCCCCGCCCCTGGCCCCGGAGCACGGCCTTTGTGGGACCTCCGGGGGCTCCTCCTAGTCCCTGGCCCCCTCCCCTAGGGAAGGCCCGCTGCCTGCACCTCTTTCGGATACTGCTGGAGTCCTGCCTCTTACCGCTCCCGCCCCTCCCTCTCTACCGGGGGCATTCCTCACTGATGCCTTTGTTCGTGGGGGTTCCTAGGGTCCCCGAATCAACTCTTCATAGTCGGGCTTAGCGTGCTTCCCTCCTGCCATTTCTTAACCTGGCCCCTCACGGTTTCGTGTTCACCCCTCTCCTCTCTCCTGGTACTCTGTTCTGTGGCTGGAGTGTTGACCTCTCTGGTCCTTGGTCCTGAATATAGGTTGGAGAGGTGATCAGTTAGAAGAGGTTCCTAGGAGTTCCCGAGGACCTGAGCCCCCCTTTCACACAGCTTAGAGCTGAAGGGCTGGGTTCTGGTCACCTGGGTTTGGGGTTGAGGTATTGAGCCGAGTAGCTGAAAGCCTTCTGGCCTTTCTGCAGTTGGAGAGAGGAGGGCCATGCACCTCCCAGGGCTCGCTCCTCCCAGCAGGGCAGAACCGCCCCTGCAGCATGGCACCTGGGGCCCTGGGGACGGCCACCAGGCCGATGTGGCCAGACCAGTTGCCAGAAAAGTTGCCTGGAGCGTCCGTGCAGGAAGCCAGGGCCTGTGCACCCCTGGTGTGCCCTTAGGGCACTGCCCTCTCCGGTCTCGGACAGGTGCCTCCCGAGCAGACGAGGGTCAACGTCTCATCTCAGTCCTGATGTTACAGGAAAGGGATTCAGATCCAGACCTCAAGGGAGGGTTCTTGGATCTTGTGTAAGAAAGAACTCAGGGCGAGTCTGCAGCGCACAGTGAAAGCAAGTTTATTAAGGTAAAGCGGTGAAAGAATAGCTGGTCCGTAGACCCAGTAGCATGTTCCTGTAAGAGGAGGAACGCGTCCACCCTAGGTGCAATGCTTGTATATATGGGGAGATGTGATCTGCTACAAGGGTTTGTGATAAAGGAGTAATTTTCTTAATTACTATATTTTGCAAGAATCAATATTACTATTTTCTTTTTTTTTTTTTTTTTTTTCAGACGGATTCTCACTCTGTCGCCCAGGCTGGAGTGCAGTGGCGTGATCTCGGCTCACTGCAACCTCCGCCTTCCGGGTTCACGCCATTCTCCTGCTTCAGCCTCCCCACTAGCTGGGACTACGGCGCCAGCCACCACGCCCGGCTAATTTTTTGTATTTTTAGTAGAGACGGGGTTTCAAAATCAGGAATGCCTTTGTTCTCCAGACATCGGGATATCTGGACACTCCCAAGTCTGGGTCTCTTTAGTAAACATTATTAATTTGTTCCCTTAACTGTGTTTGAAACGCTTGTTCCCCGGTGCCGTAAAGAAATAGCACGTGAACATAAATTTAATTTCCTCAGCAAGGCCATTTTTACTTCCTGCAGAAAGGGTACACTCGCCAGCAGCTTTGCCATGAGAGTACACCGAACAAAGGAGACAGGCTCATTTATAACCTGATGTGTAACAATCGCTTTTATTTAAAGTGCGAACGGAATATTTAATCCATTTCAGCCAGGGATTTGCATCTTGATACTCTCTCGATGGCTAAGGTCTGTTTTAGATCTCTTATTTTTACAATAGACACCCTAGTTTTATTATTAGATGTAGAAGCAACCGGTGTGAGATCTAGAACTGAGGCTACTGAAGAAGGGGGAGATGGGGGAATAATGCGTATTTAAAAAATACCTAGGGGGTCTTTTCCATTTATGTCAATCCCCATACCACAGAAGCGACTGAGGGCAGGTCTAGAGTTAGTTAAGGTGGAGGTGGTGATAGAGAAGGACAGGGTTACACTGATAAGGCTGACAGTTCGAAAGGGTAGTCCTTTCAGTGAAATAGATGAGGGGTTTTAGATCTGCACAGACCTTTTTCTTGGAAGTTTAACTTTGCTCCTGAGCAGTTGAATGTGTATAGTCCCGTTTACTACAAAGTTGGCAGGCTATAGGAGCAGAACATTGGCATCTTGGCTGCAGGTCATTACGATAATGAGAGCTAGGGGTAACCATGTCCATCAGAGGGCTGGGACGTAAGCATTTGTGTGAAAAGGCTAGCTGTTGTTGATCTTTTACATTTCCGCAAGGTATGACAGAACAAGCATTCAAGGCGGTGGTCTGAGGTGAGTTAGTTACAGTAATAACAAAGGCGCTAGTAACAATAAGGAAAGGAAGCAATATGAAGGTACAGGAAAATTAAGCTTTCTTTAACTTTAACTTAGTAGGATTGGTCCTAGTACAGTCATCCATGATTCTGAGAGAAAGATGTTTTCTTGACTGGAGTGTGGTCGTTTTTTTCTTGGCTCTGCGGATGGCAGTCTCAGTGGTTAACAGCATAAAATAGGGTTCTTCCCAGGCTGGCTCAAGTTTTTTCTTTCTGTCTTTTGATGAGGACGTGGTTTTCAGGCTGGTGCTGGTGTACTGGAAATTCTAGGGGTGGTACCTAGAACTAAAAGTCTTTTAGTTCTGAGGGAAGGGAAACTGGAAGATAAATTAAGTATATCATTTTTGCTGCATATCCTGGGGCTTGAGGCCCCATGGTGATGCCTCCCGCTCCATTCCTGCTCAGCGCCGCCCAGGGGACACTGCGGCCCTGCCTCCTCTTAAGCTCTTGGCCTTCTTGGGGCCTTCACTGCCCCTGTGCACTGTGGCCTTGGACATGAGGGGCCTTGTGACTTACCTGGCCACCTTCAGGCCTTAAGAAAGCTAAACACCATTTTATATTTGACAGTGCTTTTTGTATGATTTTATACCAGATAAGTTAAATTTTACCTTTATACTAATGTGCTATTAATGTTAAACTTAATAAAATCTTTTTTTTTTTTTTTTGAGACAGAGTCTTGCTCTGTCGCCCAGGCTGGAGTGCAGTGGCGCAATCTCAGCTCACCGCAAGCTCCGCCTCCCGGGTTCACGCCATTCTCCTGCCTCAGCCTCCTGAGTAGCTGGGACTACAGGCGCCCGCCACCATGCCCAGCTAATTTTTTGTATTTTTTAGTGGAGATGGGGTTTCACCGTGTTAGCCAGGATAGTCTCGATCTCCTGACCTCGTGATCCGCCCGCCTCAGCCTTCCAAAGTGCTGGGATTACAGGCGTGAGCCACCGTGCCCGGCCAAACTTAATAAAATCTTGTAGACATTATTTATTCAATTTTAATGTCTGACTATAGGGTAAGATTTTTATAGACTCTTTTTAAGCTTTTATAATTTTTGTTAAAGAGCGGGTTAGTGCTTTAAGAAAAATCTATTGTGCTTTTAACATCCAGTTCACAGAAAAACTGCATGATACCCCTTTAGCTTTAGCCAATATGTTTACACACAGAATTTCCTTTACAATTAACATTTTAAAACTTGCTTAAACCTTTAAAACAAAATATATTTTTTAACCTTTTAATGTAGGTAAAAATCCATATTATGTCTCCTTATAATCCTGTTATTAAAAGTATTATTTTATTTTTCTGACATACCTTGTATATAAACTGTTTTTTTTTAAATAATTTTACATTCAGGAGGCCTAATTACTTTTAAATTATACACTATTTCTTGCATAAATTCCCTTTTATAGCTTTTCTTACAACTTTCACAATCTTCAACATGTCTTAACTTTCTGCCTGCCTTTTACGCTATTTCTTTTTCTCAGTTTCACCCTCTATGTCTTCCTTTGATTTCTGTCTCTTCCAGTTTCTCTCTTATTCTTTCCCTCTGTATTTTAATCTCTTTCTGTCTCTTCTCTCTCTTCACTCTCTTCATCCCCTGCTTCCTTCTTCCCTCCTGAGTTCTCCCGCTCCTGCAGCAGCAGGGCCGGGCAATGGCACCAGCCCCTGGGCATGCACTGCCGTCAGTTTCTCTATCCACCCCCACCATTCCCCTTTTTACTTTTTTTCCCCTTTCTTCCTACACTTAGTTTCTCGGGCTGGGTGGGATTTGCATGGCTGCAGTCCGGCCCCGGCAGCCCAGAGGCTTGGCAGATGCCTGCCACAAATTGCAAGAATTATGCCCTCTCACCTCCTCTGCTCTCTTCCTGGCGCCGCTGTGCTTGCTGTTTTTGCTTTCTTTTTTTCTGACTTCCTCTCCTAGTTCTTTTTCCTGTCTGCTGGTCTTTCCTTTGTCTCTGCCAGCCACCTATGCTGCTGTTTTCCCCCCTCTCCTTCCCCTTCCCCTGGGGGACCAACCAGCGGGAGTGAAGCTTAGCCTTTTTCTTTCCCTGTGAAGAGGGGAAAAGGGAGTTTTGAATATATATATATATATATATATATATATATATATATATATATATATTTTAACTACTGGAGGTTTGTGTGAGGTTCAACCCCCTGAAATTAATGGAAGACTTAACCCCTCAAACCAGGGGTGTCTTGCCTTGCCTGCCCTGGGAGGTTGACCTGTTTCCTCCTTTCCCCCCAAAGGTCCCTTGCATACTTCCCACTTGTGTTGTCCTCTCTGGTCGCCCCCCCAAGGGAGAATTAGGCCCCTCTTAGTGTAGGCGTGCTGGTATAAATCCCACAGCAGGACCTGCCCTAAGCCATATGAGGTCACTACAGAACCGGAACCATGGAGGGGACCCACTCACTGTCCAGCAGGAGGACTTGTCACCGTCCACACAAACCACACTGCAAGCAGGGTTGTCTGTGATCATTCACACATACACACATTCAGCCCTCCAGAATTTCACCACCAAGGAAGTACTTTACCAGCTTCTGTGGCTTCTCCTTCCTTGGTCTGTGCACAGAGTTGCAGCCCTGGTATGTGAGCATCCTTTACCTTAGGTTGCTGGCCAGTTTCTTTTTTTTTTTTTTTTCTGCATTGCTGAGAGTCCGGGTTTATTCGTCACACCAGGTGGGTCTCAATTTCTCATCCCTGAGGCCACTGCAGTGAGGCAGAGGAGCGTGCTCCCTCATGAGAGAGGAACAGAGACCGCCCCCGCAGGAGAATGTAGCCCTGTACGGATTGCCACCAAATTGTTTGAAATGCTTGTTCCCCGGTGCCGTAAAGAAACAGCAGTTGAACATAAATTTAATTTACTCAGCAAGGACATTTTTACTTCCTGCAGAAAGGACACACTTGCCATCAGCTTTGCCACAAGAGTTCACCCAACAAAGGAAACAGGGTCATTTATAACCTGACGCGTCCACCCTATTGCCGTCTCTGGTTTCCATTGACTGGGATGGGACCTCACATTCTGTATCTGTCCCGATTGGCTAGCAACGTACAACTTTTTAAAAGAGGCAAAGGCAGAGGAGAACAAAGGAAGGAAGTAATTTGTGGAATGCTGAGAAAGGTAAAAACACCTTCAAATAAGGAAGAGGAACAGGCTATGACCTAATGCCCGCTTGGACCAGTATAAGCATGCCAGGGCAAATATTTAGGCTAAATTGTGGGAGCTAAGAACCTAAAGTAGTACATTGCTTTCTTTATTACTGCTAGCAGATATTTAATAATGTTAGCACAGGTCTTTGAATAAATTTTGCTTCTAAGAGAAGTTACTATTTATTCCTAATTAGATCGGTAGGAAAGTCTTTGAAGAGGAACCTCTACTTTACAACTAAACATCTAGAGGCTCGGAATGCCTCTTTCTGGGGATGCAGCCCAGCAGGCCCCAGCCTCATTTCCCAGCCCTCACTCAAAATGGAGTCGCTCTGGTTCCAGCGCCTCTGACACTGAGAGGTCATGTCAGGAATGGGGAAACTGAGGCTCAGAGGAGCTATGGCACTGCACAAAGCTACACGGCTCCCTGGTCTTCTGTTTCTGTTGAGTCATGTGAACCAAAAAGTATCGGAGATATGTCTCAGTCAATTTAGAAAGTTTACTTTGCCAAGGATAAGGACTCACCAGTCCTGACAACATGTGCCCAAGGTGGTCGGGGCACAGCTTGCTTTTATACATCTCAGGGAGGCACAATACATCTGTCAGTACATGTAAGATTCACATTGATGCCATCTGGAAGGGGGGCTTTCAGGTCATGGTAGATGTAAAAGTTTTCTGATTGGCAGTTGGTTGAAAGAGCTATTATCAGTAGAAAGGCATGTCTGGGTTAAGATACTGGTTGTGGAGACCTAGGTTTTATTATGCAGATGAAGCCTCCAGGCTGCAGGCTTCAGAGGGAATAGATCATAAATGTTTCTTGTCGGACTTAAGGTCTGTGTTGTTAATGCTGGAGGGCATAACAGGCCTGTCCCACACCCTCTTCTATCATGGCCTGGGCTAGTCTTTCTGGTTAAATGTGGAGGGCCCTGGCCTATTGGAGGAAGTTCATTCAGATGGTTGGGGGTACCTTCCGATGTTATTTTTGGTTTACAGTCAGGAACCCCCTAAAAGGCCTAGATCTCTCTCTGTCCCCAGGTGCTGGACTCTATGTCTTTCATGCATCTAGAGTCCAGAGGCAAAGGCCACCAAGGCTGAGAGCCGGGCACGGAGGCCGAGGAGATGGGGAGCCAGGGTTGCTTTTCTGGGAAAGAGGGAGTGATAAAATCAGGCATGGGCTGGTTGGTGAGGTCCCTGTGGGAGGTGAAGGCTGGGACCCAGAACAGCAGAGACTCTGTCGATGATGTGGAAAGACCGCGGCTGCAGTTTGGGCAGGCTGAGCCAGGGTTGGGTCTTGCATGTTGAGAGGCTGGCCTGCGGTGATGTGGCCAAAGAGGAAGAGCTGGGCTGGGGTGAGTGTTGGTCACATGGTTGAAACTAGGTGGGGAGGGGAGTGGTCCAGGGGAGAGTCCAGGCCCAGCTCTGCTGGGACTTGCCATGGGGGTCACGACTCATCTGCAGGGAAGGTCTGGGCTTTATCTCTGAGCACCTCTGTGTGCTGCTCACCCTGAAGTGGGGGTGGGCCTGTGCCTGGCCTGTCCCCTCATCCTGGGAGCTCCCAATGCCCATCTGCAAGGCTGTGGACCCCTCAGGAGTGGCCTGGAGCCTGGCTCCCATTGCCACATGGTGGCTGTGTGTGTGGAGAGGGTTGATAGTGGAGTGGTCAGGCCCAGGCTGCCCTGGGGGATGAAGTGCCATCCTCTGGGTGCCCTGGAGAAAGAAGAGAACTCAGTGAGCCCTGTCTGGTACTTTCCTGGAGGAGGGCTCCCATGCTGGCCCTCCACCCCTCTGTCCCCTGTCACCCTGAGGCCTCTGGATTTCCTCTCTGCCCTTCCCAACCTGCCAACTTCACGGGTTTCTGGCTGGGTTCTGGGGATGGCCCCTAGGGGAGACGGGCCAGGCACAAGCGGGGCTGTGTCAAGGTGGGTATGCAGGGGTAGCACAAGTGTGCAGAGCCTGGGGAGGCATGGGCAAAGCATGGCAGGCGGCGGGGCAGGGGATCTTGGAAGGTCACGGGCTGGGGAGCAGTGTGGGCAGCGGCCCAGAGGTGGGAAGGCCGTAGCTTAGCTGGGTGTCCCCTTTCTGTCCTCTGCAGGTGGAGCCCCCTGAGCTGCCCGCTGATCTGCAGCACTGGATCTCCTACAACGAGGCCAGCAGCCAGCTGCTCCGCATGGAGAGTGGGCTCAGTGATGTCACCAAGGACCAGTGACCGCCACCTTCACACCGTCTGCCCTGGCCACCATCCTGGGCCTGGGGGCTGCCCACAGATGGGCAGTCTCAGCCATACTCTGTTCCAGCTGGAGTAGCCTCCTGACCAGCCTGGCCCACCCTGCTCCACCCACTGGGCCCCCCCAGTTATTGATACCCCTCTGTGCTGGGCTCCACGCTAGGCAGAAGGAGGAGTGGCATTGGCATCCTGACCCAGCTCTGCCCTCAAGGTGGGGATGGATGGGCAAAGGAGAGTCCTGCCTGGCCCTACGATGAGGCCACTCATGTGGGCCTAGGTAGGGGAGGATGGTGCCTGGAGCAGAGGGACCCACAAGTGCCTCCCGAGCCTAGATCCTGGCTCGGACCACTGCAAGGGCCGAGGCAGGGCCAGACCAGAGCATCCTGGGTACAGGCCTGGGCTCTCCAGGGCCTGGGCCTGATTCAGGTGCAGTGGGCACTCCTGAAGGGTCAGAGCGGCATCTGCCAGGCAGCCCCTCTGGCTTCCGCTGAGGTGGTTGCAGGCCTGGGGCAGAGCCTGGGTGGTCAGAGGCCGGGGCTAGAGGCAGATGGAAGGGAGGCATTTGCTGACAGAGGACGGGGCACCCGGGCTCCCCACTGCAGTCGGCCTTGCCTCCTCCTCCTCCTCTACCTCCAGTCAGGCTGGACGGGAGGGTAGCCTTGTGGCTGAGAGGGGTCAGACTAGGTGGCACAGGGGCTCCTGGAAAGACAGCAGGCTTCCTGCTGGGCGTTCCCTTGTTGGAGGGAATAGAGTGGGGGTGGGACTCTGCAGGGGTGTCCTTGTCCACTCGCACCCCTCGCCGCCCACCAGGGCCATGCTCTGTGACTTGGGCTGATCCCCACCCTTTCTGGGCCTACAGCACCACAGGCCGCTGTACCCCCTTAGAGCTGCCCCTCTCTGGCCTGGCCGGCAGGCGTCTTCTTAACTCCTCTGTCCTCTATATTCAGCATGTTCCTTGTCAGCTGCTGGGCCGGCCCTGCCTTGCGCTAGCAGAGCCTCTCCTGGCAGCTTCTCAGGTCTCCCTAATGGAGACACCAGGCTACTAGGACACTGGCTGGGGCCACCCCCTCCTGCCTAATGCCTCACCTTACAGCTGGGGAAACTGAGGCCTGGAATGGCCCAGAGTCACCAAGGCAAAGTTGGGGCTGGTCCCAGCCTGAGGCTCCAGCTGATGCCCTCAGCTCCCAGAGAGGGGGTGCCCCATCTAGCTGGGTGCAGGGGTCACTGCTTGTCAGCTCAGGGCCCTGTGCCCGCTTGCCTGTTCCCCTACATCTGTGCCTGCACATCCAGAACTGCCTCCTTGCCGCTGCCTCCAGGAAGCCCACCTTGAGCCAGAGTCAAGGGCTGCAGCACTGCCCGATAGAACACGCCCGCCCTCACTGCTGTTCTTGCCTTACAGCCACCATGGGAAAGCTGCAACCTTTCTGTTTTATTTAAAGAAAGCCCAACATTAAAGGGTTTTCATTGCAAGCGTGCTGGGGAGGGCCTTGTTTCTGAGCTACCACCACCACCATCCATGCAGGGGCGGAGGTGGGACCAGGGAAGCTGGGGCACATTCCCAAGATGGGTGTCTGGCATGGGGGGCTATCCAGGTTTGTTGGGCTCCCGTGAACTTAGGGATCAGGCTGGCAGGGCAGGGCTTGTCCTCATCCCATGGGGCATAGGACTGAGGCCAAGAAGGTGCTGTCCAAAGCCCCCTGGGGAGCCAGCCCTTCCTGCTCCGGCCCTCCTGGTTCCCAGCTCTCGAGGCTTGCAGCCCCATCTACAGATGCCAGCGCCAGGTTCCCGGTTTCCCTCCTTCAGGGATTACCCTGGCGGTCATGCCTCAGACTCTGGGTCTGGCCCTCCAGGCTCCCAGAGCCTCGGGCAGGGTGCTGGTAGCCATTGGGGGCAGAGGTCAATGGACTGGTGGGTGGACAGGAGGCAGAGAGAGCATGGGGGCTGTTCTGCAGGCCCTTCAAAAGGGGTGGGGAGAAGTGGGACCCTCCGGGACATAAAGTTGAGTGAGGCGGGGTGTGGCCACGTCCATGCTGTGACCACCTTCCTGGGAGGGTCCAGAAGGCTCTGAGGGCCAGGGAAGGAGTGGGCAGTTGGAAACAGCTATGAAACCGGCATTTAGTGATGGGGCAGTAGGGCTGGGGAGGGGAAGCAAACTTGCTCAGCAAATCTGGGGTCTGTAGCCAGACTGGTTGGCCAGAAGCCTCTGTGCTTTCTCTGGGGTCCTTGGGGGAGGTGGCTCGTGGGGTCGCCACAGGTGTGTGAGCTGAGTGTTGCCAGACAAGCTTCCCAGTGGGGCTGCAGATGAAGCTGTAGGGATGCCGTCCAGCTGATGGTCCTGACCATCTGCCTGAGCCCTGGAGCAGGGCGGGGGCCACAGGACAGGGTGCCTGGGCCTTGGGAGGGCACCATGTGATGATGCCACTGCGGTCCCTGGCTCAGCAGCTACCTCTGGGTCGTGGAAGGCACATTGGCCTGGATAGGGAGTAGGGCTCAGTGACTGGACTAGGAATGAGTGTATCCAGTGCGCATATGGATGTGCGTGCCTGTGTGCATTTGTGTGTGTGTGTGTGTGTGTGCGCACGTGCACGCAGGCAACGGGCAAGCTTCAAGGTGGTTGAATGGGCAGCACCCGCAAGCCTCTGGGGCTTCTCTCTCCATGCAGAAGCTGAACACCCTGGGCTGTCATAGGCTGGCTCAGAGGAAGGTTTGAGCCAGCAGGGCCCTCTCTTGGTCTTGTTTTTGGAGGACGGGCTGACGACAGGACTGGCCCGGGTCAGGGAATGGGTGGCTGGGATTGGAAGTGAACCAGTGCCTTGTCCTGGCGGAGCCACTGGAGCCCACTCTGCTCCTGTGAGCCTGCCACTCGGAGAAGTTAGAGGGCAGCAACTGCTTCGGCCCGCGTCCTTCCCCCAAGGCCAACAGCTGCAGAATTTCTGCCCCAGCCGCCCCCACCCCCGGAGGTGTCTGCACAGTGTCCAGGTGTCGGGCCCAGGAAGCCCTTGGTGGATGCTGGTGAAGAAGGGACAGGTACAGGGTATGGGAGTGTGTCCGGAGGTCCTGGGGTGGTGGCTGTGCATGGGTCCGTCGTCCTGGGGGAGGAGGCACTGTGCCCTCTGATGGCCAGGTGGACAGAGTCACGACTGCTTTGGTGGGTGTCCCCGGGGCTCACCCTAGGTCAGTTGCCTGCTCAGTCTCAGCATCCAGCCACCGCCTCTGGGCTCAGTCAGCTGACTGGCCACTGTTGTGTCCCCTCAGGGCCCAGGGACACAGATCCCCACATCTGAGGCCTTGCTGAGTGGAGTTCTACTGTGCCTGGTGTCCGGAATTCTGGGACAGCAGGACCATCGCCCACCTCATGGATAGGGAAACAGACTAGGGCAGGGAATTCCCAGTATGGCCGCCAGGGGCTCAACGAGGCAGGCCAAAGGGGCTGATTCGTCCCAGGCCCAGGCCGCCGCTCCCCGCATGACTTCCCCTCTGGACACCTGCGAGTTGGGGGCACCCTTGGGGAGGTGGAGGGTCTTGCTCCTGAGGGCGGGGAGGGACGCCCTGCGGTCTGCACACCCCTCTCCTTTAGAGATTTCTTAAAGCTGCGGAAGACTAGCGCTGGCTGGTCTGACCTCTCCGCGGTAGTGGGGTTCAGAAGGGCCTCTGCTTCCCCTCCGCGCAGTAGGGCCTAGCGGCACGGGTGGGCGCCCTTCTCCCTCCCCTCCACCGCCACCTCTTGGCGGCTGGCTGCTTCCCCGCCAGCTTTACCCACGTCCTGCGACGGTCACGGATGCGACGCCCACTCACCTCCCTAGACCCCGCGCGCCCGGGTGGTGAGCGCCTGGCCTCCGCGAGCCCCACCCCGTGGGCGCGCCCTCCCGAGGTCCCTCCCTGGCCGTGGCCTCCCCACGCATTTCCTGGGAGGGTCGCGGCGACAGGCAGGGCAGGTGGGCGTCCTCCAGGCCGGCCGAGAGGGCCAGGGCTCTCTGAACTCTGTGCTGCGGACCCCTACGGTCCAGGCGGCCCAGCTGCGCGCGCAGTGCAGGTTCCGGGCAGAGCGCACAGGGTCGCCGCGTGCTCGCGGTGCGCGCTCTGGGACGAGTCTTCCTGGCGCGGGTTCCGGGACTCGGGCGCGCGCCCTCTGCTGGCCGTGCGGGCTCAGCATCGGGGGCCCCTCGCAGGTGCCCTCCCAGGGATAGGGGCACCTGCTGAGCCTTCACCACTGCGCTCCCAAAGAGCCTGGAGGCCTCATCCCCATTGTGCCGCTGGGGACGCTGCCAGAGATGCGGCGACTTCTTGCTCCGTCCCCCTGGTGAGGCCAAGGCCCTGCCCCCTTGGCTCCAATCGAGGCCCGGGTGAGGCCCTTGGAGGTCCGGCCATGACCCAGGGGACGGGCCCTAACCGGAAGCCACGCCGCCGGCCCGGTGCTGGCCAACGGGGAGGCCCGGGGTAGCCCTTCAAGGGGGCCTCTCTGGCAGCTTTCTCTGGTCGGGGCTGCTCCCCAGGGACAGCATTTAATTCCTGGTATTTCTGGGAGGGCGTAGAGGTAGGGGGTGGGTTCTGACATCTGGGCCCTTCATAGACAGAGGTGGGCTCTCACAGGGGTCCTAGGCGACCCCCGCCACTGCCCTGGTTACTCCCGCATGCTCCTCGGGTATGCCCAGCTGGTCTGACCACAGCCTGCTGCATACCGCTCCCACCCCAGCAGGCACAGGTGCCCACAAGACCCCACGGGCGTGACCCAGCTGATGTGTGGGGCCTTAGAACCCAAGACCTAGCTGGGCAGCGCTTAGATGGTGTGCAGCCCAGGAGACACCAGGGGACTGGGGCCTGGAGAGGGGCAGTGTCCAGGGGTGGCTCAGGCCCACAGCAGCCCGTGCTCCCCGTTGGCTCTGCCCACCTGCCGACAGGGGTGACAGTGGCACAGAGCACTGTGACTGTGATGGGACAGCCAGGGCCAGGAAGAGGGGGAAGCGAGCCTGGAAGTCAGGTCTCCTGGGTCCTGAGAACCCGGGGCTCCTCCGCTAATCTCAGCTGTCCCAAGGGGACAGTGGGCAGTTGTCAGAGGAGGTGACTGAAACCGTGGAGCTGTGTGGTACCAGCAGGCCCAGGTGCACACACCCAGGAAGACCCCTTGGGCTGGGCAGGCAGAGCCAGATGTATCCACCCTTGGAGGAAAGTGGATGCCAACTCTGAGCTTCCTTCCCTCTCTAGGGTGGGAGCGATGTCTCCAGGGTTTACAGGGGAGATTCTTAGCGGGAGATGTTCCCTGGGCTAGGGTACAGGTCCTGGTCTGAGATGCCAGGCTAGTTTGCATCAGGAAAGGGGCCCAGGAGGCATTTCTTCCCCTAAGTCTCTGTTTTCCTATCTGTGAAATGGGTCACAGAGGCTCTGGGTGAGAGGGAGGAGCAGGTGCCTAGAATGTGCTGTCCTTCAGCCTGGCTCTCCTGAAGGCCAGTTCTGTAGGGTGTCAGTGCCCAGGAAGGACAAAAGTCATGTCCACTCTTGGCTTAGTTATGTTTTATAAGCGTGGGGTATGGAAGGCAGAGGGCGCCCCTGGTGTGCTTCTCTCCCCTCAGACCCCATGAGTGAGCTGTGCCACAGCAGCAGGAAGCAGGGGGAGGTGATCACAGGTGGAGCCAGGCCCCGTCAGAGAGGAGGTGCCTGAGGAGCACCTTCCGCCCTGCCGCCCTGGGTTCAGAGTTCCGAGTTGCAGAGGTCTCGGAAGCAGCAGAAGATCAGGTGGGCGGCCCCGATGCTGTCGGGGTCGGTGGCCACACAGGAGCTGGAGCAGGAGCGGGTCACCACGGGGCTCTGGTTGAAGGGGTACTCTGCAGGGTGGGCCAGTGTCAGAACCCTCACTCCCCTGCAGCGCCTGCCTGCTGCTGCACTGCTCCCAGCCGCCGTCGCCTGACCTCACCCTCCCTGTGATCCCTGTTCCCAATAGTCCACATCTGTGAAGCCACCCAGGGCCCAGCCCTCCTCTGACTGTGACCTGTTCATGAATTATTAGGCCTTGTCAGACCTCTGAAGTGCCTGCGCTGAGATGGGAGCCCGAGCCCAGAGGCTGTGGCAACACCACCCAGTGGGTCTGTGTCAGAGCTGGGGTTTGAGCCCCCCAGGGTACCCCGGCCATTAAGCCCCACCCACCTCCAGCGCCTGGTGCCCCAGGACTGGGTCTCTGAGGGGGCTGTGCCACCCTCGTGGAAGGCACCCCTGCCAAGGTGTGGCAGCCTGTTCTGCCCATCCCACCTGCTGCCTTTTGGGCCGGGAGGAGCACCAGCAAAGGAGGGAGGCACTTGGGGGAGGTGGCCCTGACTCCAGTGCACCCAGGGCTGCCGTGGGGCCTGGCCTCACCTGCCTCCACCGTCACCAGCGTGGTCATGCAGGCTGTGTCCTCTGGCTTGCAGCGGGTAATGGTCCTGCAGGAAGCACTGGTCATGGGCTCCTTGCAGGTGTAGCACTTGAGGGCCTCACCTGGGTGAGGGATGGGGGCAGAACCTCATCACCTGACCTCGGTGGCCTCATCCTGGAACCAGGAGGCAGGGGCTGAAGGAGTCTCGCTGACATCTTTCAAGGCCCCGGGCAGCCCTTCAAGGGGCCTCTCTGGCAGCTTTCTCTAACTGAGCTGAGCCACAGACTTGAATGCTGCATCCCTCCACCAAGCCTCAGTCTCCCTTCCTGCAGAGTGGAGCCGTGACCCCTGTCCCAGGGTGAAGCTGGGCTCTGGGACCCAGGAGGCTCACTGAGAATGAGGAGGGTGAGCCTCATGGAGGCCTAAGGAGGCTCTCAGCCACAAAGCACCCCCAACAGCCCCATCCCCCTAGGAGGTGGGCAGACAAGCTCAGAGGCAGGGTCCCCACCAGCCTGCGGCCCACTCACCACAGCCCATGCTCCAGGCTGCCACGAGCAGCAGCTGCACAGCCCAGCGAGAGGCCATTGCTCCGTGCTCAGAAGTGATGAGAGGTAGCCAGCCTCACATCAAGGATTTATACCCAGGCCCTTGGGCACCGGCTTCTGGGCGGTGGCAGAACCGGCCGTGTGAGTCAGGAACGTGGTAAAGGGCCCAGTGGGGAGGCAGCTGGCAGGAACATGGCAGACGGGCAGGGAGCTGGATCTGGGAGCTCTGTCTGAGGACGATGGCCAGGCCTCTGCTTGCACACCTCCAACACTGGGGAACTCACTGTTCCTCAGCCATGTCCAGTGGTCCTGGGACAGCTCTGACAGAGAAGGCCTTTCCTGCTGAGCTCAGACTGCCCCTCTGATGAGCCCCCATGTCCTGGCTGTGCCTCTGGGGTTCACATAGGCCACCCAGCCCCAGCCTGGGGGACCCTTAAGACCCAGGTTCAGTGTAGCCTCTGCCCTTGTTGCTCTAGCCCCGCCTGGCACCCCTTCCCTGCAGCCTGGCCTGCAGCCCTCTCCACAGACCTCTACCTGGTCTGTGTACACCTGATACACACCTGCAAAGTAGAAACCAGAGGTAGGAAGCAGGTGTCAGGTGAGGGTAGCATGGGCCAGCTAGACCACTCTCAGGCTGACAAGGTTGGGCCCAGGAGTGGCCCCTCATCACTGCCAGCCCCTTCCCACTAATGGCCTTTAGACCAAACCTGAGTTTCTTGATTTTAGGCGCCTGACAATAAGGTTCTGCTCACCCTCCAGCCTCCTGGCCTGACTGTGTTGTCTGCTCTTTACTGCGTGCCCCCCACGACACCCTGTTCCACACGCATGCCTGCCTATGCCATACCGCTCAATGACCACATTGCCTGGTCTCCCATCTGATGTCCCACATCTTCCCCATGCTGTGAGACCCACTAAGGTGCCCCTCTCCACAGTCCTTCCAGGTATACCAGCCTCTCTGGTTTCTCTGTCCTGTGATGTCCCAATGGGTGGTTGTATAGATGGATGAGTTGATGGATGGATGGATGGGGGATGGATGAATGGGGGATGAATAGGCGATGGATAGGGGATGGATGGATAGATGGGTGGGGGATGGATGGGTAAATGAATGGGAGATGGATGGGTGGATGCATGAGTGGATGGGTGGATGGATGGGTAGATGGATTAGTGGGGGATGAATATGGGATGGATGGATGGATGGTAAGAGATGGATAGGAAATGGGTGAAGGATGTATGGGTGGATAAGTTGGGGATGAATGGAGGATGGGTGGGGGATGGATGCATAGATGGATGGATAGGTGGATGGATGGATGGATGGGTGGATGGATGGGTAGATGGATGAGTGGGGGATGAATATGGGATGGATGGGGGATGGATGGTTGGATGGATGGGGGATGGATGGGAAATGGGTGGAGGATGGATGGGTGGATGGGTGGGGGATGAATGGAGGATGGGTTGGGGATGGTTGGGTGGATGGATGGATGGGTGGATGGATGGGTAGCTGATGAGTGGGGGATGAATATGGGATGGATGGGTGGATGGTGGGAGATGGATGGGAAATGGGTGGAGGATGTATGGGTGGATGGGTCAGGGATGAATGAAGGATGGGTGGGGGATGGATGGATAGATGGATGGATGGGTGGATGGATGGGTGGATGGATGAGTGGGGGATGAATATGGAATGGATGAGGGATGGATGGGGAATGGGTGGAGGATGTATGGGTGGATGGGTGGGGGATGAGTGGAGGATGAGTGGGGGATGGATAGATGGCTGGATGGGTAGATGGATAGATGGATGGATGGGTGGATGGATGGGGGATGGATAGGAAATGGGTGGAGGATGTATGGGTGGATGGGTAGGGGATGAATAGAGGATGGGTGGGGGATGGATGGATAGATGGATGGATGGATAGATGGATGGATGGGTAGATGGATGAGTGGGGGATGAATATGGAATGGATGGGGGATGGATTGGATGGATGGATGGGGGATGAATGGGAAATGGGTGAAGGATATATGGGTGGATGGGTGGGGGATGAGTGGAGGATGGGTGGATGGATGGGTGGATGGATGAGTGGGGGATGAATATGGGATGGATAGATGGATGGATGGGTGGATAGATGGGGGATGGATGGGAAATGGGTGGAGGATGTATGGGTGGATGGGTGGGGGATGAGTGGAGGATGAGTGTGGGATGGATAGGTGGCTGGATGGGTAGATGGATAGATGGATGGATGGGTGGATGGATGGATGGGTGGATGGATGGGTAGATGGATAAGTGGAGGATGAATATGGGATGGATGGGGGATGGATGGGGAATGGGTGGAGGATGTATGGGTGGACGGGTGGGGGATGAGTGGAGGATGGGTGGGGGATGGATAGATGGATGGATGGGTGGATGGATGGATGGGTGGATGGATGGGTAGATGGATGAGTGAGGGATGAATATGGGATGGATGGGGGATGGATGGGGAATGGGTGGAGGATATATGGGTGGATGGGTGGGGGATGGATAGATGGATGGGTGGGGGATGGATAGATGGATGGGTGGGGGATGAATGGAGGATGGGTGGGGGATGGATAGATGGATGGATGGGTGGATGGATGGGTAGATGGATAAGTGGGGGATGGATGGGTGGATGGGTGGGGGATGGATGGGGAATGGGTGGAGGATGGATGGGTGGATGCGTGGGGGATGAGGGGAGGATGAGTGGATGGATGGGGACGGATGGGTGGATGGGCAGAGGATGGGTGGGTGGATGCATGGATGGATGTTGGATAGATGTGTGGATGGATGGATTTCAGAAGGATGGATGGATGGAGGATGGGTGGATAGGTGGGTGGAGGATGGATGGATGAATGGGGGCAAGATGGGTGGATGGATTATTAAATGAATGACATTTGAGAGAGTTGATGTGTGAAAAAATGAATGAATGGATGGGAGAATTCAGGGATGGAGGGATGGGTGGCTATAAAAGTGGCGGCAGACAAATGTGTAGTGAATGGGCCCTTCCGAGGCAGAATTCGATGCTGGAAGGAGCTCTGGGCTGGCACCAGGAGTCCTGGGTTCTGGTCTTGGCCTACTGCTCTCTCCATTTGTGGCCTTGGTGTGGCCCCTTTTTCCTTCCAGTCTTTGGTTTTCTGTTTGTAGTTGTGAAAGCTGAAGTGACCTGGCCTTGTGGGCTGAGGTGAGTTGTGTGAGGCTGTGGGATGGTTGCAAGAAAGCCAAGGGAGGGCGTAGTTACTGCAAATCAAACAAAGGGGCTGACATGGGTTGGTGCACAGATGGCAACCAAGAGCAGCCTCTCCCCAGGGCTTGGTCCACAGACACACCCAGGTGTTTCGAGAGGAGTCAGAGACTGTCCGGTTCTGGAGCCTGAGCTCCACCCGGCCTCCCGTGAAGCCCATGTCTACTCACAAGGACTCTCACCCCACGTTCTTTCATCTATAAACTGGTCAGGGGAACATCTGCCAGAGGGTGGTTGTGAAAACTAGCAAGTATCTGGCAAAGGATGGGCCTCCATCAAGCTTTCAACTCAGCTCTGTGCTGATCACAGTGCAGGTGTACTTGGGGCAGAGGTGGGCGGATGCTGAGGACAGGGGTACTGCTCTCAGCTGCTGCTCACATTGGCTTTGAAAGGGAGGGAAGTCCTCAGAGGGTGCTCTGGGTGGGAGTAGCAGCCAGCAGAGGGGCACAGGCAGCCTTTCCGCTGTGTGGGAAGAGTGGGCACTAACTTGGCCCATCCCTGAGCCCAGCACCCTATTGGCAGGTGGAAAAGCAGCACTGTGTCAGACACAACTCAAGCAGGGAGAATTTATGCCCTAGTTAGGTGACTGCCCTCCCCTCCTCCTGCCTCTCCATGAATCCACACCTTTTCCCGACATGTGGAACCAGGAGACCAGGTTTTTTGAAGGCAGCTCAATCCCCCAAACCCCAGAGTTCTCATCCATGATAGGCCTGCAGCACTGAGCCAGTTCACACCAAGCCCCAGCTATCTGCCATGTCAGCCCGGTCTCTTTCCCAGAGGCCTGGCCCTTTCTCCTTGGCTACACTCTCCACCCTCCACTCAGAGAGACCAGCTAAAATGCAAACTGGCTTATGGCACTGCTCTTCCCAGAAACGCTCCCTGGCTCTCCACTGCCTTCAGCATGCAGTCAAAAAGCCCCACCACCACTGTTGGTGTTTGATGCTTGCCCTGTCTGGGCTGGCCTGAGGGACTACTGGACTGTCATCTCCTCAAGTAGAACATGTTTCCATTCCTCTAAGAATCCTTCTCCCACAGCCTGGGTCTGACCATGCTGACTGTTGAGCAGCATTTGCTGGAGGATGGATGGATGGATGGATGGGTGGATAGATAGATGGGGGATGGATGGAGGATGGATGGATGGATGGATGGGGAGATGGAAGGGGGATAGATGGATGAATGGGTAGGTGCATGGGTGGATGGATGGGGGATGGATGGATGAATGGGTGGGTGCATGCATGGATGGATGGGTGAGTGGATGGATGGGTGGGTGGATGGATGGGGGACAGAAGAGGGATAGATGCAGGGGTGGGTGGATGGGTCGATGGATGGGGGATGAATGGATGAGTGAATGAATGGAGACTGGACAGAAGACGGATGGATGGGTGGATGGATGAGTGGATGGATGGATGGTGGATGGATGAGTGAATGGATGGATGGATAGATAAATGGATAGGGGATGGGTGGATGGATGGAGAGAGTGATGGATGGGTGGGTGGGCATATGGGTAGAAGGATGGATAGGTGAATAATGTATGGCTAAAAGGGGAGATGGATGGATGAGTGGGTGGGTGGAGGAGGGATGGATGGATGGATGGATGGATGGATGGATGAATGGATGGATGGATGAGTAGTTAAAGACAGGCTTAATGTTGTTTCTTCCAAGGTGACCCAGGATGGGTATTTGTGGGCATTCAGGTTGACTTCTCCCCAGGGTACAAATGCTCTTGCAGCCTCTCTGACAAAACTTAGCACAGGTTTGGACACCCCTGGGAATGGGAATCTTACTCCTTCTCAGGGCAGTACCTGCCCCACTGGGACAGACCTGTTTCAGGCCTTCTTCCATGGGAGCTCAGACTTGCCAGTCTGACACCCGCAGCCTTGGTTCTGACCCTGTATCCAGGCTGCAGAGCCAATTACATCTCACAGGCGAGTCTGATAGCTAGTCAAGTTCCTTGGAGGATTGAGGTTTTTTGCATAGACAGGCACTGAGTGAGCTCTCAGGTTTGGCTGCTGATTTAACAGTGGGCTAGGGTAGAGAGGGGGAGGCAAGGAGCTGGAGGTGGCTGTGATAGCTACCCAGGGACATTGGCTGGTGGCTTAGATGGCATGATGACAGTGGGCACAGGGCTGAGGCCGAGGAAGATGTCCTGGCAGTGGGGTGGGGGGATTGCTAATGCTGAGTTATGGGAGGTGGTGGCTGAGGTCCTGAGGGTGCTTTGTCCTCTTGAAGGTTAGTGCTGGGCTCCAGCCTTGTCCTGACTGTATTGTCTGCATTTGAGATCCAGACATCCCTGCCCTGGGGTGGGCTGGGCCCTGCTCCCTGAGGAAGTGTGGCAGGTGTTCATCCTGTTCTGGAAGGTCGCAGCAGATGGCCTTGGGGAAGTCAGGAGTAGAAGAGAAAAAGAGGACGGCTGGCAAGGTGGTCTCATCATTCCTCTGATTTCAGGGCCAGATGTAATGGGGCCAGGGCAGAGGGTGCTAGAGCTGGCAGTTCCTAGAGAGGAGCAGAGCCCACTCCATCAGCCCGCCAGGGGTGGGAGTGGCCTGCACCACCAGACACTGAGTTCAACTGCTCCCCTCGCCTGCCTGCTCCTGGCTCCTCTTCTAACCAAAATCTGGAACCACTGGCTCTTCCTCTTCCCATCAAGCCATGTCCTGCCCTGCCCATTTCTACAGGCTGTGAAACTGCCCAGGGCACTGCACTGGTGGGGCCCTGGGTCCCTGCCCTGGCACCTCACTATAAGCCTCTCCTACCCCACTGGCAAGCTGAGGAGTAAGCCTGGATGAAGGACTTGGGTCATAGGGAATCTCAGGGACAGGTACCCAAAAGGTGGCATCATGGATGGTGAGGTTAAGGTCAAAGATAGGGCTCTAAGGCTTGGATTGGGCCTCACTCATAGCCTGTGCTTGGGCCTGAGCTGAGCCCCTTTCCCTATCATTGACTGAAGCCTTTTCCTGATCACACAATCACACACTGAGCCTGGACCCTAGTTACAGATTGAATCCTGATCCTTGGCCCTTGACTGAGTCATACTCCGTGGCTGAGCCACAGGCTCACACATGGAGCCAGGACATCAATCATAGATCAAGGCCTGGCACTGCTTACAGACTGAGCCCTGATCAATGGCCAAAGACTAAGCCCTGATCCTGATTCCAGGCTGAGCCCTGATCCTGTTTCCAGGCTGAGTCCTGATCTCTGGTCACAGATAGGCCTTGCTCCCAGTCTCTGTGAGGGGTTGTGAAATGCATGTGTGTTTGTAGGGGGTGTGTGTGTATGTGTAAATAGAGTCTCAGCCTAGGCTTTGAGGCCACTTTGTGGGAGTCTTGAGAAAAGCCAGCTGAGAGCTGTGACGTTTGATGGCTGAGAGCATGTCTCCCTCTTGACAAAATCAGAGCTCAGGGTCACAGCCCGGATGGGGCATCCAAGACAGCACTAGAATGTTCCCAGCCTCCCGGGCCCCTTCCTCTCCAGGAGGCTGCCCTCATTTTACCACCAAGGCGTCTCTGACAGATGGTGGCTGTGCTCCGGGTGGTGGGGCCCCTGGGAGCAGGCCCTGGACCATAGCGCCCACTGTGGACTACAGGTCTAGCCCCAGGAGGGTGACACCCAGGGGCCCAGAAACAGCTGCTGGAGCAGGAAGGGTGAGGTGGGTAGGCTCAGTGGGGGTCTGCAGGGCCCAGGAGGAGTGGCAGTTTCCAGGGTGAACATTCTCCTCTCCTAGCCAGGCTGGGGCCCATCTCCTGCCACGACCTCCCTTGGGCAGCCCTTGGGAGGAGCCGGCGCTGGGTAGGAGGGCCACTGGGTCCTGTCCTTCCTCATGTCCTTGAGTTCCTTGTGTGTTTCTAGGACCACGTGCATGTGTGTGCATGCGTGTCCATGCCTGTGATCATGGGGAGTCTCAGCCTGGAGGCTTCTAGGGCAGAGGACTCCCTGGAGAGTTGCCTGGAGGACTGGGGCACTGGCCTAGGGCCAAGGTGAAATGAAGGCCCCTTCTGCACCAGAACTTGTGGCTGCCCTGGGCATCTGACCCCCTGGGCACCTGACCCCTGGGAGCAGAGCTGAGTGAGGGCAGGGATGTTAGGTGGACATGTGGGGTGAGCCTGGAGAGGCAGGCAGTGGACACACTGGGATCCAGCCTATGGTCTCCTCCTCAAAGCAGCCTCCGCCATCAGCCTTGGGGCAAGGCCCTGCTCAGGCTGGGGAGGTGGGTAGTGGGGTGCTCCAGAGGACAACCCCAGCTCCTGGTCACTGCCTTGACCTTCCTTCCACCTGACATGCCTTGCCCTCCTCAAGGCCTGCCAGATCTCTCCATCCTTCAAGGCTTGGCCCTAATGCCCCCTCCTCCAAGGAGATGGCCCTGACTTCACCCTGGTAGATGTGGTGCTCCCTTGCCGAAGGGTCTCAGCTGCTGCCCCACCCTGGTCAGGCCCCCACATCCCCTGAGGGCAGAGATCTGCATGGTTTGTGTGGGGGTCCCAGGCCCAGTGGCTGTTCTCACGATGGGATAGAGCTTAACATCACAGGAAGGCAGGAAGAGAGACAGACACACAGGAACGGGGACATCGACGAGGTCAGAGATGCAGCAGGGCAGGTCTGTGCCCAGAAAGGAGACTCAGGAGTCCTGGTGCAGGGGGCACTTCTTCAAGGCATTCGGGGCTGGGCCGCATAGGGCCATGGGGGTGGGCGGGGACTCTACAGTCGGAGGCTCAAGAGTGGGAGGAGCGTGAGGGCCCCGCAGTGGAGGCTGTTCAGAGCGGGCGCCCCGTCTACATTGCACAGCTCAGTATTGCAGCAGGACACGGGCAGGGTCTGGCCGATGCCATCCACATCCGAGGGCTTACACTTGCTGGCACAGGACTTGGTCACCGTGGAGTCCCCCTGGAAGGGGTACACTGTGGGGTGTGGGAAGAGTCAGCCGTCAGGGCTGGTCACTGCCTCCAAGCCCTGGTCCCTGCCAGTACCACCTCATGCAGGCCCCACTCTGGGGTCACCCACCCGGGTCTCCGTCCCTCCTGGCCCAGTGCCCTCCTCTTCCTCTCTCCTCCCACCGACGTTGTCCGGGTGTCTACCATGTGCCAGGCACCCGGCCTGATGGGGCAGTTCCCGCCCCGAGGTGACTGTTGAAACCAAAGCCTGTAAGTGTGCCCAGCTTCTCCAGTCCCCCCAAAACGAGGTTGCAGATATGTTCCCACCGAAGGACATGAGGGAGAGAGGAAGGAAGGGGAGGGCAGAGGGAGGCCTAGCTCGGGCAGAAAGCCATTTCTGGAGATGGGTGAGGTGGTGGCTGTGCACTGGGGCCAAGCTGGCTGGTGGTGACTGGGCTGGAGGTGGCTCTGACCGGGAACCCAGCCCTGCCCGCCTTCCGTGCTCACTGCCCTATCTCCTGGGAGTAGAGTGTGACTGGGCTGGAGGTGGCTCTGACCGGGAACCCGGCCCTGCCCGCCTTCTGTGCCCACTGACCTATCTCCCGGGAGTAGAGTGTGGTCTTGCACATGGTTTCGTTGGTGGTGCAGGTGGCGATGGTGACACAGTCCGACACTCCTGTGGGCTCCGGACAGACGTAGCAGCGCAGGGCCGGCGCTGGGGAGAAGGGACAAGGGCGGTCAGGCAGGCTCCACCCCTCCCAAGCCCAGAGACAGTCTGTCCTGGAAGCCCAGGTCTGAAGAGGACAGTGACACTGGCCAGGGTAGAGATGCCTACCAGCCAAAACTCAGGAGCAATGCCAGGAGCCTGCAGCTGGGGACAGGCCGGGCTCAGCCTCGGAACCTTGCATCCCAGAGGCAGAGTCGGCTGCTGGGGGTGGGGATCCAGCCTGCAAGGCCTGGGAGGAGCCAAGCCAAGCCCCTTTGGAAGTGTTTGGGAGACTCAGGGGGACCAAGGCCCTGGCATCTTCATAGCAAGAGGCACCTCGGGCAGGAAGCCTTGGGTGGGGGCGTGGCTGGGGGCAGGTTACCCCCTCAGTTTCCCCATCAGGGAAGTGCTGCTGTGGAGGTCAAGGGATCAGGCCAGGAGGCCCATGGAATGCAGGGTGTGCCAGGCTGCATCCGGGCTGTGTCTGGGTGCCCACTCCTCTCCCACAGGGACTTGCAGACCGGCAGGGACGGGGACCGGAGAGGCTCCAATTCCCTCCTGCTCCGGTGACCCCGGCCCCAACCGCAGCAGCCCAGGTGGGTCTGGCTGGTTCCAGCTGGCCAGGGCAGCCAGCTGCACAGCTAGGCCCGACTCCTCTGTCCCCACTGTGGGGATGCAGCGGGGCCTCTGCCCCTCTCTGGTGCACCTGTTTCTGGGAAATGGGCAAAGCCATCTGCCAGGGGCCTCTGGGCCAAGCTGCTTCTGGTTGAGTCCAGGACATTGCCCCTGATGGTTGTTTCAGGCTCCACATCAGGGAGTCACCCCACCCCATGTGTCTGGTTTCCCCACTCCTCTCCATCTCTACTGCCACCCCAGCCTCAGAGCCTCCCTGGGGTTGCCTTCCTTCCCCCGCTCAAGGCCCTTCTGGGTGCCCATAGCCCCCCATAAAGTGTGACACCCAGGCTGGTGCTCAGGGGTGTGGCTGGCTGGGCCCCCGCCCACCTCGAAGGCCACCCTCTGCTCACCCTCATTAGGCGTCCCCCTCACCGCCAGCCCCTCTCTCCGTTTCCACCCTCCCCTCCTTATGGCGGGGGGGCCACACCCCCGGCCCCACAGCTCTGGCTTCTCCTGCCTCTGAGGCCCCTTCCTGGGGCGCCCTCCCGGGAACAGTGTGAATGTCAGTGGGTGGCATCTCCCTCCGTCCCAGCTCCCCTGTGGGTCCCACACCTCACCCAGCTCTCCGCAGGCAGCCAGCACCAGCGCCAGGAGCGCCAGCCGCGTCCCCCGCATGGTCCCGGCCCACTCCTCTGTGCTCTCACCCCAGGCTTGCCTGGCGGGGACAGCAGACACCAAGTGAGGTGGCGACAGACTGGTCTGCTGAGCGGATTAGTGGGGTAGAGTTTCCCCAGGGTGGAGGTGTGAAGACCCCGCCCCTCCAGGGGCTCCCCAGCCTTCCAGGCTGCTCCTCCCACTCCCAGCCTGGCCCTCTAGGCCCACCCCACCCAACTGGGACCCTCCCTGTCCCTTCCTCATTCCTCCAGTATCAGGCCGGTCCCCTCCCTGCCCTTTCCTGACCCCTCCAGCTCCCCGCCTCCGCCACCATGGCCTGGGGCCGCCCCTTCTTCCCTTTGTGGGGACCCTCCTTGACTCCTACACACCCTGTGCTCGGCTCTTCTCCCCACCCCCCTCATCCAGGAGAGCCCCCACTGGCTCACCCCAGGCAGCCCAGGGACCCCCCAGACTGCCTGGAAGGGGGCAGGGGAGTGTTACGGGCCACTCTCTGCTGCTGGCTCCTCAGGGATCCCTCCTGCCTCAGGTCATCTGTGTTCCAAGGCAGATCTGTGTGCTGGATCTTCCAAGATTCTGGGCTGGAATCTTTCCAGGAGGACCTTGGTCCCACCTCCGAGCTCCTTTGAGTGGTCAGGCTGGGTGTTGGGGGCCTGGGAGTGAACTGCCACCCGGACAGCCAGCTACAGGGTGTGCTCAGAGGCTTAAGGAGACAAATGCCAAAAACTACTGGGTCAGCAGAGAAGGTCCTGGATAGAGAGTGGGGTGGGGAGGAGCTGGGGTCTCTTGGGGGTGCTAATCCCATGCCCCCAGCCACCTGCCAGCTGGGTACCTTCATCTCTAACCTTCTGATAAAGCTGCCCTCAGGCAGGGCTTACCACCTCCTTGCAGGTAAGGAAATTGAGGGAAAGTTCCTTACCCGGGGCTCAGACAGGGGACAGTGATTTTGGGTTGGGATGCCTCAGACCATCTCCTGCTCAGCTCCCAGCTCCCCCCAAGGACATCCCCCCAGACTGCCTGCTCCAGCCTCCCCAGGTTGTGTCTGGTCTGTGATCCTGCCACCCCCTGCTCCCAGTCCTGCAGCTGCCAGTGTGTAGGGTGTGGGGGTTGGGGGAGGGATGTGTGACAAGCAGCCTGTGTCTTCCTGGGCCCTGGCGGTCAAGGCCATGATCTCAGCTAAGCCCAGACTCACACTGGAGCTCTTCAGCCTGAGCACCCAAATCCCACCTCATCCTGGTCTTTGCTCCTGCTGTTCCCACTGCCAGGAATGCCCTTCCCTCTTCTGTCCCAGTGTTTGAAATTCTGTCTTTGGTCGACCGCACTCTCCTGCCCGCACCCCCTCCCTGCCATGGCCCTTTTGGTGTCCCCACACTTTCCTGCTGCATCAGCTGTTTGGGATCTGGTCTTCGCCCCAGTGGCTGGGAGAGCCTGTGTCTCTCTGAGACTAGGTGGGGGTGGAGTGTGCAGGGGTGGTGAGTGGGGCACCAAGGATTCCCTAGCGCCCCACTTGTGTCAGAGACTTAGCCTAGCAGATCTCACTTTTCCTCACTGCAGCTTCAGAGGTGCACAGTGCTAATGAATTTATTTTGCATAAGGGAACTGTGGCTCTGAGAAGTAATTGACTTAGGCAAGGCCGCCCAGCCAGGCCTGGGTGAAGGCTGAACAGCAGCAAGCCTGTCTGGTTTTTCATGGTGCCACTCAGCCACGCTGCAACTGGCCATTGATGCTGGGTGCAGCTAACTGGATTAGACACCCCACCCTACACACCCTGGGTTCCTCTTGAGGCCTGACCCAATTCCTCTGCCATGGCATGGCCCAGCTCCTTCCTGTCCTCAGACCCAGGGGCCCCACCTGTGCCTTCTACCCAGAATACACGCCTGGCCCCCAGGCATTCACCTCCTCCTAGAATATCTGCCTGACCCCCATTGGAGAGATCCAGGCTAAGCCTTTCTGCAAAGTTGCAGCTGCCTGATTGGGGTGTGGAAAAATGTGGCCTAGCCAGGGTCTGGGCTGGCTTTGTTTGGGAGGACTGTGTTCCAGGAAGACCACACCCTTCCCTCCTCAGTTCCACCAGGAACTTCTGGGTCAGGGCTCAGTGTGTGACCAGAATCTGGGATCAGTCTATTATTAAGATCAGGGCTCAGCATATTACAAATATCAGAGTTCAGCACATCACCAGGATCAGAGTCAATGTGTGATCAGGAGCAAGGCTCACCTTGTGACCAGGATCAGGGCGCAGTGTGTGATCAGGGGCAGGGCTCAGCACGTAACAAATGTCAGAGCTCAGCTTGTAATCAGGATCAGGGCTCAGTGTGTGATCAGGAGCAGGGCTCAGCATGTAACAAATGGCAGGGCTCAACTTGTGAGGATCAGGGCTCAGTATGTGATTAGGAGCAGGGCTCAGCATGTAACAAATGTCAGGGCTCAGCTTGTGACTAAGATCAGGGCTCAGTGTGTGATTAGGAGCAGGGGTCAGCATGTAACAAATGTCAGAGCTCAGCTTGTAATCAGGATCAGGGCTCAGTGTGTGATCAGGAGCAGGGCTCAGCATGTAACAAATGTCAGAGTTCAGCTTGTGACTTGTATTGGGATCAGTGTGTAACTAGGATCAGGGCTCAGCGTGAGACCAGAGACAGCCTCTAGGGATGACCTCCAACCACAGTAATGCTGCTGCTAAACTGAGGAATTGTCAGGCTGCCACCGGAGCTACTGACTTCAAGAAATTACCCCTGAACTGTGATCCAGGGATCAGATGGGGCCCTCACACCTGCTCCCACACCACTGCCTCTTTTCTGGGCACACTGGACCCCTGCTGTGAAGCCCTTCTCCAGGACCTTCCCCAGATCCCTCTCCATGGGCCAGGGTGAAGATTCAAGTCTGTCACCTAGAGGCACTCTGGTGGGGTAGGGCAGCAGGGAAGAGAGGCCACACCCTGGTCCCTGGCAGTTTCTGCTGACAGGTCAGTGGGTGGGATGGTACCCAGGGTGGGATGGGAGCTCAGGTTCCATGGTCTGCCATGTCCCTTGCTACCAGGGTCTGTCCGTGGTCATCTGGTGTCCCATCATCACCCAGTGTTCTGTGTCTGCTCAGGCCCTGTGGTCAGTCAGTATCCTGTGGCCGCCCACACTTACTGTGTCACTGTTTCTGTTTTGGAGTCTGGGCACGGCTTCATGTTGCTGCCGGGTCACTCCCAGGCTACAATGCAGGCTTTGGCTGAGCCATAATCATCTCAAGGCTCAGCTTGGGGAGGACCTGCTTTTAAACTGGTGTGGAGTTGGCCAAATTCTGTTCCTCACTGTCTGTCTGTTGTTGGAGGCCGCCCTCAGCTCCCGGCCATGTGGACCTGTTCAACATGGCCACCAGCTTCGTCAGAGCCTCAAGCTGCACTAGTGTCTATTGCTGGGTAGCAAATCACCCTACACTTAGGGGTTTAAAACCGAGCCTCAGGCTGCACTAGTGTCTATTGCTGGGTAGCAAATCACCCTACACTTAGGGGTTCAAAACCACACCCATTTTTAGCTCCGGCCTTTCTTGCCTTGTGGGTTCGGCTGGGCTCTCTGCTCAGGGTCCCACAGGCCACAGTCGAGGTGTGGTGGGGCTGGACTCCACCTGGAGGCTCCAGAAGGAATCTTCAGCCTCACTCAGGCACTGGCAGAATCCGGGTCCTTGAGGTTGCAGGGCTGACATCCCTGTTTCCTTGCTGGCATCTGCGGAGGCTGCTGTCTGCTCCAGGGCCCCCATTCCTCCTTGGGTGACCCCTCCACCTGCCAGTCAGCCACGCGCACTGCATCCTCCTCCAGCTTCAGTCTCTGTCTTCCTTTTCTGCCACTGGCAGACATGTTCCATCCCTGGCTGCATCTTGCACCAAACAGTAAAACCCCCGACTTTGTCATTCTCTCCACAAGTGCTGAGGTTCACCGGAGGTGGCTTCTGGCGTCTGCTCTTGCCTTCCCCCTTCCCACCCTTATGATGAAGTGCAGCCACATGCCGTCCCCAAAGCCTCACCTTCCGTGGCCACCTCATCCCAGGGGAGGGATTTGGAAGCTGATTTGTTGCCGCCCATCTTCTCGGCTGATGGGACCCTCAGAGGTCAGATGACCAGCTCCAGAATCTGACCCTCAAGGGTCACTTGTAGGTAATGCCTTCTGATGGCCTCAATGGGTCTTGAGGAAAGACTCCTGGAATGAGACCCCACGCCCACTGCTTATCAGGGAGGCGGTGGGCGGGGCCTATGCAGGAGCCACTGCCTTCACATGTATACCTTTGCAAGGTGGCCTGCGGCCCAGAAGCCCCGCGAGCCAGGACCCCACGCAGCCAGCAGAGAAGTAGGTGCCTTGCCTGGATTCCTGCCTTCCATATTCAGGAAATAGAAGTCGCCCCTAGGCTCCAGGGCCCCTGGGAAAGGGAGCTGTGGTTTTCCAGCCCCTGCAGCACGAGGCGGTGCCCTGGCAAGGTTGTGGGTGGAGGCCTGGGCCTTCCACCAACACAGGCTGGGCTCCCTGCTGGCTCCAAGCCACAGTGAGGTGCCACAGGGGCAGCACTGGGGGCCTCTCCCCTGCACCCAGGTGAACAGCCCCGCCTGCTCTGCTCTTGGTGGCTTCTCTTCCGTCCTCTCACCCTGTTCACGTTTTGTGCTGTGAGCACCTCAGCTTTGGGGCAGGGGTCCCCAGGCCCCATGTGGGAGGCTGTGGCCAAGCCCGGGGCAGGGCAGTTTCTGATCACACTCGTATGAGATGGCCTCATTTGTTTTTTTGCCTCCAAAAGTGGAACTCCTCTATTCGGGCAGCTTCCTGGGTGGACGGGGAAAAGGAAGTGTCAAAAGTTCAGGCCTGGGGCACCCTTCCAGGCTAGATGCCAGCAAGGCTCAGGGAGGGCTGGCAGAGTCCAGTGAGGCCTGGGGGCTGGCTGGAAGGAGTCAGGCTTAGAGGTGCTGAGTGGGCAGGAGACACAATCCTGAGTCTGACACGCAGAGCCCTGTAGGAGCTGGCACTGTTCCCCTCTGTGGCCTTGTCCCCTGCTCAGTCCCTCCCAATTTATGTTGGCAATACCCACCCTCACCCAGAACCCAGAGGAGCTCTCTCTGCCACTGCAGCTCCAGGGCCCAGCGAGCCTTCCTGCGCAGCCTGCCTCAGGGTGGTCTCCCGGGAGTCTCAAGGGCTGCCCCACCTGGGCTCCGGCTCTCCCGGTCATCCAGCAGGGCAGGCCAATGGCTCCTAAACCAGTGTTCCTATGTTGAAAAGGAAGTGGAGGCACAAACAGCGCCAAGCGTTGTACGTTGGAAAGAGGTCTCCCGTGTCCTTCCAGAAGGGATGTGTCCTCCAGTGCCACCCTCTGCACCCACGCAGGTTAGCTCCCCTGCAGCTTCGTGATGGGAAAACTGCAGGGAACATGTGTCTGTGCATGTTCTTTGCCCCCTACCCTGTTAGGAGCAGCGGGTAGGAGCAGGGCTTGATCACACTGAGAACTGGAGCCAACTCCACCCACAGGGCTCACTGTTCATGGGACCACGATCCCCTCCCCTCCCCTTCCCTTTTTTTTTTTTTTTTGACAGAGTCTCCTTCTATCAAAGGCTGGAGTGCAACGGTGCTATCTCAGCTCACTGCAACCTCTGCTTCCTGGGTTCAAATGACTCTCCTGCCTCAGCCTCCTGAGCAGCTGGGATTATAGGTGCATGCCACCACGCCCGGCTAATTTTCATATTTTTAGTAGAGACGGGCCTCACTGCAACCTCTGCCTCCCGGATTCAAGTGATTCTCCTGCCTCAGCCTCCTGAGTAGATGGGATTAGAGGCTCATGCCAGCATGCCCGGCTAATTTTCCTATTTTTAGTAGAGATGGAGTTTCACCATGTTGGCCAGGCTGGTCTTGAACTCCTGACCTCAAGTGATCCGCCCACCTTGGCCTCCCAAAGTGCTGAGATTACAGGGGTGAGACACTGTGCCTGGCCTAGACCATGACTTTCCACCCTGCATCTTCATTCCTGAGCTTCACGCTTCCAGGAAGATAAAGCAGCAAATGGCTATCATTTATTGAGGATCTTCCCGAAAGGCCTATTGACTCTTCAATAGAAACTGTTAGGGGACACCTCAAGACTCAGAACCCATGGCCTCAAAATTCTAAACTACTTTTTCCGAGTCCTGGCTCAACACTAATGGAGCCCCCTCATTGGAAGACCTACCTCAAATCAGACTCAAATCCCAGGAGTGCTGGAGGGAGCTGGGGTGACCTGTCCTTGGGTTTTTGGTGACATTTTAGGGAGCCAGCATTCAACGAAATGCTAGTGGCATTTTGAAGTTTCCTGGACAGGGCTGATTTGTCCTGCGAGGGCTGCATCTGGGACAGCACCGAGGTTGGTCCGTGTCCTTTCTCGCCGCGTGGCCTGGTCGCTCTCCTGCTTGGGGGTTTGCAATTCTGCTTGGCACCTCTGTGATTCCCAGTACGGGTGAATTTCTTCTCCTTGGCTTGGCCACTTGAATGGCTTTTTCTGGAAACCTGCTGCTCATATCTGCTGCTCTTTGGGAATCTCGAAGGATTATTTACTGTAAACCAAAAATAAAATTCTAAGGCCCTCCACAACCATCTGAATGGACCCTCTTCTTGACTAGGGTATTCCAAAGTGAACCTGAAAAACTGGTTCGGATCATGCCGGGAAAGGGTTGGACAGCCTCATCATCCCTCCTCCCTCCTGGAATTCAGGAAAAGCTGACCACCGTTAACATCAACACAGACCTTCAGTCTGAGGAGAAGCATTTACCATCTATTGTCTCGGAAGCCTGCTACCTGGAGGCTTCATCTGACGATAAAACCCTGGTCTCCACCCCCCTTGTAATCCACACATTCCTTTCCATTGATTCCAGCTCTTTAGATAATCTTAACTCTTTCAACCAATTGCCAATCAGAAAATTTTTAAATCTACCTAAAACCTGGAATCCCACCCCCCCCCCCACCCCGCCCCCACCTCGTCCGCTGGAGTTGTCCTGCCTTTCCGGATGGAGAAATGTATATCTTCCATGTATTTGATTGATGTCTTCAGTATCCCTAAAACCAGACTGTGCCCCAGCCACCTTGGGCACATGTTCTCAGGGTCTCCTGAGGGCTGTGTCGTGGGCTATGGCCCCTTATATTTGGCTCAGAATAAATGTCTTCGAATATTTTACAGAGTTTGACTCTTTTTGTGGACGTTATGTGTGGAGGGAATCATCGCGTGTTACATGCGTGGCAAATATTTCCTTGTTTGTCTCGTCCTTCAGTTTGTTTATTCTTTTTTTCTTTTCTTTTCTTTTCTTTTATTTTAGATTTTTAGGTAGTATTTATGAATCCCAATCCCGGTTTTGTGTCTTTTCTTTTAAAAAAAATTTTAACAGCTTTATTGAATATACTTCACGCACCATACAATCCACCCGTTTACAGTGGGTAACTCAGTGGTTTCTCACGCACCATACAATCCACCCATTTACAGTGGGTAATTCAGTGGTTTGTCACGCACCATCCAATCCACCCGTTTACAGTGGGTAATTCAGTGGTTTCTCACGCACCATACAATCCACCCGTTTACAGTGGCTAATTCAGTGGTTTCTCACGCAGCATACAATCCACCCGTTTACAGTGGGTAACTCAGTGGTTTTTCACGTACCATACAATCCACCCGTTTACAGTGGGTAACTCAGTGGTTTCTCACGCAGCATACAATCCACCCGTTTACAGTGGGTAATTCAGTGGTTTGTCACGTACCATACAATCCACCCGTTTACAGTGGGTAATTCAGTGGTTTTTCACGCACCATACAATCCACCCATTTACAGTGGGTAACTCAGTGGTTTGTCACGCACCATACAATCCACCCGTTTACAGTGGGTAACTCAGTGGTTTGTCACGCACCATACAATCCACCCGTTTACAGTGGGTAACTCAGTGGTTTTTCACGTACCATACAATCCACCCGTTTACAGTGGGTAACTCAGTGGTTTCTCACGCAGCATACAATCCACCCGTTTACAGTGGGTAATTCAGTGGTTTCTCACGCAGCATACAATCCACCCGTTTACAGTGGGTAATTCAGTGGTTTCTCACGCACCATCCAATCCACCCGTTTACAGTGGGTAATTCAGTGGTTTGTCACGCACCATCCAATCCACCCGTTTACAGTGGTTAATTCAGTGGTTTGTCACGCACCATCCAATCCACCCGTTTACAGTGGGTAATTCAGTGGTTTCTCACGCACCATACAATCCACCCGTTTACAGTGGGTAATTCAGTGGTTTGTCACGCAGCATACAATCCACCCGTTTACAGTGGGTAATTCAGTGGTTTCTCACGCACCATACAATCCACCCGTTTACAGTGGCTAATTCAGTGGTTTCTCACGCACCATACAATCCACCCGTTTACAGTGGGTAATTCAGTGGTTTGTCATGCAGCATACAATCCACCCGTTTACAGTGGGTAATTCAGTGGTTTCTCACGCACCATACAATCCACCCGTTTACAGTGGGTAATTCAGTGGTTTCTCACGCACCATACAATCCACCCGTTTACAGTGGCTAATTCAGTGGTTTCTCACGCACCATACAATCCACCCGTTTACAGTGGGTAATTCAGTGGTTTGTCATGCAGCATACAATCCACCCGTTTACAGTGGGTAATTCAGTGGTTTCTCACGCACCATACAATCCACCCGTTTACAGTGGGTAATTCAGTGGTTTCTCACGCACCATACAATCCACCCGTTTACAGTGGCTAATTCAGTGGTTTCTCACGCACCATACAATCCACCCGTTTACAGTGGCTAATTCAGTGGTTTCTCACACAGCATACAATCCACCCATTTACAGTGGGTAATTCAGTGGTTTCTCACGCACCATACAATCCACCCGTTTACAGTGGGTAACTCAGTGGTTTTTACCATATTCGCAGTTTTAGCCCATTTTCATCATCTTGAAAAGAAACCTTGAACGCTTCAGCGCTATCTTTGCTCCATTCACTGTGAGAACGTGAAGTGGTTATTTTGTGAGATTGTGAGATGGATATTTTGGTTTTCTGACATTGCTTATTTTGTGAGATTGTGAGATGGATATTTTGGTTTCCTGACATACAGCTCTTAAAACCCTTGGAATCTCTGGAGTGGCAAGGGCATCTTTTGTATGCTAATGAGAGGACTGGTGACTGGGGGTCCCCAGGGAGCTTCAGGATGAGGGACAACGGGATTAGAGAGCTGGGACTTCAGCCCCACCCCCAGCCTTCAGGGGAGGGGAGGGGCTGCAGGTTGGGTTGGTCAGTGGCCAGTAGTTTAATCCATCATGCCTACGTAATGAAGCCTCTGTAAATTTCCCAAAAGGACAGGGCTCAGGGAGCCTCCGAGAGCAGAACATGCGCAGGTGTCTGGGGGTGGCACTGGGAGGGCCTGGAAGCTCTGAGCCCCTCCCTGTGCCTGCCCCACGCGTCTCCCCCACCTGCTGTGCGTCCACACCTTCGTCACAGCCTGTGTCATAAATGGGTAAACGCGGCTCAGTGTGTCCCTGAGTTCTATGAGCCGCTCCAGCAAGTCATCAAACCCGAGGAGGGGGTTGTGGGAACCCTGATTCATGGCAGGTTGGTCAGAAGCACGGGCCACACCTGGGGCTTGCGACTGGCATTGGAAGTGGGGCTCACTGCGTGGCACTGAGCCCTCCACCTGCGGGATCTGACGTGACCGCCACAGGAATGGTGTCGGAATTGAATTGAGGACATCCAGTTGGTGTCCACGGCAGTGTGGCTTGGTTGCTGGTGGAGAGAAATACACACACTTTGGTGATGGGGTGAAGTACTGTATTGTGTGAGAGCAGGAAAAGTACTCTGGCTTTTCCCTATTTCTTTTTGTTTGTTTGTTTGTTTGCTTTTTAAGATGGAGTCTCGCTCCTTTGCCCAGGCTGGAGTGCAGTGGCACCATCTTAGCTCACTGCAACCTCCGCCTCCCTGGTTCAAGTGATTCTCGTGCCTCAGCCTCCCAAGTGGCTGGGATTACGGGCATGCGCCACCACACCTGGCTAATTTTTGTATTTTTAGTAGAAACGGAGTCTCACCATGTTGCTCAGGCTGGTCTCAAACTCCTGACCTCAGGTGATCCACCCTCCTCGGCCTCCCAGTGTGCTGGGAATACAGGCGTGAGCCGCCACACCCGGCCTTTCCGTATTTCTTAATAATCCCTGCCACCACCTAGCAACCACTCATCTCCTTTTCCTCCCTATAGAGCTCCCTATTCCGGCCACTTCTGAGAAATAGAACTGTACACTGCTTGGCCTGTTGTGCGCGGCTTCTGTCTCACTTAGCATCGTGTTTTCAAGCACCCCCCGCGTGTTTTCAAGGCTCTCCCGTGTTTTGGCGTGGGTCGGGGCTTCATTCCTTTATGTGGCTGAATAACATTCTGTGGTGTGGGTCTGTCATCTCTGTGATCCCTCCATCAGTTGATGGGCATTTGGGTTTTTCCCGCCTTTTGTCTGCTATGAATAATGCCACTGTGAATGTTTGTGCACAGGCTTTTGTGTGGACTCGTGTTTACTCTTCTTGGGCCATGCCTGGGCGTGGAATTTGGCCTGGGGGTGGAATTTGGACCAGGTGGGGGGGCGGGGGTGGAATTGCTGTGTTTACAGCAACTCTGTCCAATCCTTTCAGGAACGTGTCTTGCTTTTCTATTCTGAATTATCTAGCATTAAAAAACCTCCTCTTTTTACATCGAAACCTCTCATTCAGTTGGCATGCCTTTGGCTGTAGCGAGAGAGGTGATGATCCAGCCTTATCCTGTTCTCTCCACAGTGCTCCACGGCGGCTGCCAGTGAGCCCTGTCCCTCTCCTGCAGATCTGAGAAGTGCTCCATTGTCACCTCAATTCTTGAGCTTATCTGGGTATCTCCAGCGCACCCTGTTTATGTCTTCTTCTGTGCCCGGGGCTACTCTGAAAGTTGTCCTGCACCTGAGTGTCCGGCGGCCCTGCCTGAGACACCCCCTCCTTGTGGAGCAGCTTAACAATTGCATCAGCTTTCTCCTGTGCTGATTCTTCATGAGAACGTTGCCAAGGTGAGAACAAGAAAGGCCAAGGAAAGGGCCTGGCGGTGTGTTTCTTGGCAGGTGCTAACTCAGTCGGGGGGATCTGGGTGCTGCAGGTATTGACTCACCTCGGCCTCTCCGAGGGGAGTGCCAGGCTTATGTGGGGGTCTCATTCAACCTTGCAGCCCGAAGCTCGGCCATGACGCAATGTTGCCTAGGGAGTGATCAACTTCCACAAACATCACTTACCTAGTTTCCATGTCCACCCTGAGATGGGTGGCCACAGCTGCCCATCACCTCAGTCTGATTCATCCCACTCCCAGCATCTCTCCCCAGCACCCTGCCTTGTGTGCTGGGTACCCAGTGGCCCAGAGGAGCTGGAGGTGGTGTTCCCTGCCAGAACTGGGGGTTTCCTAGAGAGGGGCAGGCCGGGCCACTGGCCCAGGGGCATGTATGAGGGCGAGGGTGAGGATGCCGCCTCACTCTTCTCCCTATTCCAGAAGGCCTGCTGCAGCCGTCTTTGCCAATGGCACCTCCTCCCTTCCTCCACCCCGCACAGCCTCCATGTCTCAGCCGGGGTGTCCTTTTTCTGAGGTTTCCCAACTCACGCTCTGGGGTGGAGGGCTCCTCATGTGCCCCAGCCCCAACTCCCACTCTAGCTGCTTCAGGAGAAGCAGCTGCCCGGGGTGCCTGGGCCCCCGTGCCCTTCAGGCCTGACAGTTGGCTGGAGGCGGGAGGGCCTGTTCCGTGATAAGGGCAAGTGGGGGTGGGGTAGTAGGGTTTAGCCTGGGGTGAGGGAGCGAGGCACCCCCAAATCTACTCCACTCTACTCCCAAGCCCAGGATGGCAGGACTCCACTCTCACTGCATAGCTTGTACCACACGATCCAATCACATTTTATTGTGGGGAGGTCGGGACCTGAAGGGGCGGCAGGCACGATGGGCCCCAGGCTTGGACGGCAGCAGATTGAGGCAAGACTCCACGCAGGACTTCCCTAGGACAAGCGGTGCTGGACGGTGGCTGCAGAGGCCGGGAGAGGTGGGCTGGCCAGTCTCGAGGGAGGGGCAGCTGTGAGCCCTGGCGCCAGGCTGTGGGGGCTGTGGGGGCTGAGCGTCCGGGGGCCTGGAGGAGGGCAGCCGTCAGTCATGGTTGCAGAGGCTGGTCTGGCAGCAAGCGATGGATACGTAGGGGCCCAGGCCCAGGCTGGGGATATCGGGGCAGCCTATGTGGCACATCTTGGTGACCAGAGGCAAATCCTCGGTGTTGCTGAGGACCCCTGAGTGGGCAGGAGAGAAACCATGGAGCTCCCTGAGGCTCTGGTTTGCCCAGACCCTGCTGCCCCATCTGCCACTGAGCTGAGGGTCAGACGCCCCAGGTACATGAAGCATACGGGCCCTCCTGGGGCAGACGTGGCCCTTTGCTCATACCCTTCCCTGGGCATCACTGGCGGACACTCCCCACTATGCTTCTGACTTACTGGGTGCCTGGATCTGGCTCTGTCACCCTCTGAGCCCACATCTTCCCACCTGGGCAAGAAGGACGTGGCCAGCCCACCACTGTTCCCACTTACGGGTGGCAGTGGTGACACAGTGGGTGGAGTCCCTCAGGCATCTGGATCCATGGGAGCACCCTCCGAAGCCCGTGCACTGGTGACACCATATGGCTTCGGCTGCAGCTGCGGACATGGGGACAGACAGGACACAAACGGATGGGAGGCAGGTGTGGGCCACCTTCTGCAGTGACGGCACGCACTCATCTCCACCCAGCAGCCCATGCTCCTTCTCAGCGGCCAGTGTCCCGACCCTGTGATCCAGCCCTCTCAGGAGCTGGGCCCCTGTCCCTCACCTTGGGGTGCCTGGCAGCCCTGCAGCTGGAGCCAGCTGGTTGCATCCTTGCCCAGGAAGCAGCCTTGGGCAAGGGTGGGGCCGGGCAGCCCTGGCTCGCAGTGTGATGTCCCAGGGCAGTGGTGGTGCAGCAGCCTGGGCTATTTGGGGTCCCAGGGTGGGGGGTGGGGAGGAGGTGGAGGGGCTCTGAGACACGCTTTCTGGCCATGCCCATTTTTGCCTCTGGGTACTGAGTGGGACCTGTTAGACCCCCGGGACTGGATTCTGGTGGCTGCGATGATGGGGCCGTTCCTGCCTCCACAGGGAGCCCAGGGCAAGGGCGACCAGGATGTGGTGGAACAGGAATTAAAAGAAATTAAAGAATGTGTAGGCCGGGCGCGGTGGCTCACGCCTGTAATCCCAGCACTTTGGGAGGCCGAGGTGGGTGGATCACTTGAGGTCAGAAGTTCAAGAACAGCCTGGCCAATATGGTGAAACCCTATCTCTACTAAAAATATAAAAACATTAGCTGGGCATGGTGGCGTGTGCCTGTAATCCCAGCTACTCAGGAGGCTGAGGCAGGAGAATTGCTTGAACCTGGGAGGCAGAGGTTGCAGTGAGCCGAGATCGCGCCACTGCACTCGAGCCTGGGCGACAGAGCAAGACTCCACCTCAAAAAAAAAAACAAAAAACAAAAAACAAAAAACAAAAAAAGGCTGTGTAAACAGAAACTCAGTTGTATGTAAGAAAACCCAATTCCCTCTGAGAAAGAGAAAGAACTAGAGTCCTTTAATAATTCCCTGCCTGTTCCTCTGTGGCTAGTGAGCCTTCTCTCTCCTCCTTTCCCAGGCGCTGTGGAGACACCGTTTCTCTAGTTGTGCAGCTGCAAGGTCACAGACAGAGAAACTCAAGTCGTAAAACATGTTTTTCCTTCAAAAGGAAGAAATGATGTAAGGAATGTCTCAATTCATTGAATCACTGTCTTTGTTTCTCGCTTCTGTAACATGCTTCCCCCTGCACCGATCTCCCCCCACCCCGCGAAATGCTTAAAAGGTAACTTAACTCTTTGTTCAGAGCTCAGTCCTTTGGATGTTAACCCGACTGGGCTGGTGCACCTAAATAATAAATATCCTCCTCAACCCCTTGGTCTCTCTGATTCCTTAAAACATCCCGCTACAGTGGCGGCACCCAGGCAGCTGCAGGGAGCGGTGAGCTCTGCCTCACTTTACCCAGGAGGACGGCCCGTGCTCGGGAGACACTGCTCTTCCGCGGGCGCTGCTGTGGGTCTGCCCCACTCCCGAGGCCTGCTAGCCCTCCTGGGCACCCCCCAAGGGCTTCCCTGCCTGCTCTCTGCCCCTCTTCATCCCTGACTCTGTCCTCTCCTCCCTGGCCGCCTCCATCCATTTCTCATTTCTCAGCCTCCAACTCCCTCCCTCCCTGTCCTCACCCTTGGTTCACACACCCAGGACTGGGTAAGCAGAGTCCCTAACACCTGCTGGCCCCAGGCCTGCTCTCTCTGCATAGGAGCCTGCAGGGTGACAAGGCCAATGGTGTGGCCATAAGGATGTGAGGGCTGCTCTGTCACAGGCACCAGGCGCAGGCCCTGGCTTCCTCTTGAGCTGTGCCCCAGGCAGCCCAGCCTCAGGACACAGGAGCCCACGCCTGCCCTATCCCATCTCTGCTGGGCTGCCCCCGCCTCACTGTTGCCAAAGGTGGAGAAGGGCTGGAGTCAGCCCCAGTCAGTGCCAGCTCCAAACCCGGGTTCCTGACAGCATGGCTCTGTATGCACCAGCACTGAGCTGACCTCAGACCTCAGTGCACACCAGGCCCCTGCCACGGGCCAGAGTCCTCTGGTCACCCCTGGGTCCTGTGGGCGGAATCCTCCATCGAGGCACCACGGAGAAGGTGACACAGATGGGAAGTTCCGGCCAGGGCAGGCCCCTGCCATCAGCTTTGGCCCCTCTACCAGCCCCGGAGAGCAAGCTGAGACCCCACCTTCGAGAAAGAAAGGTGGTGACAGCTGCCTCCAAGCCCCTCTCTGCCTTCCCACCAAAGTGGCTTGAAGCTCCCCTTGGCTGTCACATCCAACCTAGTGACAGCCAATAAGTCGGACACGCCTCTACTCAACACTGGCAGCCACAGGCCACAGCTGGCTGGGGTGGGGGGTAGCAGGGAAGATGGGCAGGAGGCTGGGGCACCAGAAGGAGGAGGTGAGGATATGGGTGCCCAAGGGTGCCATGGAGAGAACCAGCTCCAGCCTGTCCACTACACATGCCCACGCTCCCAAGGCCTCCCTGGCTTTGAACTTGCTGTTCCTCCTGCCCTCTGGGCAAAACAAGCCCTGGTGCAAATGCCACCCCCTCCAGGAAGGCCTCCTTGGTTTCCAGGGCAGAGTGAATGGTTCCAACTCTGACACACCCACCGTGAACTGCAGCATCCTGCCCCAGCTGGCATCAGTGTCCCTGCTCCAAGTGATTGTGCTCAGGGCTCCTTCCTCACCCCCACCCAAGCATGAGGGCCTCTGAGGCTGGGCAGGGCGTTCTACCCATTCCTCAGTGCTCCCTCCCCTGCACTTAATGAGGCCCAGGAGAGGCTTGCAGAATGAATGAATAAATGAATGAATGAATGAATGAATGAATGAATGAATTCCGGGGGTGGTTGCAGGTTGGGTTATCAAGAGAAATAATAATTCTGTCCCTTATCAGAGGGTTTTTGATTTTCAGCAATGAGATCCTGAGGGAAGCAGATAAAATGTTAGCTCCAAACCGGAAAGGCTGCTCGATGGTGACTGTGAGGACACAGGGACAGTGTTCAGACTGGCGCCTGACACACGGGAGGGAGGGGAGATCAGGGGGAGAAGAGGAGAGAGGAAGGGAGGGAGGAGGAGAGGAAGGAAGGAAGGGAAGGAGGGAGGAGGAATAGAGAGGAGGAGGGAGGTGGGGTGGGGGGGAGGGGGCAGGAATAATGGAGGGACAAACAGGATGGTGGGATGGGCTCTGGGTGTAGCTGCATGGCTGGGGGCAGGTCTCTCCCACTGGGGACCCCCGTGCTGGCTCTGAAGCAGGCTGGCCCCTCGGGGAGATTGTGCTGTCCATGTATGGCAGAGAGCAGACACCAAGCAATGACAGGGGATGCAGGTGCCCCTGAGAGAGGCTCGCCAGTCCTCCAACCGGAAGAGCAGTGAGGCAGCTTGGGGCTTGTTCCTCGAGGGGCAGGTGGGATTTCAGCAGAAGGAAGGGCTCCAGGAGCCCTGGTGCAGGGAAGGGCCTCTGGGTCAGAGGGGAGTCCGTGGGCACCGGGCACCCAGGCAGAGGCTCCTGTGATGTGCCATCCCTGGCCTGGATGGCCACCTGACTGCCTGTCCAGTCCTGATGGTTACAAAGGCCTTCTCCAGGTTAAGTCGAGTCCCCAGGCCCCTGTGTGTCTCGGACCTTCAGCACAGAGCTGGTCTGCCCTCATGACCCTGGGGCAGTCCTCAGGGTCAGCGGCTCAGCCTCTCATAGGCCAGGAGGGTGCCCCTGGGGATGGAGACTGGAGGGATGTAAGAGACACCTGAGCCAGCGCCAGGGACTCACCGACGCTCCACCCCCTGCTCATTCAGGGCCTGGGAGGCAGGGGCTGCCCAGGTCGTTCAACCCACAGCCAGGGACGCAGAGGCTTGGCCCCTGGGGGGCTGGGCTGCTTGGGCTTGGAGGTGCAGGCCACCGGCAGATCAAGGGGCCAGCTGGTTTTGTTGAGGCCTCAGGGTGGGGGTGGAGATGCCCTGCCAAGAGAAGACGTTCAGGCTCTGCTGGGGGATGCCAAGGCCAGGTGTGCACAGCTGTGCTTGAGGGGTCATCCCCTTGGAGCCCTCAGGAAGGCCCTGGGCCAAGGGATCTGAAGCTGGGGGGACAGGGCCAGCCGTAGCAGACGTGGGCACTGCGGGGGTCGAGGGTTGGGGGATGGGGAGGGGGTAAAATCACCCAGGAAAGCGGGGAGCAGAGGAGAGGACCCGGGAGCAGGAACTGGGGATGGGAGAGCAGAGGGACTTGGTTTTCCCAGGCAAGAGGGAAGAGGGAGTCCCGGGAGGGTGGCCCCAGGAGACAAACCAGCTGGGAGGCCAGGCCCAAGAGGGCTGGAGGGGGGCACATTCAGAGTGTGTGTGTGCACGTGCACGAAGGTGCGTGTGTGAGGGGTGTCGCGGTGGACTGGAGAGGTCTGGGGGCTGGGCAGAGGAAGAGGGGGGTTTGAGCCAAGGGCTGTGCATCCTGAGAAGTGTGGGGGCCAGTGTCGGGGGCTGGGGCTGAGCTGGATGGACCTGCAGGATCGCAGGAGGCTTTCGGAGGAAAGCTGCACCTGGTAGATGGTGGGGGGACAGGAATGGGTTCTCCCGAGGTGGGCAGTCACAGCCCAGGGCTGGAGGGACGGTGGTTGGGCTAGAGTGATGGGGGCCTTGAGCAGGAGGTGGCCCCAGCCCCTGGACTCACCCAGCTGCAGGCTCAGGACGGCGGCCAGCAGGAGCCCAGTGCCGAGCTGCATGTTCTCCTGGTGAGGTCGGGCTGTCGGCGCCCTGGCCGGCTGCCTTATACCTGCTGGCACCCCGCCCTGGCCCTCGCCCGCTCAGCAGACTCTGCGGGTCTGAGTCACCAGGCAGCCGGGCTCAGTCAAGGAGCCGGGCTGGGGTCCGGGCGGTAGGGGCCAACCTGGCCCCAAAGCTCGCTGGTTAGGCCTCTGAGCGGGCCGGTGTCATCTCATGAGCCATCTCTCCTTGTCCATAAAGTAGGGATAGCCCTGGCTGACAGGATTGAGGATCTGATAAAATGGCCTGGCACCAGGCAAGCAATGGCCACAGGCCACTCTCCCTCAGTGGCTGGGAAGGAAGGCCTGGCACCAGGCAGGTGACGGCCACAGGCCGGTCTCCCTCAGAGGCTGGGAAGGAAGGTCTGGTGGGAAGGAGGGTCTTGGGCACCAGCCACCAGCCCACCCCTTACGCCTCAAAATGCACATGAAGCTCAGGGCTGGGTGGAAGCCACAGGCCTTCATCTGTACTCCCACCCTAGAATGAGTTCCATGACAAGACCTCCTCCAAATAAGCCAGAGCTTTCCCATCCTGACCCCCGCAGGGCTGGGAGAACACAGAGGGAGCATGGTTGTGAGCCACCTCTCTGTCATCCGTACAGGGAATCATGGCCATTGTCACACTGTGACTAACGCCCCAGGATCTGTGCAGAGGAGTAGGGGGGACAGAAAGGCCCTTGGTACTAAAAGGGACCCCAAGGATAAGGTAAGAGCCCAGAAGGGACACCCTGGAGAGCGGGAGCCATCAGCTGTTCCTCCAAAGGCTGGCCAGGGGCTGGGGCCCCAAAGGGCCTGTCCGTAGCCAGTCAGCCATGCCAACCCGGGGACCCCTATGTGTCTCTCGGGCTGCCCACATGGCTTCTGTCTACCCCTCCGTTTCGGGGGCTCCTTATGGCTGGGAGGTGGGCCCAGGAGGAGGGAGATCCTGAAAGAGGGGCTGGCAGATCCAGGCCCTCCTTCCTGGGGCAGTCGAGAAGCTGGGGTCAGGAACCAGGTAGGCAGAGAGGTCAGAGATGGTGGGATGGGGTCCTGGGGGAGTTCCCGCCTCCCTTACCCCGCACACCCAGACTTCCTCAGGGGTTTGTATGCCCCTCAGGGGTGCTGGGTGGGGGGTGGCCTCTCTCCCACGGAACTGGGAGCAACTCTCAGCAAGCCCCAGGAGCCCTGCCTGTCTCCCTCCCTGTGCCTGGCTCCGAGGACAGGTCAGGCCTAGAGGCCAGAAAAGTCCAGGACCTGGACCGGGTAGGGTAGACAGGAAAGTGGCTGCATGCAGCCTGGAGTGCCAGCCCAGCCAGGCTGGAAAGGTGAGGCCCGAGCTCAGGCCGAGGCAGTGGGGCTGGAGAGAAGCGCAGACAATGCGAATCTGTTGATTTATTTACGGCTCGGTGAGACGACGCTGGACGCTGGTTAGGGTAAGGGTTAGGGCAAGCATTAGCAGCAGGGGCATGGCCCTGGGAAGCACCTGGACCCCAGAACATAAGACAGGAGGGAGAGATGCCATCCATTCAGCGGGCACTTATGCCCACGACCAGCTGAGCCAGACCAGCATTCCCATTTCACCACCCCTTACTCCTCAAGATGCAAATGAAGCTCAGGGCTGGGCGGAAGCTGGCAGGGCTGTCCACAGGGAGGACCCCCGTGTGTCTCTCGGGCTGCCCAGGTGGCTCTGTCCACCCTTCTGTCTGGGAGGCTCCTTAAGGCTGGGGAGGGCCCAGAGGGAAGGAGATCCTGAGGGGCTGGCAGATTCAGGCCCTCCCTGCGAGCTGAGGTTTGAAGAGGAGAGCAGACCACCCAGAGTAGTGGGAGAAAGCACCGGCAGAAAAGCTGGCATATCCACCGAGGGCCTCTCTGCTTCTTTTGACCTTTTTCAGAGTTTCAGAGTTATGAACCAAATCGCCTTCATGAGAGATGACGAATCAGATGCTACATAGTGGGGGAGGCGGCAGCTGGCCTGGCTCCCCCACTTCCCCAGGACCTCCGCCTGGAGGAAGCCTGCCCAGGGCCGCAGCCCTGCCCCCAAAGACCCCAGGACAGACCAGAGCTCCTGCTGGAGCCGGGTGTCCCCATGCTGACCTGGCCATGTCCCCAGGTCCCACCCCAGGGTCACTTCCTGTAGCTCCGACTTCTCTAGTGGCTGATTGCAGTTCCCAGAATGTATAACATCCCAGGGTGCCAGAGCCCACCCAAGCAGCCACTCCTGTCCAGTTCCCAGAATGTATAACATCCCAGGGTGCCAGAGCCCGCCCAAGCAGCCACTCCTGTCCAGTTCCCAGAATGTATAACATCCTAGGGTGACAGAGCCCGCCCAAGCAGCCACTCCTGAGTCACTCGGGCATGTCCAGGACTCAGGTCCACACAGACAGTGGCAACAGCTAGCCCTGGGCATCTACCCCCATGAAGGGGACCCTCGGTTCTGCGAGAGAGATCCCCGAAGTGGGAACTGGGCCCCCATGGTGCCCAGTGCCTCTCCCCCTCTCCTCTGCCACTCTGCCCTGCACCCAGAGGCAGCGCTGGAGGCCTTACTCTACCACTCAGGGCTTCTCAAACCTCTGGTTCCACTTTTCTCCTTTTAAGCTTTCCATTTTGTAAACTCACCTCCCCCTTCCCAGGCTTGGGGGTCCAAGGAACCCCAGCTGGTGGGAGAAGCGGCTGCACTGTGGTGCAGGGGGTGGTGAGTGAGCGAGGAGGCACTAGTGTGGGGCAGCTACTTCACCTCCCTGTGCCTCTGTGTCCTCCTCTGTCAAAGGGGCAAGATAATGGCTCCCATTGCCGGGCTGCTATACAGTGCTCAGGGCCACAGTGCAGTGGGGGGACCCACGTCCATCGCCACCTTGATGCATACAACCCGGACAAGTTTACTGCTGTGATTTCTGCCGGCGCTGCTGTGCCGGTTCCCTGGTGCTGCACAGCCACGCACTCCCCATGAGTGGGCCTGCCCAGCATTAGCTGAGTGCCTTCTGTGTGCTCTACGCCAGGTGCCAAGGGCAGGCCAGCCAGGCAGAACCATGTGTGGGGCTGGGACAGGTCAGGGTGGTGGAAAGGTGGACAGAAGGAGGCAGGAGGCAGGTGTGAGAAGCTGCCCACCCCACCCCTCAACACCACAGCACTTCCAGCTCCAGCAGGTCCTTGTTCTCAGCTGCCCCTGAGCCATGGGTGGCCAGGTCTCCTCCCCATCACCCCACTGAGACTCGAGACAGGGAGGACCTGATCCTGGAGTCCCTCCCAGCCCTGGCTGAGGAAGCCACCCAACCCGACAATGGGCTTGCGCAAGCCGCGCAGTGACTGCTCCCAGCCTCTCCCAAGGACTTAGGAGCCCAAAGCCGCCTCCCTCCCGGTAAGCATCCCAAGGCATCGCTGGCTGCAGCTGAGAGGGCCTCATTTGGGCACTGCCCTGAGGCTGGCACTTGCAGGTGGGGGCCCTTGGGAGCTCTGGGAGGCACCTGGCAGCCTCCCAGACACCCCGGGCCGGTCCTGCTCTCCAGGCTTAGGGCTACAGCCACAACCACTGGGGGTAGGGGCGAGGGGAGTCCAGGCCCACCCTGTGCTGGCAGCAACTCCTTCCCAGCTCTGGGCCCAGTATGATGCCCATCTTCCCTCTGGGGAGTCACGTTCCTCCCGCTCCGGGCCCGTTCCCACCCAAGGTCCCTTTGCAGAAGACTGGCACTGTCCTCCTCCAGCGGGAACTGGGTGTGCCCTCAGCAAGACTCTGCCCCCTCCCATCCTCATGTTCTCAGGAGACTGAAGCTGGGCACTCAGAACCAGCCCCAGGAGCAGAACGCAGGCCTGCATATAGACTCACTGCAAGGAGACCCCTGGGGTGGAGACCCTCATTCCCTGATCCCCCAGGGGTCCTGCATCAAAGCTCTGGAGATGCAATTTCCAGCAGGGGCTCCCCTGACCAGGGCCATACTTTGGGGCCGGGACAATCCTACCACATGGATATGTCACCATCCTGCCCATGCGGGATGGCTTGAAGGGTTTCTCAGGACACCAGAGCTGGGAGCACTGGTCAGGTGGGGGCCTCAGGTGCAGCGTGACCGCTGGCACCAAAAGGTCTCACGCCCCCGAATGCCCCATTCACAGCAGGGGCAGGTGCTCCCTGGGCTACCTGCATCGGGGATGGATTGGTGCGTGTTGGGCTGACCCCTGCTTCCCAGGCCTGGGGTGGGGTCCCTGGGAGTCCACACACCCAGCTGGGGCTTCCACCCTGCCCTCCCAGTGGGTGCATCCCCAGGTGGAAGGTGATGGAGGGACCCACTCACTGTGCGCATCCCGCTGCGGGGGAGGGGCTGGGTCTCCGCCCTCCCCACCCCACCCTCCCCACTCCCGCCCCCGCACGGCCACGAGAGGGTGGCATGCTCCGCCTTCCCACGCCCAGGCCCGCGCCGGCCCCAGGCTGCTCCCAACCCCCAGCCTGTGCGCGCATCCCCCAGTCCTGCGTCTTTTGCCTTGCTCGGCTGGGTCCTGCTGTGGTTGGGGACCAGGACTCGGGGGACCACCTGCTCTGCCCCTTTCCCTCCCTGCCCAGAATAGCGCTGGCCGGGTCAGCGTCCAGGACCCACCAAATATAGCATGGCCCTAGCTCCTGCCAGCTTCAGGCCTGGTGCCCTCCCCGTGAGGGGGTGGGAAACGTCAAGGGGTTTGACTGAGAGGACACACACCCCTTGCTGGACCCGAAAAAGCTTCTGTGACTTCGGGGGCCCTGGGGCCTGCTGAGGCAGAGCCGCCCCCTCCCCTGCAGGGGGTGGCTCCAACTCGGGCCTGGCAGACTTCCTAGCACAGGGGCCGGTGCCAAAGGCCCTCCTCCCACAGCCCTGATCCCGTACCGGTCCTGGCAGCTCCTGGCCTCAGTAGGAAGCGTGACTAGGCCTGGAGGAGCCTTTCCTCCTAAGAGTCTCCCCACCACCCCACCTGCGGGCATTCCTTGTCTTCCCCCTGCCCCAGCACACCAGGGGCAGACTGAGGCAGGGGCCTCTCCTAGGGCTTCCCAGAAGGTGGGCTTGGCCACAGCTCCCATCTGCTCAGTGCTCCCTGCCTGACTGGGCCCCTCCCCATAAATAGCCCTGGACAGGCGAGGGGCTGATCAGCCCATCAAAGCCGGACACTTTTGGGATCCCACACAGCATCGAAAGGTCAAGGCCTCGAAGTGAGGTCGTGTGGTGGTTGGGGGAGGTCGGGTGTCTTCTTGCCCACAGTCCTGACCCTGGGCATGGCTGAGGAGGTCGCAGGGAGTGTGGAGGGTGAGGCAGGGTGAGCTGGGTGCGAGGGTGTAGCAGTGTGTCTCGAGAGCTTTGTTCTTGAGTGGGTCTGCCTCGGGGGCTTTAGAGGAGACCCCAGAGGGTGGCCAGGAGGATGGGGGCCAGGGCCAGGGTGGCCGGGGTGGCAAGGCCGGTGCCGTTGCAGAGGTCGTACTGGCAGCAGGAGGTGGTGGACGCGTGCTTGGAGTAGCCATCATACACAGTCTCGAAGCAGCGGGGCACGCAGGACTTACTGACCTTCATCCTGGTGGGGGTGTAGTCTGCAGAGGGGCGGGGCGGTGAGCCAGCTCCGCTAAGAGGGGCAGGAGACCCAGCTGGCCCCACCCCAGCATCCACAGCCATCAGGGCAGGGCCCCTCAGCCTGGAGCTCCCAGACAGGATCCGGGAACAGGAGAGCCTCCTTCCTCAGGACCCCCGCATGCTCAGGGGCAGGGCAGAACCTCCCCTTCGTGCTCCCCAGGCAGGGCCACGCAGGGCCCCCAGACTCACAGGTGCGCGTGGTCATGCAGTAGGCAACCATAGCCGGGCAGCGCATGGGGTTGAAGCAGTTGTCTCCGTTGTAGGCACACACGTGGCAGTCCAAGGCCTGGGCTGGGGTTGGCAGATGGGCGGGAAGGGAACGGGGGTCACAGAACATGAGAGGCCCCTCCTCCAGCCCATCAGGCCCCCAGCCCGTCACCTTCCCCGGGGCAGGGGGCTAGAAGGAGGGGTTGTCGCTGGGAATTCTAGCCTCCTTCCCTACTGTCAGCCCATCTGCCCTCAAAGTGGGTCTGCCCATCCCTCTGTCCTTTGTCCATCTTACCCAGAGGTAAGCCCATGAGGACCACCAGGATCAGGGTGAGCAGGGGCGTCATGGCTGCAGGCAGGAGGGCAGCGTGGGAGTGGGGAGGTCAACAGCAGCTAGCCCTGGATCCAACTCAGGGGTGGCGCACAGAGGATCCAACTCAGGGTGGTGCGCAGAGGACGTGGGGCCGGCCCTGCCTCCCGGAGCTCCTGGTCTACTGGGAGTGCTGCAACCCTGCACAGCAGGTGGCAAAGACAGGTGGTCAGTACTGGGCCTGAAGGACCCATGGGGGCCTGGGCAGGGATGATGGTGGGCAGAGGGGCCACCTAACTCAGTGGGTGTCAGGGAAGGTTTCCTGGAGGAGGAGACACTTGGGATGGGACAAGAAGGGAGAAGAGATCAGGACATTTCAATCAGAGACCAGCACCTGCAAAAGCTCAAAACAGCCTGTAGCGCTGGATGGAGGAGAGATGGGGGGAGGATGAGGGGCAGTGCTAGAGAAGGAGTAGGGATGGGCAGAGGGGCCTTAAATACCAGGCCTAAACAAGGATTTTACCCAGGGGATGGTTGGTGCAGAGGTCCCATGGGAGGTGGTCTGCAGCCCCATCCCAAGCAGGGCCCTGGGGGCCGGATGGCTGGCCATGGCAGGACTGGGCCCAAAAGCTGGGTCTCTTCTCGCTGTTCCCCTCCTCTCTGCTCCTGGGGTGTCCCTACTTGGGGTTCCTTCTTCCAGAAGACCTCCAGAGCCCTGGTTAGGGTTGTCTGAGTCCTCGGCCACTGCAGAAGCTCCCCAGCAGGGATGAGCTGTGCCCAGCTTGGGGGGAATGCATTTTGAGCCCCTCCCAGGAGGGCACTTGGGCCAGACAAGAAGAAGCATTTCCCCGGCTGGGTCTGGTGTTTGGAACGGGAATGCCCTCTCTGGAAAGAGGTTTACAGTGGGGAGGTGGGGGTTGGATTACGGCTCTCCTACCCCTGCCGGGATACTCGGCCCTCGGTCTCCGTCCTGGAGGACTAAATTAAACTTACGCCTTCCCGAGAACAACAAATCCGTCTCTCACGACACATTTGCCCAGGCCAACCCCAGGATGCCAAAGGCCAGAGTCAGGCCTGCGGCTTCGAGCTTCCCAACCCCCTCACGGAGAGCCCCGCCCCAAACACTGCGGTCCCAGGTCGAGGGGAGGGCTCTCGGCGCGAGCGGGACTATCAGGGTGACCTCACCTGTGACCTTCACCACCGTGAGGTACCGCCGCGCCTGGGAGTCACCCGCGGCCGCTCGCCGGTAGGTGCCTGCCTGAGTCTAATCGTAGGCGTGTCTGTGTGTCCCGCAGCACCCGTGCCGCATCGCCTGATGCTCACCGCAGGCCCAGCCCAGTCCCGCCCCCGGAACAGCCCGCCCAGCGCGAGCTCACCGCAGGCCCCGCCCCAGGCCTGCCCCGGCCCCACCTCCTGAGCAACCCCCCGAGCCGAGCTCACCGCAGGCCCCGCCCCGGACCCGCCTCCTGGGCTACTCACCAAGCCGCGCTCACTGCAGGCCCCGCCCCTGCCCCGCCTCCTGGGCACCCGCCGAGCCGAGTTCACCGCAGGCCCCGCCCCGGACCCGCCTCCTGGGCACCCGCCGAGCCGAGTTCACCGCAGGCCCCGCCCCGGACCCGCCTCCTGGGCACCCGCCGAGCCGAGTTCACCGCAGGCCCCGCCCCGGACCCGCCTCCTGGGCACCCGCCGAGCCGAGTTCACCGCAGGCCTCGGCCCGGACCCGTCCCCGGACCGCCGGCTCGCCGGGCAAGCGCTGGGACCCCGAGGCCAGTCCAGGCATCTGGATCTCCGACACAGAGGCAGCCACGCAGTGATTCCCTGGCGACCCTCAGACTCACGTGTTCAGCCCGGACACTCCGCAGGCTATCTTCACCGCGTCCCGCGGCAGCCCAGCCTTCCCCGCAGCCGCCTCCGCCCACTCGCCCGCGCCGCGTCGTTTGTCGGCCGGCACCAGCCTTGCGGCCCCAGCTCCGCCCTCCTGCAGCCCAGGCCCAGCAGCTCCGGAACTGGCGCCCTTTGGCGCACCCGCCTCGCTGCCCATGGCCTCCGCCTGCCTCCCCTGCGCTCAGCTCCCGCTTCTGGTCCCTGTAGCAAAGCTGGAAGGCAGGCCTGCAAGGCAGCCCCTTGCTCCGTGGTCCCTCTCACCATCATAATGTTCATATTAAATAATTATCTTTACATAACTTTGAATACTTATGTTATTGGTTCTGTTTTTGGCAAAATGTAATAAAATTTCATGGGTCCGAAAGTTTTCATTTTTTCCAATGTGAGAAAGAAAAATAAAACCTTTTCTTCTACCCTAAAGCTCATTTTTTTCTTTAAAACATTTTTGCGGGCCTGAGGTACAGAATACACCATGCCTGCTGGGCAAGCGGGCTCCGGTTCCAGGAAATCCTTCGGTCCCCAGCAAACTAGGCCAGTTAGTTGTTCTGTTTGCCGAGAGGTAATGCGCACCCTCCTGTGCCAGGTCCTAGTTGGGGAGAAGGCAAAGAATAAAACCAGCAGACGTTCCAGAATATTCCCACCCCATGGAGCTCACACTCTGGTGGGATAAGGGGCGTGGAAGGAACGCATAGGTCAGAACCAGAGTATGTCGCGGTCTTCAGCCTCAGACCACGATGAATTAATACGGATGAAACTTCCCTTGCCCGCCCGCCAGCGCTCGCCTCCTGCTGTGTGGCGTGGTTCCTAACCGGTCTGTGACCCAGGGGTTGGGGACCTTTATGTTAAAGGAAGTTCTTCAGGCAGAAATACGGATCTACACAAAGGAATAAATGACACCAGAAATAGGAAATAGAAGGTAATTTTTTTCTTATTTTTGAATCAAGTTAAAAGATAGTTGATTACCTAAAGCAAAAATAATAACAATGTATTAAGGAATTTATAGCAAATGTAGAAGTAAATTGTATGATAATAGTAGTGCAGGCTGGGCACCGCGGCTCACGCCTGTAATCCCAGCACTTTGGGAGGCTGAGGCGAGTGGATCGCTTGAGCCCAGGAGTTCAAGACCAGGCTTGGCTGGGCAACGTAGAGAGACCTCATCTCTAAAAAAAAAAAAATACCAAAAAATTAGCTGGGTGTGGTGGTGCACACCTGAGGTTGCACCCAGGAGGCTGAGGTGGGAGAATCACTTGAACCCAGGAGGTGGAGGTTGCAGTGAGCTGTGATCACGCTACTGCACTGAAGCCTGGGTGATAGAGCAAGACGCTGTGTCAAATAAATTTAAAAAAAAATAGTAATACAAATAGACCAGGAGAGGGACAATGGAAGTTCACTGTTGTAGATTTATTCTACTCTATGTGAAGTGGCCTACTATTTCTTGGAGGTAGACTAGTAAGTCAAAGGTGTATGCTAAGACGCTAAAGTGTCACTAAAAAAAGACAAAGAAAAAAGCAAAAGTCAAAGCACTGTAGTTAATAAATCAACAAAAGTGATGATACAGAATTATTTATTTATAAAAGCACATGTTACAGAGACTGCAGAAGAGGAGAAAGGAAAAAACAATGAGACAAATAGAAAACAAATAGCAAGATGACATATATTTAAACCCAGCCACAGCAATAATGACACTATGTCATCTAAACACTTCAATCAGGCTGAGCACGGTGGCTCACACCTGTAATCCTAACCTGTAATCCCAACACTTTGAAAGGCTGAGGAAGGTGGATCACTTGAAGTCAGGAGTTCCAGACCAGCCTGGCCAACATGGTGAAACTCCCTCTCTACTAAAAAATACAAAAATTAGCTGGGCATGGCGGTGGGTGCCTGTAATCCCAGCTACTTGGGAGGCTGAGGCAGGAGAATTGCTTGAACCTGGGAGGCAGAGGTTGCAGTAAGCTGAGATGGTGCCACTGCACTCCAGCCTGAGCGACAGAGTGAGTGAGACTCTGCCTCAAAAACAAACAAAAACATCTCAATTAAAAACAGAGGTTGTCAGATTGGATAAAAATAGAAACAGCCAAGTATATGCTGTCAGTGGGAAACTCACCAGACATGTAAAAACACAAATAAGATAAAAGTAAAAAGATGGAGAGAGATATACTATGCTAACACCAATTAAAAGAACACAGACATGACTACGTCAATATCAAAGTAGGTTTAAAGCAAAGACTATAATCAGAAATAAAGAGGAGCATTACTGGCCAGGTGTAGTGGCTCTCATCTGCAATCCCAGCACTTTGGGAGGCTGAGGTGGGAGGATTGCTTGAGGCCAGGAGTTTGAGACCAGCCAGGGCAAAACAGCAAAACACTATCTGTACTAGAAAGAAAGAAAAAAAATTTAAAAAGAGGGACATTACCAAATGATAAATTGATCAGTTCATGAAGAGGACTCAGCAGTTCTAAATATGTATGCACCTAACAATTAAGCTTCAAAATACACAAAGCAAAACAAACAACATCTGATAGAACTGAAAGGAGAAAAAGAAAATCCACAATAACAGAGATTTCAACACTCCTCTTTCGAGAACTGATAAAAAATAGACAAAAAGTCTGTAAGGATGAAGACGTGGATCACATTACCAGTCAACATGACCAACTTGATGTTTGTAGGACACTCCACCTCACAGAAGGGGAACACACCTTTATTTACCAATAATGTCCTCCAAGGCAGACTGTATTCTGGGCCATAGAACAAATCTCAGTAAATTTATACGGATTAAAATCATGCAGATTATTTGCTTGGACTACAATGGAGCTAAATTAGAAATCAATAACAGAAATATATCTAAAAGATCATCAAATATTTAGAAACTGAGTAATAACATATTTCTAAACAACTTATAGGTCAAAGGAGAAACCAAAAAGGAAATCAGAAAATATTTCCAACTGAATGAAAATGCAAACACAATTCATCAAAGTCAAAGGATGCAGCTGAAGTGGGCCCTGGAGGGAAATTTTGCACTAATGCTTCTTTTAGAAAAAAAAGAGCTAAAACTTCTTTTGGAAGAGAAAGAAGTTCTCCAAAAAAAACCACCTAAACTTTCACCCTCGGAAACCAGAACAAAAAGAGCAAATCAAACCCAAGGTAAGCAAAATGAAGAAAATAGCAAAAATAAAAGCAAAAAAAAAAAAAAAAAAAAGTGAGGTAGAAAAAGAAGATAGAGAAAAATCAATGAGAGCAATGTTTGAGAATGCCCCTCCAGGAGGAGGACCTCAACAACCCTCCCCAGTCCGGCTTGTCCATGGCAGGACCAGAGAAAGGACCTCTTGCAAACCAAAGCTAGCTGCCTCTGAGTTGGGGGCTGGCCAGTGGAGTGGGCGGCTGGGGCTGCCCCTCCAGCCCTCCGTGGGATCTGGCTGTCGAGACTGGGCGTTAAGGGAGGCTCTTGGGCCCCCCTGATCTGACTGAATAATGCTCCTTTCTTTCTCCCACCTGGCCTTTCAGCCAAGATGCTGTCAGGCGTCATCAGCCCCACACAGGGCCTGCAACCTTGTAGGTGGGGACAGCGCAGCTGGCCAGAGGGGGCCGGGTGGGAGCTCAGGCCCGACTGGACGGTGAGGAGAGCAGAAGTTCCGAGCAGGTGGAGGGAGGATCCCTTTTCAGAGGACCTGGTCAGTTGCTTTTGCACAGTCTCCCTGACAGCTGCCCTCTGTCTGGACATTGTGCTTTGACTGCTTTTAGCATTTCCATTTTTAAGGCATAGAGAAAATTGCATCCGGTGATGGGCCAGGAGAGTCAGCCATGCACCCCATGACAGGGACAGTGCCCCACCCCTGGGTGCTGGCCAAACCTCAGTGGCTGTGCCTTGGGGCCCCACCACTCAATCCTATGCCTAAGCATCTCCCTGCAAGTTCTGAGCTTGGGCTCTGGCAGAGGGAGCTCCTCCTTCAGGGGCACTCAGGACATGGGGGCAGGGCTGTCGGCCCCCTCTGGCCAGCTGCGCTGTCCACACCTACAAGGTTGCAGGCCCTGTGTGGGACTGAAGATGCCTGACAGAGTCTTGGCTGGGGCTGGGGCTGGGGTCAGGTTGTGTCCAGGACAGTTGAGGAGCTGTCCAGCAGGGTCACAGAGAAGCAGCCTGGAGGCTGGGAGACTGAGCTAGGGACCCCTGGAGGCACAGGGCAGAGGGCAGTGATGGGCTATGAGCTGTGACTGTCCTTGGGCTTGGTCTGGAGTCCTGCCAGCTCCCAGGCCCCATTGCAGCCACATGGGCAGCCTAGCCCTCTCTGGATCCTGCAGGTTCGCTCCCACTCCTGGGCCTTTGCCCAGGGCCCGCACGCAGCCTCATCCATGCTGCCTTCGTTGTCCCTGTACCTGCTGCTGCTTTGCAGTCTTCCCTGACCCACCAGCAGAACTCCCTCTTCCTTCATTCCTGGAGTTTGGTGGCCACAGCCCCCGTTTCCTGCCTTTCAGGGGTGGGAGTGGTAGGGGAGGTGGCATTCCCGCCTGCCTCCAGGCTGCACTGGACACAGAGCACTCCCGTTCCCTGGGCCCTGGATGAGGATTCCTGCAGCCAGCCTGCCGTGAAGTGGCAGGAGTCACTTTCCCTTGCCCAGCCTTAGTTTCCCCATACGGAAGTGGGGATGGGTGGGCCTGCGGCCTAGGCACTCCTACCCCTCTGCTCTCTGCCCGACTCCCATGCCCAGGTGCCTTCGCACACCCTGCCCTGGGCGCTTGGCAGGCCTCAGGCCACCTGTCCAGAGTGGAGTGGAAAAGGGCACAGATGGGGCCATGAGCGGCACTGGCCTGGGCGAAGGCGGATTTTCCCTGTGCAGGAGCCCCGGCACCCGGCTCTCCGGTGGCCACCAGAGGGCGCTCATACTCAGACCTCCAGGAGCACTCGCAGGCCCCTCCCACATGCCAGCACTCAGGGGAGAAGGGGCGCCCTCACCCCTTCACCCTGGGTCATGTCCCTGAGACTGGGGTTCAAGAGCCTCCAGAGAGGCCGGCTTGGAACACCCCAGGCCCAACCCCAGCCTCGGAGCCATGTGGACACTGACTACCCACAGCCACCACCCAGGGCAAGTCCAGCTGCCTGGGCCCATCCCCATCCATGGGAACCCAGCAGCCCCTTGGCCAGACCTCACCAGGGTGAAGCTGGACTGGAGGGGGCGGGGAGCATGACGCAGGGAATATGGGCCAGGTGAGGTCGCCCAGAGGCAGGGAGGGTTCCGCACCCACTGCGTGGGTTCTGGTATTTCGGGGATGAGGCTGTGACGTGGAGTGAGATGAGGCCCCCGGCAGATGCCCCAGCAAGGGGCCCTTCCCCTTCTGGAGAGGGCCAGAGGCTCCTGCAGGCTGACCCCACGCCCCCGGCATGGGAAGTCTCAGGCCTCACCTGGGTCAGAGCAGAGCTCTGCCTTCCCCCAGGGCAGCTCCCTCACAGGTCTGGCCTGGAAAACTTATGGTGACCGAGCCCCCTCCGGCCCCGGCCAGCAGACAGTGGTGTAGCATGGGTGGCAGCTGGTGAGGGGTCAGTGGTGCTCCCTGGCCCTGGGTCCAGGCACTCAGCTCTTTGTCCCACGCACCATGAGACCAGCAGCATTACCACCCCCAGTTCCAGCCAAGGGCAGGAGCACTAGGTGGGGTCTGAGGCCCCAGGAGCGCACGGAAATGCCTGCAGCCCTGCAGTGGCTGGGAGGGGGGCTGAGGGCCAGGGCCACCATTTAGTCACAGGCAGCATGTGGGGTGCTGGCTGCACCAGGTGGGTGCCCAGTGGAGGAAAATGGAGGCTCCCGGAGGTGGAGTGCTTTGCCTAAGGTCTCTCAGTCAGGGCAAGGAGTGACCCACCTTGGCCGCCCTGGGGAGATGGGCCTTGGGTGTGGAGAAGGGTGATCCCAAGGTGGAGACAGTGAAGCTCACCCAGACCCAGTCCTGGGTCGCGGTGCCTTGGCTGGGCAGGCAGCCCTCCAGGAGGGGGTTGCACAGTGGCCCTGGGTCCCAGGGGAGGCAGGATGGACAGGTGGTAAGAGCAGGCCTTCCCAAATCACGCTTCACCTCCAGTAACCATCCAGCACCCCACTCGCCCCCAGCCCCTCAGCTGGAACTGGGGGTGGTGATGGTGCTGGTCTCATGGTGTGTGGGACAAAGAGCTGAATGCCTGGACCCAGGGCCAGGGAGCACCACTGACCCCTCACCAGCTGCCACCCACGCTACGCCACCGTCTGCTGGCCGCGGCCGGAGGGGGCTCTGCCACCACGGAATTTCCAGGCCAGGCCTGCGAGGGAGCTGGCCTGGGGGAAGGCAGAGCTCTGCTCTGACCCTGGTGAGGCCTGAGACTTCCCATGCCGGGGACATGTGGTCAGCCTGCAGGAGCCTCTGGCCCTCTCCAGAAGTGGAAGGGCCCCTTGCTGGGGCATCTGCCGGGGGCCTCATCTCACTGCACGTCCCAACCTCATCCCCGAAATACCAGAACCCACGCAGTGGGTGCGGAACCCTCCCTGCCTCTGGGCGACCTCATCTGGCCCATATTCCCTGCGTCATACTCCCCGCCCAGTCTAGCTTCACCCTGGTGAGGTCTGGCCAAGGGGCTGCTGGGTTCCCATAGATAGGGTCCATGGGACTTTCCTGGATGGTGGCTGAACTTTCCCTGGGCAGCTGGACTTGCCTTGGCGATGGCTGTAGGTAGTCAGTGCCTACTTGGCTCCAAAGCTGGGGTTGGGCCTGGGGTGTCCCAAGCCGGCCTCTCTGGAGGCTCCTGAACCCCGGTCTCAGAGACATGACCCGGGGTGAAAGGCTGAGGGGTTCCTTCTCCCCTAGGTGCTATGTGTGGGAGGGGCCTGCGAGCCCTCTTACCCTGTGCTCCTACTCAGGCCTCACCCCAGGAGTGCCCTCCACCTCTGGGGCGGTGGGAGGCATCTGAGCAGCCTGCCCCTTCCAGGGTGGGGACGGACGGTGCCACCTCAGGCATCACCCCACGACTGGCCCCAGGGGACATGTGCTGGAGGCTCAGGGTACCTATGTGGCCTGATATCCGCCCCTCAGCTCCTCCGTCCCAGAATAGCACAGCCACAGCCACACTGGTTTAAATCATTTATCTCCATGTAGAGATTTGAGTACAAAAATAAACGGCAACAAAACAGAAGGAGTGTGAAATCCGGGGATCCACAGGGCTTCTGTCCTCCACCTTCCATGCAGCTGGGGGCTGCATCCTCTGTGGGGTGGCTTCATCCTCTGTGGGGTCTGTGGGGCCTGCTCCAAGTCATCAGCATTCCATGCCCACCTGGACCTGGTCCCAGACTTTCGGGGAAGCCCTCAGCCTGGGGCTCCTGGCACCCCCGTTGCGGCTGGGGAAGAGAGGTGTGGAATCCCCAGAGAAAGGGAAGGAAAGGCATGAGGGGCCTTCCCTGGGGGGAAGGTCACAGGCTGGGGGCTAAGATGACGGCCAGGAGGCTCAGGGCCAGCCCCAGGCTGAGGGCACTGTGGGCGAGGGCGGTGCGGGTGGGTGCAGCGTTGTGCAGCTTCTCATTGCACAGGTCCTCCTGGCAGCACTGGGTGGAGCTGGTGCCGCTGCTGACCTGGCCTTGCAGGGTGTAGCTGGGTGTGCACGACTCCGCACAGTCCTTCTTCACCAGATTCCCCCTCAGAGGCTCCACTGGGCACAGGTGAGTGTGGTCAGGCCAGGCAGCCACCTCTGCCCCCCACCTCCCCACAACCTTCCAGCCAACACCCACAACAGCCAGGGATGTCCCCCAGCCCCAGGGACACCTGGACAGATGCTACCCACCTGTGTTCGTGGTCTTGCAGAAGCGAGAGCTGGCCGGGCAGACCACAGAATGCTTGCAGTTGCTGGAGCTGGTGCACACGTGGCAGCGCAGGGTAAGGGCTGGCGGGGAGGGAGTCCGGCTCAGCGGGCCCAACAGAGGCCTCCTGGTGACTCAGCAGGGCCTGCTCCCCCACCTGCAGAGACCCCTCCTGGACAGAGGCCCTGCTGCCCTTGCCCTAGGCCCCCAAACCCGGGCTCTGGGTCCTGGCAGGGCATGTGCCCTGAGTGCAGCCTCAGGGGACATGTATTCCAGCCTGGGCCGGCTTGGAAGAGGTGTCCTGCCCTGCCCCTGTCTAGGGTGTGTTGCAAGCCTTTCCTCCAAGGTCTCAGGGAGCTCTGCGACTGCCAAGAGGACACTGGCTCTTGTCCCCACCCCAGGGGATGTCCCTGGAGGAGATGGCTATGTTTCTGAGGGCCTGACGGAGCTAAGGCCCCGGGGGCAGCCAGCTTGGCTGCTCTGAGCCTATGACAGGAAGGGCTTGGTGGCCTTTGGGCTGTCCTGGGCTGTGCTGGGGGAGACCTGGGGACCGGGAGGGGCTGGTGGCAGGGACTAGATGGCCGCTCTCCCAGTGAGAAGCATCTCAAGACAACCCCCTGCTCCACTCTCTCAGGGTCCGTGACTCCAGGAGTCAGTTCTAAGATCCTCAGATTCTGAAACATTGTAAATCTGACACTCGTTAAGATTCGGGCTCCATGTTGTTTTAAATTTGAAGAGTCTAGCACCCACAGTGTCGGGGTTCTCTGTGCCTAGATGTCGTCAGCTCCAGGCTCCTAGTATTTGGTGACCACACAGGCCACAGCCGCCCACCCGCCCGTCCCCTTGGCCCAGCCCCTCACCTGGCCCTGTAGCCACAGCCAGGGCTGCAAGGAGCAGCAATGCTGTCCTCATCTCTGATGTCGTCTGGGAGCAGTGCGGGCCCCTGCATTGCCAAGGCCTTATAGGCACGGGCTGGGCGGGGGTGGGCAGTCCGCCAGCCAGCGGCATTCTGCAGGGCTCTGTGCAAGCGTCAGCCCAGGACGGGCACCTGCCCCACCCTGCCTGGCCCACGCCCACCAGCCTGGCTGTCGCTGGGCGCTGCCCCTGCTGCCCCCCGCCAGGCAGAGGTCTGCCCTCCGCAACGGGGCCCAGTGGCCTCCTGGCCCTGCTGTTCCTGCTGCTGTGCCTCCATCTCTCCCACTTTCACTTCTCTGTCTCTGTGGGTCTTGTTCTCTCGCTGCCGTCCGTTCCTGGGTCACTTTGTCTCTGACCTGCCACCCGCTACCCCCCGCCCCCCACCCCCCACCATCCATCACCATCCTGTGTCTTTGTCCCTGCATTCCCCCCATAGTTCCCTCAATAGAGTTGCAGCCTGTGCCCGGTGCCCTGTGGGTGCCCGTGGGTGTCCAGGGCAGGGGAGGTAGGAAGGGCAGGTGCTGGTCCTACTCTCCTGGCTCTGGGCTCAGGGTTGCTGCCGGGGATGCAGAAGGTCCTTGAGCTGCAAGGGCTCGGGGTGGCTGTGGGCTGATGGGGTGTGTGAGGCAGAGGCAGAGGCAGAGGCCACTCCGAGGCAGGGAGGGCAGCTGGGGCAGCAGTGAGGTGAGCACTGGACAGAGTGAGGACTGTGAGGACCCGGCCCTCGAAGTTGCCTGGGGAGCCCTGTGGGCAGAAGGCCCGGGCTGTGGAGGCAGCAACTCCACCCTGCGTTGTGCAGGGAGAGACTGAGCCCTCCTGGTCTCCACCAGCCCTGCCTCCCGCCCTCCAGGGCCCCAGAAGCCCTCCCCGTGGGATTCCTTCCCCCACTCTCCAGGCCCCTCCTGCTACGTTGGGGGCAGCGCCATCCCGGCCACTTTGTAACTATTGCTCTAGGTGTCCCGGCTCCAGTCTCCCCAAAATCGTGAACTCTTTGGGGCTGGGCCCCAGCACCCAGGGCCTCAAAGCAGGTTCTTGGTCTGCTGCCCGTTGAGTGGAGGCCAGTCCCCGCCTTCACCCTCTTTATACTCACAGGAGGGACTTTCTTTCCCTGGAGACGGGGTCTCTGAGCACCCACCGCCTCGCGCAGGAGCCCACCTCTTGGGGCCCCCATCCACCTGCTCAGCCCAGCACGCTCTGCCGCTCGCCTGTGCTGGGCAGCACCCACCTGAGTGGTGTGGAGGGGCCCACAGACTTGCTTTGCCCCTGCCCTGGCTAGGCTGAAGGTGAGTGGGAGCCGGGGCACAGATGGAGGTCAGCCCTGGGCCCAGCCTCCTGCCGCCGCTGCCACGTGGCTGATGAACAGACAACAACAGGCCCAGGGCAGGGCAGGGCCGGTTCCGAGGAGGGTGGTCCTGGGCTGGGCTGAGGCTTTTGGGAGCACCGTGGGTACTGGGGCCAGTCAGGCCTGGGCTTGAGACAGACCCTCTGGCCCTTCCTCCCGGCATCTCTCCCTTGCTGAGCCCCACGTCTCAGATGCCGGGGATCCCAGCAAATGTCTCCTGAGAATGCTCCTGGCCGGGCTCTCCCTGACACAGTGCCGGGGCCTGGAGGATCCACCTACAGGAGGGGTTGCCTGGTGGTGCCTTTAGAAACCAGGGTGCAGGCGGGAGCCCCCTGGGGCAGCCCCACATTTGCATCTGGTGCCTGGCCCTGGCTGGAGCTTGGTGGGGACGTGTGTAGTCTCACTTGCCAAGGCAGGTGACCCAAAGGTCCATGCCCCCACCCAGAGAGAGGAGGTTTCCTCCAGCTCCAAGGCCCTGTGTCCATGGGTCACAGTGAGAGGCATGGGCAGCTTGGGGGAAGGTGCTTCCAGGGGCCTTGGGAGGCAGAGCTCAGGGCTTGGTGGCGGGGTGATGACTCGGTGGGCATGGCAGGTGGGGAGGGTGACTCACTGTGGCCAGGGGCATGAGAGCTGCTGGAAAAACAGGTTTGGAATTCCTGCTGGGTCTGGTGGAGCTGGAGGGTCCGGGATGTCAGGTGGCCTGAGAGTGGGTTCTGAGTGTGGGGCCATGGGGGAGTGTGCTCCCCACACCTGGGGCTGGAGGAGGGCCCTGCACACCTGGCTCACCCCCGTGGGACACCTCAGGCATCACTGTGGCTGCGTCCCTGCCAGGCATGGGAGCCGGAGCGGGGTTCCAGTTTTGTGGGATGAGGGCCTCTGACCTGGCAGGGCTGCCCACGAGGATGAGCTGCCCATCCCAGGTGGTCCTAGCAAAAGCATGAACAGCAGCCCTACACAGTTCACTTTCAGGAGAAAGCGGGTGCTTCTGATGCCAGGAGCCCTTGGACAGCTGAGCTTCTGGGGACAGTGCAGTCAGGGAGGGTTTCTTGTAGGCAGTGACCTGACTAGAGCCTCAGAGCCAGGGATTGGAATGTGGAGAGGAGACACTGTGGCCCCTCATGTCAGTCCCTGCCCAGTGCTTGTTCACTGGTGAGGAAGTGAGGGCCAGAGAGCTCCAGGCACGTTCTGGGGCAGAACCTGGTGGGGTCTCAAGCACTTCTCACTATCACCGCCAGCCTTTCCCCCCTCCTCCCTCCTCTGTTCTCTAGGGCCTGGGCCCTCCCCCACTCCACCCCTCCCACTCAGCCCCTGGAGCTGGGGCCCTGGGCCTGGTTGGTACCATCAGGGTATTGGCAGCAGAAATGACACCTGGGAGAGGCGACGAAGGGGCCTGGGGCAGGGAAAACCACCGCCCCACCCCGTTAGCCTTGCCCCCTGCTCCCTGAACCAGGAAACCCGGCACGGGGACAAGCCCAGGCTTCTGTCTGGAGCCGAAGTTCCTTGCTCATGCCCCTTCCCCCACCTTCTGCCCCCTCTACCTTATGCTGGGCCCCTAGGAACACACAAGGGTGTGGTGGCTCAGAGAGGGAAGCGCCTGGCTTAGGGCGGCACAGCACCGTACTCCAGGCTTGCACCAGCCCAGCCCTGGGCCCTGTCCTGGCTGAATGGGTGCCTGGTGGACAAGGCGGGGCCCCGGGCTGGAGAAGCTGGCTGAGTGGGTGCCCGGTGGACAAGGCGGGGCCCTGGGCTGGAGGAGCTGGCTGAGTGGGTGCCTGGTGGACAAGTCAGGGCCCTGGCCTGGAGGAGCTGACTGAGTGGGTGCCCGGTGGACAAGGCGGGGCCGCGGGCTGGAGGAGCTGCCTGGGCTGGAGGAGCTGCCTGGGCTGGAGGAGCTGGGAAGCCCCAGGGCACAAGGAAGGGCTTCTTCACCCTCAGGCTGTTACCTGGGCAAGCCAGAATCCCAGCCACACCCCAGGGGTTCCAAAATGCATCCGTCTGCCTTGAGGCACTCCATTCATTCATTCATTCACTCACTCATTCATTCATTCATTCTTCAACATTTTATAAGGACCAACCATATGCAAGGCACTTTGGATATAATGGAAACCAGGAGAGAAGAGAGACAGGGCCCAGGTCCCAGGGCCTGCAGACCAGTAGGGAGTGGGAACAGACAATTGCTGCCTCTGTGGGACCCACAGCAGGGGTGTGATGATGTGGAGGGTGAGGATCTGGGGCTGAGAAGCCAAGGGAGGACCAACCTTGTTGGAGCTGTCTAAGCAGGGAAGGGTGTGTGGCCATTACCTGGTAAGCAGGTGGGTGTCGGGCAAGGGCATTGGGGCCCAGGTGCCAGGCCGCTTTTCTGTCTCTTTCCCCCGCAGGGGCAGGTGGCTGCCCCAAGCTGAGCGGCTGAGTGTGTGGTGTCTTTCTAGAGGCTGCCCTGATCCTCTCAGCCCCCTCACCTGCACAGATGGGGCCTCAGATGGACAGCAAGGGCCCGGCCTTGCCCGGCATCACCCAGCAAGCGGGAGCCACAGCTGGGCTGGGCCTCTGGGCCTGGGCTCTTCCCTCACACCTGGCCTCCCCACTCCTCTTTCTAGTGCCGGAGTCACCTTTACACATAGCACCACAATCTCAGGCAAAGTCTCTTTCACCTGCTTCCCAGGGCCAAGCCTGGCCCTGCCCTAGTCTTAGGTCACCCCCTGGGACCCTGGCTACCAGCCACCCCTCCCAGGGTACACCTAGTGTCCATGGGCCGGGCCGGGCCGGGCCAGGGGCCGGGGATGGAGGCCAGCTCTGCCCCTCCACACAGGCCCCTCATCCTTGCCAGGTCTCTCTTTCCTGCACTGCCAGGGGGGCAATCTAGGGAGCAGTTTCGTGGATGGAGAAACCCTTCTACCTTGGGGCACAGCTTGTTCCCAGCAAAGGCTGGACTGGGGCTCTAGGTTCCTAAGGCCCAAGAGAAACAAACCTGTTCCCAGGCCTGGCTGGTGGTGCCCACAGGCGGGGCTGGCACCTTCCCTGGGAGAGGCACCATTTCAGCACCTAGGACCGGCATGGTCCCTGCGAAGCGCTGGCATTCAGGGGGCTAGTCAAGGGTGCCCAGTGCCAAAGTCTGGGCGATGAGGGAGAATCCCTCAGGGTGTGAACTGTGTCCAGCCTGTGGTAGGGGGAGAGAGGTTGCAGCAGAGTGCAGCCCTGGAGCCACGGAACCATAGCGCAAACAACTGTGGGGACCTCAGAGTCCCAAGACTGCAGGCTGTTAGCATGGGCTTGCAGAACACAGAACCCTAGAATTGCAAGACCTAAGGAACCTGGATGAGAATCAGGTGCCCTGGACGGGGGTTATTTTCACACATTAGGACATGCTCCCACCAGCATTCTAGGGAATGTCAGAGGGTTTGTGTTAATGCTGAACTCCTGGGTTCTCCCCTCTGCTAGGCCACAGCTCAGTCTACTTCCTGTTGTGGCCTGGAACTTGTGGCTGCCAACCCTTAGCTCCATGAGGTAGGTTCAAGGCTGGTGAGCACAGGGCCCACCTCACTTTCCTCCCCCACTCCCCTGCCTTCATTTGCTCCCAATACATACCTGCTCATCCATCCTCTATCCTCCATCCATCCATGCATCCATCCATCTACCATCTGCCCACTCATTCTCCACTCATCCACCCACCCATCTATCCATCCACTCATCTGTCTATTCTCCATCCATCTATTCATCCCTCATCCAGCAATCAATCTACCATCTGTCTACCCATCCATTCATTCACTTATCCATCCATCGACTCATCCATCCATTCTCCATCCACTCATCATCCATCCTCCATCCATCCAGTCATCCATCAATCAATCTACCATTTGTCCACCCATCCATCCATCCATCCACTCATCTGCCCACCTTCCATCCATCCAGCCTTCATCCATCCATCCTCCATCCATCCATCCTCCATCTTCCATCCATCCAGCCTCCATCCATCCATCTTCTCATCCATTCATCTTCCATTCACTGATCATCCATCCTCCATCCATCCACCCACTCACCCATCTGTCCTCCATCCATTCATCATCCATCCATCCATCTATCTACTCATCCATCCATTCTCCATCCACTCATCATCCATCCTCCATCCATCCAGTCATCCATCAATCAATCTACCATTTGACATATACACCATGGAATACTATGCAGCCATAAAAAATGATGAGTTCCTGTCCTTTGCAGGGACATGGATGAAGCTGGAAACATCATTCTCAGCAAACTATCGCAAGGACAAAAAACCAAACACCACATATTCTCACTCATAGGTGGGAATGGAACAATGAGAACACATGGACACAGGAAGGGGAACATCACACACCGGGGACTATTGTGGGGTGGGGAGAGGGGGGAGGGATAGCATTAGGAGATATACCTAATGCTAAATGACAAGTTAATGGGTGCAGCACACCAACATGGCACATGTATACGTATGTAACAAACCTGCACGTTGTGCACATGTACCCTAAAACTTAAAGTATAATAATAATAAAAAAATCTACCATTTGTCCACCCATCCATCCATCCACTCATCTACCCATCCGTCATCCATCCATCCATCCACTCATCCGTTCACCTTCCATCCATCCATCCTCCTTCCATCTACACTTCATCCATCCGTTCTCCATCTTCCATCCATCCATCTACTCATCTATCCATCTTCCATTCACCCATCATCCATCCTCCATCCATCCACCCACTCACCCATCTGTCCTCCATCCATTCATCATTCATCCATCCATCTACTCATCCATCCATCATCCATCCAGCCATCATTCATCCTCCACTGATCCATTCACTCATCCATTCATTCTCCATCCATCCATCCTGTATCCATCCTCCATTCATCCATTCACCCACTCATCCATCCATGCTCCATCCATCCATCCTCCATTCAGCGATCCATTCATTCAACCTCCATCCATCCTGCCTCCTCTGGGCAAGTGAGTCAGACATTTTGACCACCTTGGGAGACATGGGATGAATTTAGTGCTGATGGCGCAGTGTGACCTTTCCCTTAGTCGTAAGGAAAATCCCCAAGATATTGAGTGCATCCTTCCAGAGGGTCTCCTGATAGGTGGGCTGTTTCACTCCTGCTCTCCTGTCCTCAGGACAGGCATTCTTCTTCTTACTCTGCCTGTGGTCCTCCCTTGCCCTGTAGGAGTTCCTGTCCCACCAAAGGACTCCCCACCATGAGTCAGTGCAGACCAGCTCCCTCACGGGAAGTCCTAGCAAGACCTCGGACCAGCCTTCCGCGCTTCTCAGGCAAGGGTTACTTGGTGGTCTGCAGTGGCTTTGTCCCTCCAGGGCCTGTCCCCAACTCAGTGTTCCCACCAGTGGGCACTGCCCTTATACCACTTATGTGTCCTCTAGGAGTTAGTTAGAATGATGTCTCTCTGTCTCTCTCCCCGCTCTTCCTTTTCTATTCACCCACACCTGCCCCTGACAAAACAGTAATTCTCAAAGGCCAAGGAGTCCATCCTGGCAAGGGTTCCGAGACCCTTGGGTCTGCAGCAGGTCATAGCAGCTTTGGGGCTGGCAACACCCAGACCATAGACACATGCTTTTTAAAGGTTACAGGATAACTTGGGGGGACATCATGGATCCTAGCCCTTAGGAATGAAAGAACTATCTTCCATGCACTGCATGCCCTGTCTTCAGTCTGTTGCTGGCACCAGCACCTCCACAGGGCCATGTGAGTTGTCACCACATGACTTGGGTGGAGGAGGCTTGTCTTTGCTCCTCCTGGGATCAGGTGACTGCTGAGCTTTGAGGCTGGAGCGTCCCAGCATGGCTGCTCCCTGCTCAGCTTGGATGTTGGGTCCTGGGCAGGGCCTGGGGTGGGCTGTCCCTGCAGGAGGTGTGCGTGTTGCTGCAGTCCTCACTGGGTACCGGGCCAGGCCAGGCTTCCAGGGGAGGGAAGAGAGGCCCATGCTGGGCCCTGCCAGGGAACTCACCAGGACCCCAGGGGCTTAAGGGATCAAGAGGGTGTTACATAAGAAGGGAATCGGGTGGGTCCTTGGGGAGCAGGAGATGCCGAATGGAAGGAGCATGGAGGCCCAGGAGCCCCTGAGCCCATGCAGCTGTGCCCGGGACAGAGGAGCAACTCTGACGGGCAGCCCAGGTCACAAGGAGCCAGGTCGGCACTGAAGGGACCTGAGAAAGCCCCACCCACCTTCATTTCAGAGCTGGCACTGCTGACAGCAGGGTCTAACCACAATGCTGGCTCTGGGTTCCACTGTCCCGCACATCTCAGCCTGAGCCCTGCTGAGCCTGGTGGCCTCTCCTCCCTGGACCCAGACCTCCCTCGGGCATTTCAGGGGTAACTCATTCCAACCCATTCAGCCCCACCTCTCCCCCAAACTGCTCCTCCTCAAACCCGCAGAGGCCATGCAAGGGCCCCCAGAGGCCTACATCTCCACCCTCCCTCTGCCTCTCCCTTGGCCCCAGTCTGGCCCTGCCTCCTCCTGGCTGGGGGCTGTGCCTGCCTCTGCCTGCACCGCCCCGCCCTGCAGTCCTCACTCCTTACCCTGCACTTGGGTTGGATGCAGTCCCTCCCCTGGACCCCCTCAGTGCTCTCCCACACTCTCAGCCTCCCTGTCCTGCCTCTGGGCCCTGACTGGGCGGTCTGTGTGCTCTGTCCATCTCGGGGGGCTGGGTACCCCCTTCTGTCTCGGTGCCCGGGTCTCCTCTCAGGCCATCAAGCCCTGTCCTACCTCCGGGCCTTTGCACATTGACCTCATTGTCAGAGACACTGGTGCCTTCCAGAGGGCCCCAGCCACGGCCCCCGAGGCCTGTCCCTCCTACCCTCCTGCCTCCCTCACACCTTGGCCAGGCGCTGCAGCCCACATGAGCTTGTCACTTTGCCTGCTGTGCCCACTCTTACCTGCCCACTCGAGGGCAGGGACAGTCTGTCACTGTGGCATCTGAGAGCCATGATGCCTGGTGTGCAGGAGATGCCCTCCAGAGCTGCTGACTTAGTGATGTGGAAGCCGGAGGGCCCAGGGGTGCAGCTGAGCACTCACCAACCCAGGAGTGGGGCTCCCTGTGCCCCAGCTCTTCCCCTGTGGCGAGGGGCTGTGGTCAGCTTTGTGTGGAAACAGCCTCCTTGCCATGCCTGGCTTCTGGACACAGAGGCTCCTGCAGGCAGAGGCTGTGGGCTGCTGGGTGGCATCAGATGCGGTTTCTGTTGGGACTTGCAAGGGTGGGGCCTGCCCTGAAGGGTGAGCCCCTCCTGAGTCAGCCTGCCTGGGAAAGCTCCTCGGGCAGGAGTCAGGATTCCCACCTTCCTTGAGAAAAGAAAACTCCAACTTTACTCTCAGGGTGGCTGAGAGCACCTGACCGCACACCAACCTCCCCGTGGATCCCTAGAGCCCAGCAGGCTGGGGCCTGTGGAAAGCTATGCTGGGGAGCCCGTGGGAATCCTGACAGCCTGGCTCCCAGGGGGTTCACTCAGGTCCCTTCAACCCACTCGGCCCTCTACTGGCCTCCAGACAGCTCAAGGTGCGATAACGGGGGAGAAGCCCGCTGAGGCAGCAGGAGCTTCTGGAGCTTTTCCCGCTGACCCGAGCTCCCTGCTCCTGGGTGCTTGGGAGCACAGCGCTCCCTGCAGAGTGCTTCTTTAGCACGGGCACGGGCTCGGGAGACCAGTGGCAGGCTGGGTGGGGGCAGCGGCCCCGGGAGGCTGAGAGGAAGCACTGGGCAGGCCGAGGGCGCTGCTGGGAGGCCTTCTTCCTTCTGGAGCAGGAGTCCAGCGGCAGGCAGCAGCCCCGGACCAGGGCGGCTGTGGGAACATCCTGCCTGGCTCACTGCCTGGAGGCCTGGCAGGTGCGGAAGGTTGAGGCCGAGGGCCGCAGGGGAGGCTGGGCATCTGGCCTGCACACCTGCCTGCTCAGATTCCCAGAAAGGAGGCAAACACCTGCCTAGGGAGGCTCCCAGCCAGCACGATGGCTCCTGGCTTAGGCGCCTGGGCCGTGGGAACCAGCTCTGCCAGGCAGGAGGCCCACCGTCACTCATCTGGCCTGGAAGTTTGTGCCCATCACCTGGGGAAGGGAGGCCAGGGATAAAGGAGTCAGGGAAGGGAAAGGGCATCTCTTCCTGGCTTCCAAGCTTGAAAGGGCAGAACAGCAGGGCGAGGACTCAAGACCTGGATGGAGGAGGCCTCTGGGCCAGGGAAGGGCCTCTGGGCCAGGGAAGGGCCCCTCCAGGCCACAGAAGCAGAGAAACCCTGAGAACACTGTGGGCGCCAGGACCTGGCTGGCTTCCTGAGGAAGGGCCCTGCGTCTGTCCCTATAGCCAAGCCCTGGGCAGAGGGTGGCTCTGGCCTTGCCACCCTGGAATAGCCCCGGGAGGAGACATGGCCCTCAGAGGCCTGTCCAGGGTGGTCGAAGCAGTCCCGTGCCCCCACCAGAGACGTAGGGCTGCGGGGGTGTGGGGGCACCCTGCAGGGCTGAGGACCAAGGACACAGGATGTGGGCCTGTGGTGGGGCTGCATAGACAAGGGACACCAAGGCTCAGAAGGGCTTCCCAGAGGACCCCAGGTAACCCGTCCACCTGGGACTGACTGCATGTGTGTTTCTGCCTTGAAGGTCAAGCAGGGCTCAGTGTGGACTCAAGATTCCCAGGTAATAAGGCACGAGCATTTCTCCCACACCTGAACCTCGACACCAAGAATTCCATGCTCTCCTCTGTAAAGCGCCCCCTGCCCACCTCTAATTGCAGGGGCCCTTCCCTTTTTCCAGGGCACAGTTGACTAGGGACAAGAAATACCCCTTGGACCCGGCATCTCTGAGAATGAGGACAGGCAGAGCTCGCCGCTTTATTCTGGGGTGGGCTGGCAGGTGTCACTGCCTGGAGAGCCAGGACGATCCCCCCGCACAGTGAGAATGGAGACCACCCCCCAATTCCAGTGCCTGACACTCAGCCCCAAGGTGACTTGCCCTACCCCGACAGTGCGCAGCCAGGGGACCATTTAAAATGCCGGTGTTCACCTGGATGGGGCTCGCAAGGGTCCCTGGGCTGGGGACACTGACCAACAGACTGAACCCCCAGTGAGAGCCCTGGGGACAGGCCCCTCCTCAGGGTATCTGCTGCAAGGATACCCTGGGCAGGTTTGTGATGGATGGAGGGAGGGAGGAAGGGAGGAAAGGAGGGATGGGGTGAGAACTGGGTGGCTGGCGGAGAGGATAGAGTCAAAGGGATGCAATGCCTGAACCCCTGAGCCACGTCCTTTCTTTCAGGGCCGCTGTGGGCAGAAGAGGAGGCCCAAAGGGTCTGACGGCTACACGCACGGGAGTTCTGTTAGGCTGGGCATGGGAGAGGGGGAGAAATCCCCGGCTCCAGTCCCTCAACCCCTAGCCTCTGAAATAGTGATAGAGGGTGCTGGAGAGAAGTGGGGGGCTCTTCCCACTCGCAGCTGGCAAAGGGTCCCAGGACCCCAGCAAAGGGTCCTGCAGGTATTGATCTTGAAGCAGGCGTCCCCTCTGAAGCATCCCATCAGCAATTCCCTGGGGTGGGGGTAGAGCTCCCTCACCAGGGCAGGAGCCCAAGGGGGTGGGGTCCTTCCTCTCTCTCCAGGGCCCGGGGTGGGGTGCTGGGTGTGGCCTGGGCAAAGGAGGGAGGGGGGCGTGGCAGCTGAGACTAGGACCCTGCTGCCCCGGGTGGGGTGTGTGGGAGCTGGTCAGGCTGAGGGGACCCACGCTGAGCGCTCCAGGCGCAGGGCCTCAGCGGGCTGCCTGCAGCAGGGCCCACAGCTGGCTGGCTGCGATGCTGGCCCACAGGGTCCCGGGGCTGCCCACCAGGCCTGCGGCTGCACTGCGGTTGCACTGGCTACCCTGGCAGCAGGACACAGAGAGGGCGCGGCTGTCGGAGGACACAGTGCTGTTGGGGCACGTCGGGGAGCAGGACTTCATGACCAGGATGCCACCGGGGCTGGCTGTGGAGAGAGGAGGAGGCTCTGTGGGTACCCTATGTTGTGTGCCAAGCTGCCCGGCCCCGGGAAGGCCCGAAGCCTGGGACCCATCGATCGGCACCACGGGCACAGCCTGTGTGTGCTGGGAGACCCTGGGGAGGCCCCTGCCTGCGGGGCTTGGGGTGGCGGCTTGGAGGAGTGGGTTTCAGAGAGACCTTCTGCTGCGGGCCAGGTCCTTCCTCTGGCATAAGGGGACCTGTCTCTCCTCAGACCAGGCTCCTCCATGACATCTGGGGCCAGGAGCAACTGAGTGGCTCCTTCCTCCCCAGTCTCACTGCAGAGTTTCAGGGAGCAGAGGAAAAGCCCAGGTCCCACGCTCGACCAAGTCGGGAAATGGCGGGGGATGAGGACGGGGCAGGCTGTCAGCTGCAGAAGCTCATGTCCCGTAGGGAAAGGGAGGCAGGGTCGGCCAGGGGCCCCGGGGAGCAGGTGAGAAGGAGCGGGCTCGCGGCCTCAGGCAGCACTGCTGTCTGTGTGAGACTCCGCCAGCTTCTGCACCCGCGCTGTGGGGGCCGCTCAGAGCCCGGCAGCCTTGGGTAAAGGGGAGCTGCTTCCCTGAACCTGCACTGCTCAGAACATTCTGGAAGCTGTGACCCTGACCCAAGGGTCCTCTTGTTGAAAGCTGGGTGTGGGGATGGGGGCTTCTGTCTCAAGATGCTCGCTAGGTCTATGCCTCTGTTTCCTCATCGCCACTGTTTTCGGTGAAAGGAATGAATTCCTGACGAGTGTTCAGGGCAGCGGCGCTGCACGGCTGAGGCCAAACGCACAGCAGTCATAGCTGCGTGTAGCTAGGAGCAGGGTTTAGTGCCACGTTCTGTCCAGCCCTTTCCCGGCCCTGGCAAAGCAGAGAGACAGAGCTGCTGCCAGGTCTGGATGAAAGCAAGCTGCTCCTGGATCGAAGAGAGCATCGCGGAGGGACCCCTTACCTCTTGCCCAGTGTGCAGTTCTTTGCATAAGTCCCATGGTTAGTGAACCTACACTCCGTTCTTAAGTAAGGAGCTGCGTTTTTATGGGTAAAATGGAGTAGAGGCAGCATTAGCTGGCCCCGTCTCTGAGTAATCCCCCGGGAGACCTGGGACGGGCCCAGGCACCAGTCATTGGCCAGATGGTTTGGAGACAGAAGGCCCTGGGCTCCAGGGAGAGTGAGGCCGCGTCAGAGCGTGGGCCATAGGCTCTTGTTTCCTCGCTTGTGAAATGGCGACATTCAGCTGGCCTGCTAGGGAGCAAGCAGAAGTCAGACAGAACCACTCGAGGCCTGGCGCTCTGCGGGGTTGGTAGTGGCACCCGTTGGTGTTGAACCCAGGGGCCCTTCCCCGTTTGCCCCCAGACCCTCAGGGGGCCAGGCAGCCCCTGCCCCTCCACCCACATGGAGTGACTCCAGCAGATCGAGGGTCTGTAGTCACTGGCTGAAGTCACTGCCGGTGGGTACAAGGGCACCTGGTAGATTTCCTCTGCCCACCCATGCCTGGATGTGCGCCTGCCAGAGGCTTTCGGCCCCTGGTGCATGCTCAGGATGCCTTCTGTCCACACTGTCCTCCCGGCTACCCACCCCGTCTGTCAGTTCTGCCACCCCATTACCCCATGTCAGGCTTGGCTGTAACCTCTGAGGCCCCTGGAGGATGGGCCCTGGGGATCTCTCTCAGGAAATGCTGCCTGGCCAGACAGACAGATGGACAGACAGAAGCAGGCACAGTGAGGGGCCAGCTGGAAGAGGGGCAGGGTACGGACAGCAGCCCTGGGGGTATGGGAGGAGCGCCAAGGCTTCCAGCGAGGGGCGCCCGGGGAGGAGAGTGCCCCTGGCCCCTCTCTAGCTGGCTTTGCCTGTGGCTTGGGGGTTGTTTTCTGACCACCACCCACAGCAGGCCCTCCACGGGGCAGGGCTTCGGGCTTCCCTGTTCCTGCCCAGTGCCCACTGCAGTGTGGGGCCCACATTAGGCGCTCGACGGGCAGCTGTTGGGGGATGGAGGCAAGAGCAGCTTCTCGCCATGCCGCCCCCTGTGTCAGGTGTGGCCAGAGTGGGGAGGGAGCGTCCCCTAGCCCTTGAGAGCAACAGTTGGTGTCTCTGGGCAGGGCCAGGCACCTTGGCATGCTGGGAGGGACGCTGTCTCCCCGTAAAATGGGGTGGCTCTGAGTCCAAGCTGGAGGGGACTTTGTGGTCATTGGGATTTGTAGAAAACCGGCCCAGAGGATGGGTCCTCAGGACCACACAGGGAGGCTGCCCTAACACCCCTGCCCCTGCACAGAACAGGGAGTCCGGGAGAGCTGCGCGAGAACCACAACTGCTGTGATTTATGGGGGCTAGAGGCCCCCACAGACATGATCCCAGTGGTGACAGAGACCCACCAGGAGAGATCCCTCATCCCCTTCCCAGACATGGACACTGAGGCTCGGGGGTGACTCTGACTCCAGGGTCTCACAGGGCATATGTGGCCGTCCTGGGTGTGAGCCCATCAGTCTGCCCCCTCCAACCATATCCCCGGCCTCTTTCCTTCTCAGGGGCAGGACCTTCCTCAGATCAGGGTCCCCCCTGTCTCCAGCCCCACTGCCCTTTCTCAGGCTTCACACTCTCAGGGTCTCCACTGCCTCTGCAGAGAGCCTCCTCCCTCCCACCCTCCTCAGGTCCTCAGGATTCAGATATGACCCCCAGGCTCCTCCAGCCTTTGAATGCCGACCCTGCCTGTCACTGCCACTGCCCTACATGTGAGCTCTGGGACCCCGCTCAGCCTGCAGCTCAGAAGAACCAGACCTAAATGAAGAAGGGTCCACAGGAGGCCAGAGGAAAGAAAGGGTGTGTCGTCAGGAGGGCAGAGCTCCAGGCTCAGCTAGAGACACCCAGGGCAGAGGCTGGCGGAGAGGGACATGCGGGCACCTCCCAGGAGGGCTGCGTTTTCCAGGCTTCCACATACACGCCACCTGCTCTCTCCTGCTATTTTAAACGGGCACCCTTTGGTTTAAACTGTAAAGCCCCTTCTTGGCCCTATTTTGGCAATACTGCTGGGGAGCTGCGGGGCTTCCTCTAACACTCGCAGAAAGATGCGATGATGAACGTAGGTGCATTAGCCACTGCCACTGACAGCCTGCAGGGTGTGGATGCTGCAGGTTCCTTTTGGGAGGGCAGTGGTGTCCTGGGGTCTGGACCAGGGCAGGGCAGGGGCACCCAGGTGGGGAGGTGCCCAGTGGGGCAGGGCTAGGTGGGCGGGCCTGGCCCGGGTACTCACTGGCCCGTGTGATCACACAGTATTTGTCAGTGGGGGCACACTCCACCAGGGACTCGCAGTGCTCATGGCCGCAGCACACGTGGCAGTGCAGGGCCTGAGCTGGGGGAGGAAGAACAGGCCCCTCAGTCTGAACCTGGGGCTGGCACCGAGCGCCAGGCTCCCAGCCCACCCAGCTTTGCCCCTCTGAGCCACCTCCTCCGCCTTCCCTCCAGGGGAGCCTCTGGGTCCCTGGGGATGGGCCAAAGGGCTAGGGACTTCGTGGTGGTGACCACTCCCTCTGTCCCTTCTTGTCCTGTGTGTGTGAATGTCAGGCTGTCAGCATGAGGGAGGGATATGTGTGGGGCAGGTGTAGGCTGCCCCAGGTCTCACGAAGGGTCTTCCCAGCCACTTTTCTTCCCACGGCTTCCCTAGCACCTGTAAACTCATGCACACATCTGCCTCCCTGCCCTCTGAAACTGCCACTGGGTAGAGGACTGGGGATGCTAGAGAATGTAGTGGAGCCACATCAGCTAAATCAGGAGAAAGATGGATGGATGAAGGGGTGGTTGTTAGGTGGGTGGATGGGTGGGTGGGTGGGTAGGTGAACGAGTGGAAAGGTGGATGGGTGGGTGGATGGATGGAAGGGTGAACGGGTGGGTGGTGGGTGGGTGAGTGGATAAAAGGGTGGGTGGGTGGATGGATGGATGGATGGGTGGTCGGAAGCATGGGTGGGTGGATAAGTGGAAGAGTGGATAGTGGGTGGATGAATGGAAGGGTGAATGGGTGGGTGAGTGGGTGGAAGGGTGGATGGGTGAGTGAGTGGATGGAAAGGTGGATGGGTGAAAGGGTGGATGGATGGGCAGGTGAATGGGTGAAAGGGTGGGTGGATGGATGGGTGGGTGTAAGAGTGAATGGGTGGGTGGATGGGTGGGTGCGTGGATGGATGAAAGAGCAAATGGATGGATGGAAGGGTGGATGGGTGGGTGGATGGCTGAGTGGGTGGATGGGCAGGTGGACGAGTAGAAGGGAGGAGGGGTGGGTGGATGGATGGATGGGTGAATGGATGGGTGGATGGGAGGGTAGATGGGTGGGTGGATGGTGGATGAATGGGTGGGTGGATGGATGGAAGGGTGAATGGGTGGGTGGGTGGATGGGTGAGTGGGTGGATGGATAGAAGGATGGATGGGTGGGTGCGTGGATGGTTGGATGGATGGATGGAAGGGTGGTTGGGTGGGTGGGTGGATGGGCAAGTGGGTGGATGGAAGGATGCATGGGTAGAGTGGCAAATGGTGGAGAGAAGGGATGGGGCAGCATGACGCATACAAGGAGGGGTAACTTCAAGGTGACCTGTGTTATACTTCTTACTGTCCCCATCTTCTGTCTGAATCAAAGTTTCCTCACCTACCAAATGGGAGTAATAACAGCCCATGCTGTGGTCTTTTGGGAGGATGAAATGATGAAATGCACAAAACATTGGCCCCTGCCCCACCCTTCTTTACTGGAAAAGGATTGCAGGAAGCTCCAGGCAGGGAAGCCAGAGGCAGCTGGGTTGCCTTTCCTAGGGCAGGTGTGGCTCTGGGGACTTCACATACAGAAGGTGCTTAAGGGCTGTTGAGAGGGCTATCTGCCTGAAGCCTGCTGGTGATGCCCATACCCCAGCCATGTAGGGATCTGCAGCCAGGCCCTGGTCCAGGCTGCAAGTGGGAGGAACATGGGTGGGCTGTGTTCCTGGCTGGCACCTGTGTGCTGTGTGGTTGCCCCCAGCTTCCAACGACATTGAGGACTGGGTCCACGGGCTCCATGGACAAGGCTGAGATGTACAGTCATGGGGACCTATGGAAGAAGGGCAAGGTACAATGGATGCCCTGGGGAGACACTTGGCCAAGAGGGAACACAGTTTTGATAGAGGGCAGGGAGATCTGGGAAGGCTTCCTGGAGTGGGTGGCCCTGTAGGGACATGGGTGGTGGATTTCTATTTGTAGTTGGAGGAGAGACATTTGGACAGAAGGTGCAGCAAGGAAGAGGGAAGGCCAGATTGTTCAGGGTGTGAGGCCCCAGGAGCTGTGACAGGGCGTGACAGTGGGTGGAGAAGCCAGAAACACCACATCCTGGTGTGGAGGCTGTGCTGCCTGGAAAGGCATCTTTGAGCCTTTTGTACCAGGACTTGGGGGTGGAGGTAGTGAGAAAGGTGCCCTATAGGGGGTATCCTGTAGGTGGTGTCCTGTAGGGGTGTCCTGTAGGTGGTGTCCTGTACGAGTGTCCTGTAGGGGATGTCTTGTAGGGAGTGTCCTGTAGGGGTGTCCTGTAAGGGTGTCCTGTAGGGGGTGTCTTGTAGGGAGTGTCCTGTAAGGGTGTCCTGTAGGGGGTGTCCTGCAGGGAGTGTTTTGTAGGAGCGTCCTGCAGAGTGTCCTGTAGGGAGTGTCCTGTAGGGGATATCCTGTACAGGTGTCCTATAGGGATCGTCCTGTAGGGGTGTCCTGTAGGGGGTGCCCTGTAGGGAGTGTCCCGTAGGGGGTTTCCTGTAGGGAGTGTCCTGTAGAGGTTTCCTGTAGGAGTGTCTTGTAGGGGTTTCCTGTAGGGAGTGTCCTGTAGGGGGTGTCCTGTACAGTGTCCTATAGGGGTGTCCAGTAGGGGTGTCCTGTAGGGGTGTCCTGTAGGGAGTGTCCTGTAGGGGGTGTCCTGTAGGGAGTGTCCTGTAGGGGGTTTTCTGTAGGGAGTGTCCTGTGGAGGTTTCCTGTAGGAGCGCCTTGTAGGGGTTTCCTGTAAGGCAGGTCCTGTAGGGGTTTCCTGTAGGGAGCCTGTAGGGAGTGTCCTGTAGAGGTTTCCTGTAAGAGTGTCTTGTAGGGAGTGTCCTGTAGGGAGCGTCCTGTAGGGGGTGTCCTGTTCAGGTGTCCTATAGGGGGTGTACTGTAGGGGTGTCATATAGGGGTGTCCTGTAGGGGTTTCCTGTAGGTGGTGTCCTGTAGGGGGTGTCCTGTAGGAGGTTTCCTGTAGGGAGTGTCCTGTAGGGAGTGTCCTGTAGAGGTTTTCTGTAGGAGTATCTTGTAGGGTTTTCTTGTAGGGAGTATCCTGTAGAGAATGTCCTGTAGGGAGTGTCCTGTAGAGGGTTTCCTGTAGGGAGTATCCTGTAGGGAGTATCCTGTAGGGAGTGTCCTGTAGGAAGTTTCCTGTAGGGGTTTTCTGTAGGGAGTATCCTGTAGGGAGTGTCCTGTAGGAGGTTTCCTGTAGGGGTTTTCTGTAGGGAGTGTCCTGTAGTGGTGTCCTGTAGAGAGTGTCCTGTAGGGAGTATCCTGTAGGGAGTATCCTGTAGGAGGTGTTCTGTAGGGACGCCCTGTAGGGAGTATCCTGTAGGGGGGTCCTATAGGAGGTGTTCTGTAGGGGTGTCCTGTAGGAGGTGTTCTGTAGGGGTGTCCTGTAGGAGGTGTTTTCTAGGGGTGTCCTTTAGGGGTTTCCCGTAAGGGGGGTTTGTGGGGGTTTCCTGTAAGGGGTGTCCTGTAGGGAGTGTCTTCAAGCAGTGCCCCTGTACGGGGGTCCTGTAGGGGTGTCCTGAAGGGGTTTCCTGTAGGGGGTGTTCTGTAGGGGCGTCCTGTAGAGATGTTCTGTAGGGGTGTCCTCTAGGGGTGTTCTGCAGGGGTGTCCTGTAGGGGTTTCCTGTAAGGGTGTCCTGTAGGGAGTGTCCCGTAGCAGTGCCCTGTACAGGGGTCCTGTAAGGGTGTACTGCAGGCGGTGCTCTGTAGGGAATGTCCTGTAGATGTGTCTTTTATGGGGTATTCTGTAGGGGATGTTGTTTAGGGGGTGTTCTGTAGGGGTGTCTTTTAGGTATGTTCTGTAGGGGTTTTCTATAACGGGTGCCCTGTAGGCTTCCTGTAGGGTGGTCTTGATGGGGGTGTCCTGTAGCAGTTCCCTGGGCAAAGCACACCTGCTCTGACTTCAGAGCGAGTGCCTGCTGCGTGGGGTGATTGCATCTTCCGCACCTGTGCAGCTGATATCCATGTTCTTGGGGTCTGACCCTGACCTTTCTTGCTCTCCCTGCCTACAGCTGGGTTCCTGGTGCTGGTGGGGCCGGGAAACACTCCTAGGTTCCTCTGAACAAGGACCTTACATTACCGCCACTTCTCCGTAGGGATCCTGGTAATCCCTAAGCCCTCGGGCTGTGATGGGAATGAAGGGGTCACCCTCATTAGATCCTGGGAGCAGTGACCAGCTCCCAGCAGGTGCTGTCTGACCGTCAGCATCATATGGGCCAACTTTCCAGAAAAGCAAAGTAAGCCCCAGAGAGCACAGGTGTCCCAGGCCAGTGTCCCCATGTCCTGACTTAGCACCCTTGGCCCCTTCTCTCCCATGGTTGTGCCCTGATATATGGAAGGGTTGTGCCCTTCCGTATAGGGGCTGGAGGGATCCGATCAGCTTGGGCAGCCTGACCTTGACTCCTGCCCTTTCCTGATGCCCCCTCCATCTGTCTTTCCAGCCTTCCCACTGCAGGCCCCTCCTCAAGCTGGGGCTGCTCTCCAAAGTCTCCAGCCCTCCCCACTTCCCCCCTACCCTCACCCCACGCTCAGGAGAAGCTGATGGGGCTAATTATCGCTAGATGATAATTTTTCAGCTGATAATCACATGCTCTGTCCCTCCCACCCACACCCCCTGCCTCCTGGCCCCTTTTCAGGCCCCAAAGCCAGGTCATCAAGGTCAGGGTAGAGTGGGGCTAGGGCGGTGACCAACTAGCCCTGGTTTTCTTAGGACTTTCTTTTTTAGCACTCAGAGTCCAACATCCCAAGAATTCCCCTCTGTCTTGGGAAAAGGGGGATGGAACCCAGGCTGGAACCCAGGACCAGCATCGGGGCTTTCCCCACACAAGCCACAAAGACACCAGAAGCTGTGCCCATAGGAAGAGGCCTCCCCCAACTCCCTGCAGCCCGCAGTCCAGGCTGGTGATCCTTGGCAAAGCCTGCCCTGCCAGCGCCCGGTCCCGGGGTGCCCAGCCCAGGAGCCACCTGCCCCTGTCCCTCCCCTGGTGTGGCCAGCGTCTTACCCAGGGCAGCACACACAGCAGCCAGAAGCAGCAGCACCAGGAGAAGCCTCATCGCGGGGTTGTCCGCCAGGGACTGGGAGCCACAGTGCAAAGGCGCCTTTATATGGTGGCCGGCGACTGAGCCAGACCTGGTAATTTAGCCGGAAGATGCGCTGGGGAGAGCAGGGCCGGCCTGACTCATGCCACTAGGCCTCACTCTGCCCCACCTCCAGGACTCTCAGAAGGCTCCTGTGCCCCCCTCTCTGCTGTCCCTTGGTCCTGAGCCTCTGGGCCCCTACTCCCTGCAGCTTGGGCCCTGTCCTGGGTGTTCTCAGAGGGTCATGGCTCTACCTCTGCAGCCTGGGGGGACTGCCCAGCGCACTTGTGAGTACGTACAGCCCCCTCCCCGCTGCTTCTGAGTATGTGCAGCCCCTCCCCGCCGCTTCTGAGTACGTACAGCCCCCTCCCCGCCGCTTCTGAGTAGGTACAGCCTCATCCCTGGTGCTTCTGAATATCTATGGCCCCCTCCCCTCTGCACTCTCCCTTGCACCAGGGTAGGCAGGGGTCACCAAACCCATTCTAATGGGGAAACTGAGGCACTGGAGGCTGGAAGCTTTGAGCCAGTGCTTCTTAATCTTCAGTGTGCACACAAATCACCTAGGATCCGGTCGAAATGCTGGCTGTGGAGGCCTGGGCGGGGCCTGGAATGGTGCAGGCTCCTTGGGGTGGTGTTGCCTGTCTAGGGTAGGCTTAGCTTGGGCCAGTGGCAGAGCCAAGGTGCACAGGGCAGCCTGGCCATGTCTGAATCACTACCCATCCAACCCCAGGCCAGGCCTGGGGGACTGTGGGGTGACAGGGATATTCTAGGGTCACGGGACATGGCCTGTTTACAGTGGGGCTGGCCCCATTTCTATCCTCAGGGTCTCTCTGGGGTTCTGGAGGCTGAGGGGCAGCAGCTCACAAGCTCAAATCCCCTGGGAGTCTCTCCTCCAACCCCCAATGTCTCCCTGCTTCAGGATGGCTCCCCTTCTGGTCTCCTTCCACCTCCCCCTCCTCATCCTGTCTGCCCTCCCCACTGGGATTGGCTCCAGTCCTCTCTACCCCTTGCATGAGACACTTACACTCACCTTCAGCCTTTCCCAGGCCTTCCCTTGTACCCTGAACACGCTTCTCCCCTGCTGCCCCATCAGCAAGATTGCCTTGTCTGGAGCACTCTGTATCCCCTCTGTCTGGACCTGTGCCCTAGAGGTGCCCCTGAGGGCCTGAATCCCATTCCCGACCTCTGCACAGACCCAAGAGCCCAAGGGCCCTCTTCTCCATCCACCCTCGGAAGCTAGGCCAAGCTGCTGGGCACCCACCCCAAGGCTGGAAGGTGGGGCTGGATGCCCAGGTCGGGGCCATGCAGGATGTCGGGGGGTGGGGCAGGCAAGCTCCAGGGCTGGGACTGGCTCTCTCTGCAGCCATCTCCCAGCATGAAGGCCAAGGAGTCTGGAATTTGAATGAACACCAGGCTTTCCCTGTGGTGTTGATGTTATATTTGTCAACAGTATTTTATTTTAACTGTTTTTTAGCTCCTTTGAAAACTTACATATCTGGGGACACACATGGCATGTGGGCTCCCATTGCCTTGACCCCCAGTGGAAAGGAAGGATCATTTCCTTTCAGCTCCTCTTGCTCCGCTCACTCCAGGTCACCTCTGGGCTTAGCGGCTTCCTGGCCATGGGTCATGGCAGCGTGTGAGCTGCAAAGCTGCCATGGGACAGGGACTGGACTCTGGGGCGGGCACCTTTGCAGACACAACCTCAGTCCTCAGCCCAGGCCTGGGAAGGTTTCCTCATCCACCCCTTGGTGGGGTTGAGGGTCAGGGCCGGTGGGAGGAACCGAGACCCGTGGTGTAACAGGACAGCTGGGCGTTGCAGGCCCTGACACAGCCTCTGAGGGGAGGGGAGGGGGCTCCACACACACCTGCCAGGAGGCCCCTTATGGGTACTTTGAGGCAGGGAGCATTTCTTCAGCTTCCCTGCAGGGCCCTGCCCCAGGAAGAAAGGCATGGTGAGCTGCCAGTGCCACCGTGGATGGCACAGACTGTGATGTGCCCTTCCTCCCCCCATCCCAGTGCCACAGGGCTCTGAGTCTGTGAAAGCAAAGAAGGGGCAGGGTCGCAGCAGCAGCAGCAGTGGGCTGGGGAGAGATCCCCGGTGCTGGGCTCCACCTGCCCTGAGTAGTAACCAATCTGCACAAGGCTGGGCCCCTTCCGCTGCAGAGGCAGGACAGGGGCTGGGGCGGATGGGTGCCTGTGTGAGTGTGACTGTGTGTGAGGCTGTGTGTGAGTGTAAGACTGTGAGAGTGTGAGTGTATGAGAGTGTGAGACTGAGTTAGTGTATGAGCATGTGTGTGTATGAGTGTGTGTATGAGTGTGAATGACAGTGAGTGTATGAGTGTTAGTGTGAGAATGTGTGAATATGAGTGTGTGTTAGTATAGTGTGAGTGCATGTGTATAAGTATGTGAATGAATGAGTGCATGTGAGTGTGTTAGTGTATGAGCTTGAGTGTGTGTGAGTGTATGGGGATGTGTGAGTGTATGAGTGTGTGAATGACAATAAGTGTATGAGTGTGTGTGAGTGTGTGTGTAAGGTGTGTGTGGATGTAAGTGTGTTAGTATAGTGTATGAGTGTGAGTGCGTGTGTATAACTGTGTGTATGTGAGTGAATGAGTGTGTGAATGAGACTGTGTAAGACTGTGTGTGTGATGCTATGTGTGAGTGTACAAGTGTGCACGAATATGTGTGTGAATGACAGTGTATGAGTGTAAGTGTGAGAGTTGAGTGTGTTAGTGTGAGTGTATGAGTGCATGTATATGAGTGTGAGAGTGAATGTGAAAGTGTGTGTGCAGTGAGTGTATGTGTGTGAAAGTGTGAGTGTCAGTGTATGCGTGTGAGAATGTGAATGAGTGTGAACGAGTGTGTGTGTGTGTGAGTGAGCATAGTGTATGAATGTGAGTGTGCAAGTGTGAGTGTGAGGATGCGAGTGTGGTGCATGTGTATATGTGAGTGAATGTGAGTGTGTGTATAAGTGTGAGAGTGAGTGTGAGAATGTGTGTGAGTGTGTTAGTATAGCATGAGTGTATGAGTGAGAAATGAGTTCATGTGTATGAGTGTGTATGTGAGATTGAATATGAGTGTGAAAGTGTCAGTGAGTGTATGAGTGTGTGTTAGTATGAGGATGTATGTGAGACTGAATGTGTGTGTGACAGTGTGACTAAGTGTGAGAGTATGTGTGTGTGCATAAGTGTGTGTGTGAGAAACAGTGTGAGCGTGTGTGAGAGGGTGTATGAGTGTGTGTGTGAGGGTGTGCGGGTGTATGAGTCTGAGTGTGTGTGTGGTGGGACACACATTAGCATAAATCGTCACAGCCAGATGACACCAGTGGGATGGCAGTTTGCAGTCTGGCTGTGCAGGGCCAGCCGCCGCTTCCTGGAGAAGGCCAGGTGGGCTCGGCTGCATTTTGAAGTACAAGCACAGAGAGGCGGGAACTTGAGAGAGAGGACTAGCTTGTGTAGATGGCACACCAGGGCACAGTGAATCCCAGAAACTCAGTATGGGCATCAGCTGGATTTTACCCCGTGCACACCACGTGCACCCGTGCACAGTTCTCAAACTGTCGTCTATATTCTTGGGAGTGAAAGCTGTTTTTCCTTCAGCAGAAGGCTCTGACAAATGCTCAACTCAATGATTTCTCAAAAGGCCTTTTAGGAGCAAGATTCTGCAGCCCCCACAAGGTGGGCGTATAGGAGAGGGGCCATCCTTCTGGGCTCTCAGGGAAGGCTCCGAGGGAAGAGCTGAGGGCAGGGGCTGCCCTGGGCTGGGCTGGGGGTGGGCGTTGGAATGAAGCCTTGCCGCCCACTGCCAGCTGCCCTACTGCCAGCTGCCCTGGCTTCCTCTGCCTGGGGGAAGGCTTGGGCCATTCCTCTTTAAGCTAATCAGGCATTTTACAAGCCGAGTCCGAGTCTTTTATAAGCTAGGTGTTCTCCAAATACAGCCCAGGCTTTCTCTCAGGGCCATAATTAATGGGGCCTCCCCAGCCTGGCATTAGACTCAACTCCCTAGGGTGGCTGAGAGGGGACTCAGGGATGAGCAGGGCAGGTGAAGGAACAGGGGCACGGGTGAGGTTCCACAGGAGCTACATCCCAGCAAGGAACCTGCCAGCCCGGAGGAGCTCGATCCCGCCTACAGGAAGGGACCTGGGACCCCGGTTAGGAGCCCTAGACCTCTGAGTGAACCAGTGGATGAGTCCTGCTCCCGCTCCCTCCCTCTGAAAGCCCTTCCCTCCCTCCAGCCCTCCCTCCACCCCTCTCTCTTTCCCACCCTCCAGTTTTCTCTGCCCTCCTTCCTCCTTCCCTTCCTCCACCCTATTCCCTCCCTTCACCCCTCCAACCACTCATTTTTCTTTCCTTCCCTTCACGCCTCCCTCCACCCCTCCCTCTTTCTCTCTCTCTTTCCCTCTCTCCACCCCCCCCTCTTTTCCTCCCTCTTTCTTTCCCTCCACCCCTCCCTTTTTCCCTCCTTCCATCCTTCCCTTTCTCTCAGCCTTGCCTCTCTCTAGCCAGTGCAGGGGGCAGGGGCTGGAGGGGCATTAGACCCAGGCCCCAGAATTGCAGTGGGCACATGCCAGCCACACTGAGTCTCTAGAGATTTTCAGGACCTTGTTCTCTTCATGCCCAGTTCGGTAGCTGGAAACCTGCATTCACCTCATAGCAGCCTCTAGCCAATGGGCGGAGGGCATCCCTGTCCTGTCCTCTAGCCAATGGCGGAGGGCATCCCTGTCCTGTCCTCTAGCCAACAGGCGGAGGGCATCCCTGTCCTGTCCTCTAACCAATGGGCGGAGGGCATCCCTGTCCTGGCCTCACAGTGAGGAAGCGCTTCATAGATCACAGCTCAAGGCCCACTCGGGCCACTCCTCCTCCACCTGATGCCTGCAGAGCCCCACAACACCTCCTTGAGGCTGCCCAGGGCCCCTTACGCCCTCTGGGGCCCCCCAGTCACTGGCCCAGAGTGGGTGAGGCCCAAGTGGTGCCCTAGTGGCATGAGCTTGTCCGAGTAGAGGAGGATCCTGGGAGTGTAGCCAGTGCCACCTCCCTGCCCAATTCACACAGGGAAAACTGAGTCCGGGTGCAGGTGGAGGAGTCAGGATTTCAACTAAGGCCCCTAAGCCGGCAGCAAGCGCAGGAAAGGAGCTGTGCTGGGGACTCAGATGCTGGCGTGGGGCTCCCGTGCCCATGTGCCCCATGAGGGCCCCTGTGCCAGGGGAATGTGGGGTCACTCGGGAGTTCACGGCCTGGGCTCGAACCAGAGAGAGGACGCAAGGAATCCCAGTTCCTTCCGCAGGGAGAGATGGGGCCACCTTGAAAGGTATCTACACCCACCAGCCCCAGTTCAGGTCTCAGCCCCACTCATGCCCATGCTGTGGGGTGTTGGGCCAGCCCCTCAATCTCTCCAAGCCTGCAATTGGTTGTCTGAAGAAAAAGAGTGACAGCAATGCTGACCAGCACAGAAGGCTGCTCTGGGGTGGGCTTAGCGGTGGATGGGGAGGCCCAAAACCCAGCCAGCAACCAGCAGTGCCCACCCAGCACCCGTATCTTGACTCCTGACATCCTTCTTCACTCACAGGAATGAGCACTACTTGGAGAAAGGGCTGATTCTAGGGATGGAATGCGGGAACACAAGATGAGCCTGAAGTAGTTTTTTTTTGTTTTTTTTTTGAGACGGAGTCATGCTCTGTCACCCAGGCTGGAGTGCAGTGGCGTGATCTCAGCTCACTACAAGCTCTGCCTCCCGGGTTCACGCCATTCTCCTGCCTCAGCCTCCCGAGTAGCTGGGACTACAGGCGCCTGCCACCACGCCCAGATAATTTTTTGTATTTTTAGTAGAGATGGGGTTTCACCGTGTTAGCCAGGATGGTCTCGATCTCCTGACCTCGTGATCCACCTGCCTCGGCCTCCCAAATTGCTGGGATTACAGGCGCGAGCCACTGCGCCCAGCCAAAGTACCTTTAAAAACAAAACAAAACCAAAACCAAACTTCTTTATTGAGATATAATTCATTTCATGAAACTCACCCATTTAAAGTGAACAGTTCAGTGGTTTCAGTACTGCATAGTTGCAGGGTTGTGCAACCATCACCACAATCTAATTTTGGGATGTTTTTACTCCGAAAAGAAACCTGTGCCCATCAGCCGTCAGTGCCAGCTTCCCTGCTCCCAGCCCCTGGCAACCCCTGCTTCACTTTGCCTCCGTGTGAATTTGTCTGTTCTGCACTTGTCATGCAAAGGGGATCATATACTATGTGGCCTCTGTGTCTGGCTTCTGTCCCTGAGCACCAAGTTCTCAAGGCTCACTGCCTTGTTGCCTATGTCAGTGCTTGATTCCACGGAATGTACTCCATGTGGATAGAGCACATTTGTCTATCGGTTCATCAGTTGAAGGACATTTGGGTTGTGGAAGACCATGTGGGGCCAGAAAAGAAGAAAATCCTAAAAAAAAGACCCAAAATGATGCGGACTGTGAAAGGAATAGATCAGGCAGCTGAAAACCCTTCCAATGGCCAGAGCTGGAACAATTTGAGCAGCAAAATAAATAACAGTATTGGATTATACTCCTGTGCATAAAATAAATGTTTACAAGTCCATAATGATATCAATAAATGATTGAAGAAAGAAGGATATTGGAAAGAAAAGACCAATCTTCTGCATAAGAATTCCAAATAATTTACATAGATACTTTGCTTGAAAAGGTGGAGCTTAAATTGCCACTCCTCAGATGTGGCTGCACTTAGTGACTTCCTTCCAACCATGACAGCATGGAAATAGGGTGGGGGAATGTATGAGTGTGTTTTCACGCTGCTTAGAAGGCATACCAGAGACTGGGCAATTTACAAAAGAAAGAAGTTTAATGGACTTACAGTTCCACGTGGCTGGGAAGGGCTCATAATCATGGCAGAAGGCAAGGAGGAGCAAGTCATGTCTTACAGGGATGGCAGCAGGCAAAGAGAAAGACCTTGCGCAGGGAAACTCCCATTTTTAAAACCACCAGATTTCATGAGACTTATTCACTATCATGAGAGCAGCATGGGAAAGACCTGCCCCCATGATTCAATCACCTCCCTCCAGGCACCTCCCACAACATGTGGGAATTCAAGATGTGATTTGGGTGGGGACACAGTGAAACCGTATCGGGGAAAAAACAGGCTTCTCCTGGTAGGAGAGAAGCCTGGCAGATACAACACCATGGAAGTGGTCAAGGTCAGCATCAACAGTGGTGAATCCCAGTGTCAGTGCCTACTGTTGATGTGGTGACAGAAACAGTGATTCACTTCTGCTTCAGTCTTCTCAAAACGACCATCCCAGTCTAACCACCAGGAAAACACCAGGCAAATTGAGAGACACGCCACAAAATATTCAACCAGTACCTCTGAAAACTGTCGAGGTCACGAAAAACAAGGCAAGTCTGAGAAACTGTCACCGCCCAGAGGAGCCTCTGTAAACATGAGTATGTACCACACAGGCTCTTGGAGGGTAATAGATGAGAAAAAGACATTAGGGGAGAATGAAGCCAATCTGAATCAAGTGTGGATTCAGCTCATAATAATGGGTCAATATTGGTTCATTAATTGTGACAAATGGACCACAGGAATATAAGATGTTGAAATAGGGATTTCGGCTGGGTGAGGTGGCTCACGCCCATTATCCCAGCACTTTGGGTGGCTGAGGTGGGAAGATTACTTGAGCCCAGGAGTTTGAGACAAGCCTGGGCAACATAGTGAGATCCCATCTCTACAAAAAAATGGCAAATTAGCCAGGCATGGGGGTGCATGCCTGTAGTCCCAACCACTTGGCAAGCTGAGGCGGGAGGATCACTTGAGCCCAGGAGGTTGAGGCTGCAGTGAGCTGTGATTGCACCACTGCACTCCAGCCTGGGCAACAGAGTGAGACCTTGTCGAAGAAGAAGAAAAAGAAGGAGAAGGAGAAGATAGCAATAAGGATATCTGGGTGTGGGGAATATAGGAACTGTCTGTACTATCTTTGGCAACTTTTCTGTAAATCTAAAACAATTATAAAAGTAATAAGCTTCTATAAAAAATGTGGCAATGCCTATAGAAGTGAGGGGCTCGATGGTGGGGTTTGTGTGGCTGGCAGAGCTCTTCAGGGCAATCGCCACACTTCCTAGGCCACATGCTTAGAGCAGCTGTTCTCCTGGTCCCCAGAAGACCACATCTTGGGTCTTGTTTGCCATGCAGGCAGTAACATTCTGTCTTTGGTAACCTGAAGAAGACCTGCGAATAGCTTGTCTCAGGAGATAAAATGCCAAGATAATGAAGCTAAGGCCACAGGTCACGCCCTTCAATCATCATTGCACAGTAGACGTTCTCACAGGCATGGCTTGCACCTAGACCCTGGTCACACCCTGAGCCCTGACCCTAGACACACACTTAGGTCTGACCCTGGCTACACACTGAGCCCTGATCGTGCTTCCACTCTGTTTTGACTCTGGACATACATTGAGCCCTGATCCTGGATATATATTGAGCCCCGATCCTGGTCACACACTGAGCCCTGATCTGACACTGAGCCTGGATTCTGATCACATACTGAGACCCATTCCCACACTTTGGGTCATGCTGTCACACTATATATGACTCTGGACACACATTGATCTCTGACTGTGGTCACAGGCTGAGTCCTGAATGTGACCCCACACTGTGACCTGACTCTGGACATAAATTAATGCTGATCTTGCTGTAAAAATTAAGTAATTCGAAATCAAAGCTGTTGGAACTTTAAATTATTTTGAGACTTAAAGGAGTGTGACTATAAGACCTGAATCATGTAAACAGGCAGCTGTAACCTTTGTTCTTCTCATTATAGATTAGCCTCTTCTTTACCTGCATCATTGTGCAGTATGTTGTAAAAGACAACAGGGTGCCAAAGAAGACCACTTTCCCTCTTCACTGTTGATCTCTTTATACACTGACTTCCCTTTTACTTCTCCCAGACAAAGACTTCACGACTATCACGTTGTCTAAGATGGAATGTTAAATATACTTTTAAACTGGAAAAGGAAAACAAGTTGTAATCAAATTGCTGTATCTCATAAACTGGCCTTGTACGAAAAAAAAAACATAAGCCTGTTAAATGTCTTTGTTTTATCTGTCTAGAAAAGCAAGACCTTAACTTTCCAGCTTCGGAGCACTGACCTCATTCTTCTAGGGTCTGTGTTACCTGGATGGTCATTCTTAGCTTTGCACTTGAATAAATTTAGACTGGATTCTGATCCTTTCTATTATTTCGGGTTGCCATGGCTCACATTCTCAGCCCTGGCCCTGGTCATAGTGATTGGAAGATGTATTAAGATCTAGGAACAGAGTTTGGGGGAAGCAAAGGAATGCCAGTTTGCTCAGAGACACAGAGCACTTCACAAAGGGATCAGAGAGCAGCTGGGGGCTCAGGCTGATGGGGCTCTTAAAGGGGCATGAGCCGGGAGGCACCGGGAAAAAGCTGGGCATTGCAAGGTGCCCCAGCACCTGCTCTTGGCCATCCTGCTTCTTTCCCTCTTTCCTTCCCACCCAGAACCTTGCCCTGCAACCCCTTTCTCCCTGCTGCCTCTGGCCTCCTGGAGCAGGGAGTACACCAGCTTTTGGAAACCCATTTTGAAGGATCCCAGCCTCTGGGCTCCAGGCTCACTGAGTGTGGCACACAGCTGCACCATGAATGCTTGCCCAGGCATGTCCAGGCTGGTCCCTCCCTGAGCTGTGCTGGCTCCTTTGGGAGCAGAGACTGGGGCGGGGAGGTGGAGGACACAGATGATTCACTCTGGGTTCCCAGGCAGGCTGGGTGCACATGTTTCCAGCTGATCTGGTCAGCCAGGAGCCAGGATGCAAGGATGCCTGTGTTCCTGAGCGTGGGGTGTGGCTGGTATTTTCCAGGAGCAAGGAGGTGGCAAACTGGATAAACAAGGGTGTCTAGGCTTCTGTCTCAGCTCCCAGCAGGCTGCAGGGCTCACCCGGGACAGCTCAGTTTGCCTTCCCTGCAGACTGGGGCTGAGCCATGCCTTGCTCCTGCAGGGCCTACAGCTGGGGGCACTGGAGGTGGCCCGGGAAGGGTCATTAGGAGCTCACCAGCCAGGCAACACCCGCAAGGGCTTCCATCTCCGAACACACTGTCTTGAAGTTCTCTGCCCGCGAAGTGGGGTGGAAATTCAGCACCCCCCCGAGCAGAGCCTGGCCGTGAGATAGATGACTTGCCCTGTTTAAAGCGGTGCCCAGGGACAGCCTCCACGTCACCATCACTCAGGCTCCCTCTTGCAGCCCCTGCTGGCAAAGTGGAAATGTGGCTTGCAGAGTTGCATCTGAAGCCAAGCAGAGGGTGGGAACGGAGCCAAACTCATAACTGAACCACCAGCACCCCCGCTGGGCAGCCCCGGCAGTGCACCCTCGGGGTCCTTCAGCGGAGAGGAGCTGGCCCCACCTGCCAGCCCCATGGTGCTCCCAGCCAGTGATGAGGCATGGCGGGGGCTGCTCCTCTGTGGCCTCCTATTAGGGCAGCTTTGGCTGGGATGTCTCTGAGGCCAGCCGACATCTCAAAATGGCCCCGCCATCCAGGAGGCCCCCTCCTTCCGCAACTGTCAGAGCTATGCGGAGTCCCACAGCTCTCGCCTCCCACTCCTGTTCCCTCTCATCCTTCACAGGCTTTTCTGGCAAAATGTTCTTGCACATAGAGTCCTGCCTTGGCATCTGGTGTGAACAACAGAATCCAGTACACCCAAAGCCCCTCTACAAGACAGCCCCCATCTGCTCTGCAGACGCCCCCGGCCTCAGCCCTGCACCTCTTCCTGTCTCACACACATATACGATACACACACACTCACACACACACAAAATACACTCACACACACAAAATCACTCACATACACAAGACACACAGACGTGTACTCACACACAAGCACAGGGACACACGTACACACATACCCACACATGTACACACGCACACATTCACACAAAATACACACAGACACACATTCACACACATAGACGTTACTTACACAAGCACATGCACACATGTACACACACTCCCACACATGCACACTCACACACAGACATGCACTCACAAGCATATGCATACATGTGCACACATATGCACACTTACTGATGTGCACTCACACACAATACACAGACACACACACGCACTCACACACAACACACACACAGACTGCACTCACATGCACATTCACACACATTCACAATACAGACATACACATGCACACAGGTACATTCCCGCACACGCACACTCACACAGTGCATTCATACAGTACACTCACACTCGGACAAGCACTCACACAAGCATATTCATACGTACATCTACTCACACACGTACACACACAAGCACACTCACATCAGTGACACACACTGGCTCACATGTGCACTCACACATAACACATCCTCTTTCACACATGCACTGACATTCACTCTCAAACATTTGCACACACACACATTTACATTTACTCACACACACATTTACATTTACTCACATACAGTCACATTCACACTCACATTTGCATGTGAACACACCTGTAAGCACACATACACTTGTGCACACACCTGCACACTGTTTGGACTGCACTCACACACCAACCCCAGAGTGCACCAGGCTTGGTCCAGCCCCCCGGCGCTTCCCCCGCGACTGACCGAGGCTGGTGTAGGAGGGAGGGAGGAAGCTGTCCTGCCTCCGGAGGGGAGATGAGGGCCATTCCAGAGCTTAGCTGCTCCGCTGCCTCTCATCAAGAGCAGGGCCAGGGAGGCCCAGCGGCTTCGGGGAGTCAGATTCGGTGGACCAGGCAGGAGGAGGGTAGGACCTGTGGCTCCCCTGCCACGACCACACTGTGTGCTGAGGTGCCTGGCTCTGGGCTCTGGCAGACCAGGTTTTGCAGTGTGGGCTGCATGGCCATCTCCTTCCTCTCCTTAACATTCTTTTTCCATGAAGTGGGAATCATGATCCCTCCAGCCCTAAGTTGTCCCCAGAATTAAAGGGGCATGTGTGTGTCTGGCAGAGTCCTGGGACCAAGGAAAACCCCAGAGAAACAGGGGGACGGTGCTGTGAAAAGGAAGTGTTGGCTGTGAGGGCCTGATCCAAGTCACCTAGGAAGATGGGGGCAAGAGGGACCCGGGCCCAGGGAGCCGCGGAGCCGGGGAGGATGGGGCGGAGGAGGTCTGTGGCTGGCCGGCTTGCACCAGGCCTCCTCTGCTGCCTGCCCACTGCTCCCCAATGCTGGGCAGGACCTCGAGTTTCCTCACCTGCAGGATGGGACCACCCCACCGGCCTCTGCTCGCCTCTCCTTCTCCTTCCCAAACTGCGCAGCTCTCAGCACCCTCTTCGTACCACTCCCAGCACCCAGCAAACACATCTAAAACAGTGTAGCACAGCTCACAGGCCCTGGCACGCTGTGGGGGCTGTGACGGGGCCCAGCAGACCACGGGGACGACGAACATCATCAGAGAGTAACCTGCAACCTGGCCATGCTGGGTCCTCCTGGGGACCTGACTAGCAGGAGGCACCCTTGAGGTCTCGGTGGTTCTGGGGCCCACAGGCTTCAGATCTGGCCCATCTCCCATCTTCCACTCTTCTCCACGGCTCACTTTGCCTGAAAAATAGGCTAATGCTGCCTGCTCTACTGGCCAGCTGGGGAGGCTCTGTTGGTGAAATGAGAGCCCATAGGCTGGAAAGTGTTTGAAACATTTGAAGGCCCAAGTCTGGAGGGCAGGTCCCAAGGTCCACTCAGATCCTGAGTTCATTGGCTCAGCCTTGGGGCGGGGCTCTCGCTCCCGGAAGGGGATCTGCCTGGTGAAGCCCAGGGCAGTGGATTCAAGTCTAAGTCCGCCCCTGTGGATGTGGGGCCTGAGCGAATCACTCAGCCCTCTCAGAGGCCCTCATGAGGCTCCCAATTTCTGGCCTGCCAGGGCATGACCTCCCTGGAGACCCTCACTCCAGACGCCTAGAAGTCAGTGACCCTGCAGCAAGAGGGAGAGGAGCCCACAGCCAGGGCTGCTCTGATGGACGCCACAGGGCCGTGCCGACCCATGGCCCAGACTCCTTTTAGCAAAGGCCTCCTCTAGAAGTGTTTGCCAAGTGCTGGGGGTGGTAAGAAGGGGGTGCCAAGAGCTGCGCAGTTTGGGAGCGAGAAGGGGTGGGAGAACTGAGAGGGGCTGGGTCCCAAGGGGCAGTTGTACTGAGGAGGAGGCTGCCGACAGCGCTGGGCCCCCAAGCCTCTGCTGGGCTTCTGGGAAGCAAACGGCTAAGTGTCCTGTTCCCTGTAGCCCAGCTAAGAAAGACCCTTGAGGGAAGCAGGCAGCCACAGAGGCTGCACAGTCTTGGGAACCGTGGCACAGCCCAGGGTGGGCCAGGACAGTCCCCGTGCCCCTCACAGGCCTGGGGAGGGTAAGGCAGAGCCCATCAGGCTGTCCCCAGAGACCCCAGCTGCCTCCTGGGCCAGGAGACAGGAGTCGTACAGGTTGGCTAGGGGAAGCCCTGGGGGAGATGGGCAGGAGGAGGACGTGGCTAAGAGCTGGGGTGGGTGTTGCGGCCTCTCCAGGAGTATTCTGGAGAGAATTTCCTAAACGGAACAGGCTCTGTGAGGCCACCCACACTTGCTGCCTGCTGGCGACCCCTGGAGTGGCATCCCCCCTCACACTTCTGTGGGACCCTCAGACACAGCCGTCGCCATTGCTGAATGACCGTCGCTGGCCACACGGGCAGCTGGACCATGGCCACAACTCACCGAAGGGCCAGAGGCACGACTCACCGAAGGGGTAGAGGTGGGATGCTGCCCACTGGTGGGAGGAGAGTACAGAGATGGACTCTACCCAGTTGCGACAAATTCAGGAGTTTCCCGAAGGGACTGCGACCTCTGTAGGCAAGGCCAAAACATCTAGGGGAGGCCGGGCGCACACCCCCTGGACCAAGGGTGTGACCCAGGGCTGGCGAGTGGGTACCTGGGTGGGTCTGCCAGGTGGAGAGCCGGCCCTGTCTGCCAAGGGCCCTGAGGGCAGGATGTGGTCTGCCGGACAGCACGTCTGCTCACAGAGGGACCACCTCAGGAGGGCTTTCTTCTGAGCAGTTGTGCTTCCTGTCCTGAGCACCTTGGGGAAACTGAGGCAGGAGGTAGTGTGGAGCGGTGAGTATCTTGGCAGGGGTGCCTCTTCACCAGCTCACGCCGCAAAGCCTGCCTACCCCAGCCTCCAGCCCTCATGGGCCTTGGAACCCCTCCGGGCATTTCCACAGCCCACCCCCAGGAAAGCCTGGCTCACAGGTAACCAGAGCACACTCCTATCACAGTGAGTCCCACAGCACCCATGCCTGGATGCTGGCCAAGCTCAGGCGCCTGCCACTGCCACTGGCTGTGCCCTGCCTGCAGGTCTCCCTCATTCTACCCTCTCCTCAGATTCTCTCCTCTGCCTCCTCCAGGAAGCCTCCCGTGACTCCACCCAGAGCCCTCTTGTCCCTGAATTCCTGGGGTTCTTTTGGCTTTGGGGATAAGTGGGTGTGGAGCTGTCGTGTCCCTAGGTGCAAGCTGGACCGGTGCCCAGCCTCCCCGATGGCCTTCTTAGGGCCCACCCTGCAAACCTCTGCTTTATCTTCCAGATACAACCTCACCCATGAAGGGAAGGCCACGCCTGCATCCCTTAGGGTCAGAAGCCAAGACGCCCTGCAGGCTCTGCACCTGACTCTGGAGCCTAAGATCCCTAGAAGCAGGGCAGTGCTGCCTCCCTACAGCTTAGTCCTGCCCATGGTGGGTCCTTGGTTCAGCCATTCATTCATTCCCTCCCCTCCCCCCTGCCCCATGTCATAGACAGGCTGGCTGGGCCCTATGCCGGGGCTGGGCCAAATCCTGTATGTGCAGAAGGACCCCGTGAGAGCCTGCCCACAGCAAGGTCGGTCAGAAGGGATGGCTGAGACACAAGGGGCAGGGTTTACAGCCCAGGTGGGGGCAGCAGCGTAGGGTGCAGGAGCCCAGAGGGAGGGTGCAGGGCCATCCAGCAAGGCCAGCCTGCAGAAGGCCGTTCCTGCCCAGTCCAGGTGCAGAGCCTTACTAGGACCTGGGAGAGCAAAGGGACAGGCAAGGTCATACCTGCGGGGGTGTGGAGCTCCTCTGCTGGGCCTAGATGTTGAGTTCATACCCCTTTGCCAGGTTGGGAGAGGGCATCGGCTGGGGACAAAGCGGGTCAAGCAGGTATGAGATTACCCTTGGATCTCTTCCTCCTGCAGCTTGGAGGATGCCAGCAGGGGCCGGCGTTGAGGAGGCCCTCGGGTGGCATCACCAGCATGGCTCTGAGGGTCTCTATTTCCAGAGCTCTGCATCTGTGAGCTCAGGCTCCCCACCCAGTCAGCGAGGGAGAAGGCAGGCCGCTCCTCAGTGGACACATGCCAGTGGCCTCAGGTCCCATTGCTCCACCTCTCGCAGTGGAAGGCCACCCCCAATGTGCTGAGTCCACTCAGCAGAAGGGAAGCGCTTTCCCTGAGCTTGCAGGACTCAGCCCAGAGCCCGGTGCTTAGAGGGCTCTGTGAGCCTTTGGGCCCAGGGGGCCTGTAGACGCCTCTGGAGGCTGGAATGTCTGTGGAAAGCACCACCTTGCTGATTCTGCCGCAGAGGCTGGGCTGGCATGTGGGCTGGGGCTTGTCCTAACACTGGGACCCTGGCAGGTCTCTGGGGTTGCAGGCAGGAAGCAGGTAAGGCTTCCACACTACAGCCTGTATGAGGTTGTGTAAGGTAAAGCATTCATGTATTCATTTGCTCGGCAAGTATTCATTTACTTCCTACATGCTGGACACTGTGCTGGGTATTTGCCACAGTGGCCTTGACTGGCATCCACAGGGCCAGCAGCTTAAGGGCACACAGCCTGGGGGCCATGGGGGTGGTAAGAATGTGGGCCTGAGATGGTGGGAAATGGCTCCTGCACGGAAAACATGCTTCCCGTAGTCCCAGGCAGCTTAGAAGACCTACTGATGAGCATCGAAACAGAATCCTGCTCCTAAGCCTGGCTGTGCTCTCCCAGTGTGAGGTCTTTGGTTGCCGTCCATGTCATCGTCCTCCTCCTTACCACAGGGGCCCTGGGCAGCCAACCTTGGCAATACTCATGCAGATCTAATGAAACCATGCCCACAGACACCATCTGTGCCCCTGCCTGGCTACCTCATGCCTGTGCCTGGTTGGAGGCTGCACATCTTTGGCTGGGGTTTGCTCTTGGCCTGGATTCCATTTTCTCCCAGCAAGGTAGGTGTGTAGAGGGGGTGTTTTTCTAGCACTGATGCAGTGGCTGGCATGTTTCTTCATACATGGCATGTGGCATTAGCAATTTAAATCTCCACCTCTGGGTGTGATTTTTAGCATTAAAATGAGGAAGGGGTAACTCCAGGTTGAAATTTAGGTCTAACTACACATGTGGGGCTTCAGGGAAGTCCCTAGCCCCCTGCTTCAGGGGGCTGATTGGCTGAAAGTTAGGTGAGCTAGAGCTTGAGTAAGGGGCTTTGTTTTTCTCCCCTAGGCCAGATCACCACAGGAAGCCAGCCAGCCTGCTTCATTCCCCCTGAGAGATTTCATCTTCATTTTAAGGGGTTTTGGGCAAAGGTCTCTTCTTCTGGAGCTACTTCCTGCTGAGGCGAGTGTCATTCCTATATCCTTTACCTTTACCTGAGAGGAATGGAACTCCTTTCAGCTTAAGGGGACAATCTGCTAGGGCTGAGGGCTTCTGGAACACACTGGAAGCACTGCACGGTCAGTAACATTGTTGCAATCTAGAAGACAAAAGTTTTCCCAGGAAGTTAAACAAGCATGGTCCAAAAATCAAAAGAAGGATAGCCGCTGATGGTCCTAAGGAAGGAAGAAACCAACTTGTAGAGAGAGAGGTGATGAGGCAGCATTCGGAACTGACTCCTCTGCTGGGCTCCCTTTACCAGAGAGTGTGGCCACATTGTCTGATTGTAGATTGCTTGGATGTTCACCTCTGCTTGCCCTGTAGTATTTATCTAAGCATGGCAGGAGGTGTTGGTGACTATGCATACACCTCCTTGTTCTGCCGTTAGGTAATCAAGGGCCAATGGTTACCCAACACCACGTTATCGAGAGAACTGAGGGAGGGCTTCACACCTTCTAGAGCCTGCCCAGTCTGATCCACTACATGACCAATCTGCCATGTCAGGCCTCCCCAAGGGGCTGGTAGACCAATAGTCAGGCCTATTCCCACTGGCACCATGCCAAGGCCTTACCTTGCTCAGACAGTGGCCTGATGTTGGGAGGTGCAGTTGTGGTTACTCCGTTTATCCCCATCGATCCCAAGGCACATTCACCTGTGAATCACACATTGGCTCTGCAGGAATAGGCCTGAGCCAACAGAGGAAAAGTATAAGGAAAGCAGGCAGTGGACCACAGGAGGTTATTAGGGTGGCCTCGAGGGAAAACAATTCCAAGAGGAGCCCAAATTCGAATGTCCCTGGTGTCATTGAGAATGGAGAGGTTCAGGTTATGAATTGTGCAGCTGGGGGTATCAAGCCAGGGTCCTGATGATGGTCTGCATATCCCCTGGTGTCATTGAGAATGGAGAGTTCAGGTTATGAAATGTGCAGTTGGGGGTATCAAGCCAGGGTCCTGAAGATAGTCTGCATATCCCCTGGTATATATCATTTATATAAGGATGTTACTTAACTATTGCTGTCTTCCAGAGGCAGCTTCTTGAACAAATACTTGAGGTCCTCTATAGGTTTATGGGAGTAGACTGTTTTCTCCAAGCAGGCCTGTCGTCCATCAGGAGAAGCAAAAGGTTTTATTCTAGAGACAAGTCCTTCCAACTGTACAGCTGATGGAGTGGCCAAGGAAACCTGGTATGGACCCTTTCATTTCTCAGTGAACTGAGCCTCTGGGCTTCCTTTTCGCCATGTCTTGAGTAGGACCTGTGCACCTGGGCTAGCAGGGAAATGATCTGAAACTCCATGACCCGGCTGAGGTCACATCTTATTATCATATTGGAAGATGGCCTGCTGAACTTGTCCCAAGTTAATGATGTATTTTACAGCCTGATTTAACTCTTCGTCTAGAAGAAAGTGGCTAGGAAGAGGCTAGCAATAAGAGGAGTGGGTTGGGATCCTGTTGGCATCCTATGTCACGCTTAGACAACGATGCTCGCCTAGAAACTCAGGTTAGAGGCTCGGCCCACAAGGTTAGATGCCCTGGGGTATATCTGGAACAATGGAATCTCTTTGCAAGATGTTTGTCAGTGTGTGATCTGAACTAATCCACCTTGTGCCCTCTGCTGGGGATGGGAAAGCTCTACTTCTCATCATTTCCCAGCTCATTGCTTTGCTGTACAGCAGCCTTGGGGCAGCCCCGAATGGCTGGTCCAGAGGTTTCCACCTTCCAGTGGTGGATTCTAATGTTCTTTATGTGTTTCTCTCTGTTCTTCTCTGCCTGCTTTGGATCGGCTGTTACTAAGCTGCTGCCGAGTGGCAACTCTGCTTATCTCACGGTGTTGAGGTGAGACTCACTGCTTTTGGTATTACTGATTCAAGGCTACTTAGAGATTGTCTTTTCTTGTACAGTTCAGCCAGTTCTGGCTAAAATGTATACATTAAAAACTCATTTAAAACTGAAGAAAAAAGTGATGAAAAGGTTTTTTTTTTTTTCTTAAAACCAAACTTCCTTAAAGACTACTTTACCAAAACTTTGGTCCACAGCTTTCCTTGGATTGCTTGTATGTCTGGGTCAATTAAGAAAAGTTTATGCTCTGGGAAACATGTTTCTAGAATTGCGGGTCTTATCTATAAAGTGCTAACATCTGGCAAACAGTGTAGGATCTCTTGCTTCCTCGGTTTTCAGACTCACAGATGAATGAGTGCCCTTAGCTGTCCCTTCCCATCCCTTCCCATCCCTTCCCGCTCCGGTTTCCTGTATGCAATGTGCTCAGCCTTCCGAGCCCTGGGAGAAGCAGGGATTCTCATGCTTCTTTATGTTCCCCTAGGGACTAGGGGTTAGCAGTCCTCACCCCAATGTGTGAGGTCCTTTGGGCTCTATCTGCTGGGGAGCCTGGAGCCAGGGATCCTCCAGGTCAGCCACTACCCGGTTGCATGGGGCTTTTCGGCCTTTAGGGGCCCAGGGTTGCAGTGACACCCCAATGGAGAGCCTGTTTGAGTCTCAGAGGGATATTTGCCAGCACATACTGCTAGGTCCCTCTTGTCCCCTTTGTCAGCTGTGTATTTGCTGTCTGTGCCTCATTAGTGACATCTGTCATCCTGAGCTTGCATGCTCTGAAGTTTACACCTGCCATTTTCCTTCTGGTCCTGGTGATTTTCATTCTTTGGGCTATTTAATTTGGCATCTCTCTGGGCAATGTTGGAGGCCAAAAGCCTCCCAGGAACTAGTCTTATTGAGAAGAAAAATAATTTTGTCTAATTCAGAAGTTATCTAAAGGTCAATTCAAATGATGAACTTGAAAACAGTTACTTACAAAACAAGTTAGAAAAGAGCCAGTAAGTAGGGGAGCGAGAGATGTGAATAAAAGTTATGAATATGAAGATGTATTTTTGGTAAGGAAGGTTATCAAGAAAAGAGAATAACGTTGTATGAAAAAGGATCTTGTATGGTAAATTTTTGTCCTAAAATAAAATGGCTGATTATTTAGGAAAGAGGGAAAGTTTGGGCAAGGCAGAAAGTCCAAGCATGTCTTCAATGATCTGTGTATGTCAGGGTCAAGTTCATGAAGGGGAATTTATGAAAGAAATTTCGTATGTAATTAAGTTGGTTATTATTAAAAGGAAGCCACTTATAATAGTCTTTCTAAAAATTGGTCTCCTATGTTAAAACAAAATGTTCTTAAGGCACTGATTTGCTCTTAATGACATTACAAGAAATTTTACTTTCACTTTTTTTTTGTTTGTTTTGTTTTTTTGAGATGGAGTCTTGCTCTGTCGCCCAGGCTGGAGTGCAGTGGCGCAATCTCGGCTCACTGCAAGCTCCGCCTCCCGGGTTCACACCATTCTCCCGCCTCAGCCTCACGAGTAGCTGGGACTGCAGGAACCCGCCACCACACCTGGCTAATTTTTTGTATTTTTAGTAGAGACAGCGTTTCACCATGTTAACCAGGATGGTCTCAATCTCCTGACTTCCTGATCCACCTGCCTCGGCCTCCCAAAGTGCTGGAATTACAGGCATGAGCCACCACATCTGGCCAACTTTCACTTTTATAAACTGTTTCTCTCGAAAACTTCTCTTTTTTTTTAAATTTTTTTAGTATTTATTGATCATTCTTGGGTGTTTCTCGGAGAGGGGGATTTGGCAGGGTCATAGGACAATAGTGGAGAGAAGGTCAGCAGATAAACATGTGAACAAAGGTCTCTGGTTTTCCTAGGCAGAGGACCCTGCGGCCTTCCGCAGTGTTTGTGTCCCTGGGTACTTGAGATTAGGGAGTGGTGATGACTCTTAACGAGCATGCTGCCTTCAAGCATCTGTTTAACAAAGCACATCTTGCACCGCCCTTAATCCATTTAACCCTGAGTGGACACAGCACATGTTTCAGAGAGCACGGGGTTAGGGGTAAGGTTATAGATTAGCAGCATCCCAAGGCAGAAGGATTTTTCTTAGTACAGAACAAAATGGAGTCTCCTATGTCTACTTCTTTCTACACAGACACAGTAACAATCTGATCTCTCTTTCTTTTCCCCACATTTCCCCCTTTTCTATTCGACAAAACCGCCATCGTCATCATGGCCCGTTCTCAATGAGCTGTTGGGTACACCTCCCAGAGGGGATGGTGGCCGGGCAGAGGGGCCCCTCACTTCCCAGAAGTGGCGGCCGGGCAGAGGGGCCCCCCACCTCCCAGACGGGGTGGCTGCCGGGCGGGGGCGCCCCCCACCTCCCAGACGGGGTGGCCGGGCAGAGACGCTCCTCACTTCCCAGACGGGGCAGCTGCCGGGAGGAGGGGCTCCTCGCTTCTCAGACGGGGCAGCCGGGCAGAGGAGCTCCTCAGTTCCCAGACGGGGTGGTGGCCAGGTAGAGACGCTCTTCACTTCCCAGACAGGGCGGCCGGGCAGAGGCGCTCCTCACATCCCAGACGGGGCAGCTGGGCAGAGGTGCTCCCCACATCCCAGAAGATGGGTGGCCAGGCAGAGATGCTCCTCACTTCCTAGATGGGACGACGGCAGGGAAGAGGCGCTCCTCACTTCCCAGACTGGGCGGCCGGGCAGAGGGGCTCCTCACATCCCAGACGATGGGCGGCCAGGCAGAGACGCTCCTCACTTCCTAGACGGGGTGGCGGCCGGGCAGAGGCTGCAATCTCAGCACTTTGGGAGACCAAGGCAGGTGGCTGGGAGGTGGAGGTTGTAGCGAGCCGAGATCACGCACTGCACTCCAGCCTGGGCAACATTGAGCACTGAGTGAGCGAGACTCTGTCTGCAATCCCGGCACCTCGGGAGGCTGAGGCAGGCAGATCACTCGAGGTCAGGAGCTGGAGACCAGCCCGGCCAATAGGGCGAAACCCCGTCTCCACCAAAAAAATACAAAAACCAGTCAGGCGTGGTGGCGCGCGCCTGCAATCCCAGGCACTCGGCAGGCTGAGGCAGGAGAATCAGGCAGGGAGGTTGCAGTGAGCCGAGATCGCGGCAGTACAGTCCAGCCTTGGCAACAGAGGGAGACCGTTGAAAGCGGGAGACGGAGACGAGGGAGAGGGGGAGACCGTGGAAAGCGGGAGATGGAGACGACGGAGAGGGAGAGGGAGAAGGAGAGGCAGAGGCTCAAAACTTCTCAGATCCATATTTCAGTATTTCAGACATTCCATTTTTTCTGTCTCACTGCTTTCAGCTTTTTCCCCCTTGAGCAGGCCTGAGATGATGACCTTCTCCTTCAGCATTTTTTTGTCGGCTCCTGCACCCCTTTTTTCCTCCAGTTTTAACTGTTGGAATGACCTGATGCTAATGTTTTATCTTGAAGGTCTAGAAAAGCAATGTTTTCTTCTAGTATAAGTTGATTTTATATTCTTGGCTTTTCTTGCTGTGTCTAAATTTTCAGTGTAATCAGAAAACTTCTCATGCTGTTCCTAAGGGTCACATATGCTCATAACCTTAAACACTGTTCCTGTGTCTGATTGCATTCAAGCACTTCTTTCCTCAAGTTTGTCTTCCAGGTTATCTAAATGGGCTTCCTGTAAGAAGCAGCGGTCTCACTGCAGAAGGTTTTCTCTGCCTTTTTATCAGCTGGCTTTACTTTTTTTTTTTTTTTTTTGCAACTGGGTCTCACTTTGTTGCCTAGGCTGGAGTGCAGTGACACAATCTCAGCTCACTGCAACCTCTGCCTCCCGGGTTCAAGCCATTCTCTTGTCTCAGCCTCCCCAGTAGCTGGGACTACAGGCACCTACCACCATGCTCAGCTAATTTTTGTATTTTTTTGGTAGAAATGGGGTTTCACCATGTTGGCCAGTCTGGTCTTTAACTCCTGACCTCAAGTGATCTGCCCACCTCGGCCTCCCAAATTTCTGGGATTACAGGTGTAAGCCACCACACCCAGCCTATCAGCTGGCTTTTTTTAAAAATGCAAGATTTTATATTTTATCAAGATAATTCTTATGCTGTCTTTATTAGGTTTTCTATTGAAAAAAAAAACCCTGAAATTTAAAAGGCTTAAGGTTTTTACATCCATATGACTTTCTGTATTGCTCGTAATGTCTTCTTTATTATTACTCTTGGTTAAATGTGTGGGGAAAAGAAAGAGAGATCAGACTGTTACTGTGTCTATGTAGAAAGAAGTAGACATAAGAAGCTCCATTTTGTTCTGTACTAAGAAATATTCTTCTGCCTTGAGATGCTGTTAATCTGCAACCCTACCCCCAACCCTGTGCTCACAGAGACATGTGCTGTATCGACTCAAGGTTTAATGGATTTAGGGTGCAGGATGTGCTTTGTTAAACAAGTGCTTGAAGGCAGTTTGCTTGTTAAAAGTCATCACCACTCTCTAATCTCAAGTACCCAGGGACACAATACACTGCGGAAGGCCGCAGGGACCTCTGCCGAGGAAAACCAGGTATTGTCCAGGGTTTCTCCCCATGTGATAATCTGAGATATTGCCTCGTGGGAAGGGAAAGACCTGACCGTCCCCCAGCCCGACACCCATAAAGGGTCTGTGCTGAGGAGGATTAGTAAAAGAGGAAGGCCTCTTTGCAGCTGAGATAAGAGGAAGGCATCTGTCTCCTGCTCGTCCCTGGGCAATGGAAGGTCTCGGTGTAAAACCCGATTGTATGTTCCACCTACTGAGATCGGAGAAAACCGCCTTAAGGCAGGAGGTGAGACATGCTGGCAGCAATACTGCTCTTTAATGCACTGAGATGTTTATGTATGTGCACATCAAAGAACAGCACCTATTCTTAAACTTGTTTATGACACAGAGACATTTGTTCACATGTTTTCCTGCTGACCCTCTCCCCATTATCGCCCTATTGTCCTGCCACATCCCCCTCTCCGAGATGGTAGAGATAATGGTCAATAAATACTGAGGGAAGTCAGAGACCGCAGGTGCGGGTCCTCCTTATGCTAAGCGCCGGTCCCCTGGGCCCATTATTGTTTCTCTATACTTTGTCTCTGTGTCTCTTTCTTTTCTCAGTCTCTCATCCCATGTGACGAGAAACACCCACAGGTGTGGAGGGGCAGGCCACCCCTTCAAAATGAATAACTGTTACAATGACCTGTGATTCTGTTTTGATCAAATGTTTTGAGCCTTTTAACATCTTTAACAAATATTCTCAAAATCAAAATCCTAAATTAAGTCTCCGATTTAGTGTCCTCGCTGGGGCTTATTAAACCTATAAAAATTAATCTCTGTGAGGTTATAAAATCTTTGTATAGCTTCCAGGTAGACCATGAACTCCAGTATCACCACCTCCAGCCTGATAATTATATATTGGAAGAAAATTAGTTAAAGGATTCCCTTCAGCCCCCTTGAAACTGCCCTTATCAGGAGTTGTTAGCTAATCCTTGTGCTCAGTTAATAACCTGTTGCAGGCCCTTGACTCCTGGGCACACATGTCTAAAGAAGGCACTGACTTCCACCAGTATCTGACAAAAACTCAAGTTAACTGAAGGCTCGTCTTTAGACCTGGGCAAAGGGGACAACGTAAACTGCTTTCATGAGACACAAGGACAGGCCTGTATTCCAAAACATTATGATTCATTTCATAATTTTGCCTTTATCTGAAATAATATAATTTGTTCTATGCCTTTATACTAAATAATTTAAATGTTTAACTTATTTCCTGGCATTCTCAAAATTAGATAGGGCTTATGACCTTTTCTTTAAAATGTTGTTAATTCTTTATGTTTTCTTTTACCTCCAAAATTTACTCCCACCAGGCCCAGGGAGTGTCATAAGTGTTTTCAGGGCCAGTTTTGAGGAATAAAATGAGTGCAAACCTTCCAAATAAAGGACAGGCACACAAATGCCTAAATGGCTGAACAAAGTGCTTGTGTTTTGTGTAGCTAATTGCCGCAAACCATGATGACAGTAGCTCATACACAGAATGTATAAAGAAGCCAATTTTGTAACCTTGCCTTTTGGCTTTTGATTTTTGGTTCTCATGTTGCTGAAGGGGGTTTAAGATTAATGAGTGCCTGCCCACCTACATTCCCATCTGGCCTAGAGTACTTCATTGGCTCTAAGTCTTTTGACTCAAAGTCCCTTGGCCACAGGAATTCCACCAAGGGGCATGATGGACCCAGGGCAGGTTGCCCACCACTCCCACTCCAGTGTCCACATGGGACAAAATAGAAGCATGGCTGTTGACACTGCCTCTGGCATACCTTGACAAAAAAGGAGGAAAATAAACGTAAATAAATAAATAAAATCCTAAGCACCCCCATCCCCAGCAGAATGGGGCCCCCTTAGGCCAAAAACCTGAAAAACTAGTTTAGGCCAGGAGGGGAAGTGGAGCTGGTAGTCAGAGGGCGGGGAAGGCATGGACAAGCCTCACTATACCTTTCCCCCACCTTGGAATTCAGGCACAACTGACCAGCATTAAAATTAAAAGAGGTCATAAGACTGACAAAACAGACTGGATCGAAGACCCTGCCAGGCAGGGATGAAGTTTGCACCCCAGGGTAGACAGAGGTGTAAGTTACAGGAACGTTTTAAAATATGTTTGCGTCAGGACCACCTTCATGAATATTCATAGCTCCTCTGTTCAACCAGAAGACTTCATCTTATTAAAAACCTGGAAAGAAGGATCCTCTGAGGATCAGTTACAGCCAAGATGGAGGGGCTCATCAGGTATTGTTAAGCACCCCCATTGCCGTTAAACTTCAAGGACTCACTAGCTGGATACACCTGTCTAAGATTAAGCCCGTTTCTTATGAGTCCCCACAGGCACCTGAGAAAGACACTATGGCCAACACCTGTGAACTCTTAGAATACCTAAAGCTGTTGTTTTGGAAATAAACAGATAACTAGCATCCTTAGTCCCTCCCTCCTACTCAGCCTCCTTAACAACTCTCATCCCATACAGGTTTGCACCCCCAGTGGATACCTATGGTCATGTGGTCACCTATTCAATCAGCATATAAATAGCTTATCTCTCATTTGGGACCATGAACTCAATGGTTACCAGCATATTGATAACATTTGGTTCAGGGGTCAATGTACAACACCCTATAATGTACAATTATATACCATCACTTACCTGAGAGCTAAGTGGGCAATTCGCCTTATATTGGCTGGGGTTGAGGCTGCCATTGGCTTACCCACCCCATGGGGAAAATTTGCCTATTATGAGGCAACTCTTCAAAACTTTACTTCTTCATTCTACGCACTGTCTCATAAAACAGGAGACACTTTAGAAACATTAAAACTCTCCCTTGATTCCTTTGCAGATATAATAATTGATGACAGATTAGCACGAGAGTATTATACTTATTGGTTGAACAAGGAGTATGCACTATAAGTAATAAAACCTGCTGCACTTACGTAAACACCTCAGGTCAAATAGAAGAAGATGAACGTAAAATATATGAGCGAGCTGCCCAGTTGCATAAATACAACCAAGGCTGTGATCCTAACTATAGCTGGTCAACAATAAAAAGCACCCTCCTGAGTCTCACTTGGTTTTTGCCCTTCCTAGGACCTTTGATATTTATCTCATTATTAGTAATCTTTCGCCTTTGCTTGTTTAACTTAATGGTAAAGTTTGTGTCTTCTAGATTACAACAATTCCACATAAAGATTATTCTGGCAACCCATCCCGTCTTCTGACCTTGGAAATAAAGACATCCTGCCTCAGGCCCCTTAGATCAGGCATCCAGAGATTTTTACACCTCCAATACTAGGCAAAGCATAAGCCCATAGAATCATCAGTCAGGCTGGAGTTAGAACGTATATGACTATGTGATCGTAAACCCCAGACACAAAAACCACTTGCAAGTGGTCATGAGTCATCCTCACCCTGGGAAGCGAACAGAAACCATCACTGGAGGGGGACATACCCTCCACTCAGACCCCCAGCCTCTGGTTTACTAATGACAAATACAGATATGCCACAGATAACCAGAGGCACAGAAGTGATTAAGCCCCCAGGAGCAAAGGCAGAAGAAACAAAGTCTCCAAGTTAGACTCCCAAGGAATTCCCATATAGGAATGATTGGAGGCAAATGTAAACATACAGCCTTGAAAAGTCAGGAAAAAATCAGGTCACTTCCACTTCTACATGGGATGCAGTAGGTTGTGGCTGCTCAGAATGTGACAACCGGGCAAATCAATCCACAGAGTTAAAAGTCACATTTGAAAGGCCCTTGGACAGATGTGGAAGCACCAAGGCCTGCATGAACTGAAATTCCGCAGAGGGCGAGCCCTTCCCAGGGTACCCTTTGTCATTGCAGATACATTTGTCACTTTGGGCACCAGCTGAAAGCCAGGCTGGCTACAGACAGGGACTCCGGTAGGGAATGCAAACCAGAGTGCCGTCTTGGCTCACGGGGAACCAAAGTGGCCCAGAATCTCCAGGTACCTAAAGATCAAGACAGTTTTCCCATGGAAGAGCCTCCAAGTGCTGTGGTGGGAGGGACCCTGGGGAGTCAGAGAAGGCCAAGTAGAATCCCCCCCAGTGTGGCAGATCCCAGGAGACAGAGTGCCCCTAGAAGGAGCCTGCCACAGTCATACCACTGGTCTCCATCATAAGCCAGTGGCCCCGATGGAACAGGTGTGTGGGATGAGGTTCAAGGGGAAAGTCAAAGCCTAGAAAGGGAAACCCGTCCGAGCTGAGGATTCGGTGTGAAAGGTGAGCATACAAATTGGGTCACCCTTGTCACACCCAACTAAGGCAGAGTGCCAGGTAGGGAGACCATTCAGCACTCAGGATAGAAAACATTGCTCCAAGAATGTACTTCTCTGAGGCCTGACTGCTGAAACTGTCTGCGGTAACCTGAAACCAGTTTTATCTGATGGCTACTGAGACCACCTGCTGCAACTCTAAGCCTCGGTTCACCCACTGCCGTCACTGATTCACTCATCAACCAGAGCTTGCCAGCTCCCCAAAATCCTACTAGTGCCAATGAAACTCAGACAGCAATATGTACTATTTCTCTTCTTTATAAAAAAGAGACATAGTTCCTTTTTTTTTGAGACAGAGACTTGATTTGTCCTGCAGGTTGGAGCACAATGGCACGATCTCGGCTCACTACAACCTCCACCTCCTGGGATCAAGGGATTCTCCTGCCTCAGCCTCCTGAGTAGCTGGGACTACAGGCACACACCACCACACCCAGCTAATTTTTGTATTTTTAGTAGAGACGGGGTTTCACCATGTTGATCACTCTGGTCTTGAACTCCTGACCTCAAATGATCTGCCCGCCTCAGCCTCCCAAAATGCTGGGATTACAGGTGTAAGCCACCGCGAATTTAAAAAAGCCTTTTCTTTGTTCTTTGGACATACTGAAGGCCAGCCAGTCTGCCCCCGTGCCCCTAATTGCAGTTATTTCCTCCCAAATAAAACATTTCAATTTCAGAAATTCACCTATTTTATATGACTTCGACAAGAGCCAAGCCACACTGTGTAGGAGATGCTCGGGTGAAGCCAGCTGTCCCTGGCCACACACAGCTTGAAGGCAAAATGGCAGGAGCTCAAGCGAAAGCCAGGCAGGTCTCCCCCTGAAACCTCTGCACAGGTGGGCGCTGGCGGGGCTGAAGGGCAAGGGCACCGCTCAAGCTGGCTTTGGTCAGGGTTAGGGACAGGGCCGGCTCCAGAGGCGACGGGGTCGCACCCTGAGCGGAGGGGCTCCCGGGGTCCCCAGGGGTTATGGTGATGGCGGGACCCCCTAGAGGGAGGGTCCAGGAACGAGGCAGGTGGACTGGGACCTTGAGGGCAGGGTGGGCCTGGGCGGTGCCAACAGGCTGCCGAGGGTGGCTGCTGTCCCGTTTCTCCAGCAGCCAGGGCCGTGCGCTTCTAGAACATTCCCCGTGGCTTTCCTAAAGGGAGCGTGGATGGAGCCAGGGTGTGCAGATTTCTGTGAGAAATATTTTCACCTGGGAGCCCCAAGGGGGACCCTGCCCACCTTTGAACACTGGCAGATGGGCTGGAGGCCTGGAGCCTGGGGACGGGGCTTTGAGGGTCCGGAAGGAGGGCGGGGCTGTGCGGCCGGCGGAGGCCCCCGAAAGTTCCAGAAAGCGGGTGGGGAGGTCGGCGCGGGAGGCTCAGATGGCTGGAGGCGGCGGGCACGCACACTGCGGGGCTCCGAGGGGCACAGGTCAGTTTCCTGAGGCGGGTCGGGACCCAGGCGTGAGACTGGAGTCTGCCCAGGGGCCCAGCTGAGGCAGCCTCCTCGTCAGCTGCTTGGGCCGCCAGGACGCCGCCGGGGGTGCGCCGCGCTTCCCTGGATGGGGTGCCCCCACTCCCCTCGGAGCCCCAGGGAGACCCCCCGAACTCAGCTCCTCTCAGGGGTGCCAGGGGGACCCCTCAAAACTCCACTCCCCGCAGGTTCCTGGGGAGACGCCCCCTGCTCCATTCCCCTCAGGGTCCCAGGGAGACCCCCTAATTCAGCTCCTCTCAGGGGTACTGGGGGACCTCTCGAGCTCCACTCCCATCAGGGTCCCAGGGAGACCCCCCAACTATGCTCAGGGGTCCCAGGGAGATGCCAGCACCCCAACTCCGCTTCCCTGGGGCCCCCCTCCCCTTACAGCTCAACTTCCCTCGAGAGTCTGGGGCTGGGGCTCCGTTCAGTTCTTGAGTCCCCTTCCCTCGGGGTGTCCCGGGGCCGCCCACCCCCACACTGTCTGTGATTCCCCAAGGCGCGGGTCTCGGGCCGCAGCCTGTTCCACGTTCTGCTGCTCGTTCTTTTCTGGCTCCTTGCTTTCGAAGGAGAGAAGGAGGCCTTCGTTTCCAGTCTTTTTGCCTTTTCTAATGGAGCCCTGCTTTTCCTTCCGTGTCCCTTCAGGCTACTTCTGCCAGGTTTCTATTTTTCATTCTTTATTATGACTTTGCCCAAAATATTCTTGACTTCTATTGAGAAGGATTTGGGGGTCTATTTCTTATTTGGAGGTGTGTTCTTAAGTTCCAAACAGATGAGGATTTTCCAGTTAATCCTTCTGGGGTGACTTATTGCTTAATGCCACCATAGTCAGAAAATGGACTCTCAGTGTCCGAAACTGCATTCGGCTCTGAAGTGTCTGTCCTTGTCACCTCTTGCAATGTTTTTTGCCTGGAAGCCTGCACTCGCCGACGCTGACGTAACTGTTTCTGCCTTTCAGTTCTACAGCCTCCTTTGCTTTGTGATATTGTCATATACTTTATTTCTATATATGTTATGAACTCAATATTTCTTGTAGTGGGTCTGCTGATAATAAGATATTCCTACTCTTTTTGTCTGAAGCCATCTTAAGCTTACCCTGTATTTGCCCCATGCATCTCTTCCGTTTCACGGTTCCTGAGTTGTCACCTTTGTGATAAACTGGTAATAGTAAGTAAACTGTTTTCTTGTGCTCTGTAAGCTGTTCTAGCAAATTATCTAGGAGGAGGTGGTCTTGGAAACCCTTGATTTATAACTGGGCAGTCAGAAGTACACGTGGCCCAGACTTGTGATTGGCATCTGAAGTGGGGGCATTAGGGTGGGACTGAGCCCTTCACCTGTGGGGTCTGCCCTGCTCAAGGCAGTGTCAGAATTGAATTGAAATGTTGGACGGTCAGTGTCCAGAGAGTTGGAGAACTGGTTTGTGTGTAAAAACTCACATATTTAGGGTCAGAAGTATGGTGGTGTAGAAATAATTCATACTATAGTCCCTTATTTCTGCCTCTTACACATCCTGTTATTTTTAAAATTTTTTCATCTTTAAAAAATCAATTTAGTAATCTTTTTCTCTTTAATGCTCTCATTAGAATTTTTAAAGTACTTGTATGCTAATGTCAACATTTGAGTGAACTGTGGGTTTATTTCTATTGTTGTTTTATTGATTAGCAATAATTTATTCCTAATTCTTACATATCCTGTGATGTTTTTATTGAACATCTTGCGTTGCGTACAAAATAGCTGGAAAGCTTGGAGGTGGTTGTATGTTACTACTGGGGATGTGTGCCCTCTCCTCTCTCCAGGAGCCTGTGGGAAGGCCTGGACTACTGGCTTGCTCAAAGGTGGAGGCCAAGTGGGATGCTTGCAGCTTCAACCTGACCCTGGCTGCCTCTGGAGCCGGCCCTGTCTCTAACCCTAACTGAAGCCATCTTGAGCGGTGCCCTTCCCCTTCTCCTACAGAGTGTGGCTTGTCTCGTGTTGAAGTCAAATAAAATAGATGACTTTCTGAAATTGAAATCTTTTCTTTCGGAGGAAATAATTGTAATTAGGGGCATGGGGGTAGACGGGCTGGCATTCAGTATGTCCAAAGAACAAAGAGAAGGATTTTTAAAATTTGCAGTGGCTCACACCTGTAATCCCAGCACTTTGGGAGGCTGAGGCAGGCAGATCACTTGAGGTCAGGAGTTCAAGACCAGCGTGGCCAACATAGTGAAACCCCGTCTCTACTAAAAATACAAAAATTAGCTGGGCGTAGTGGCGTGCGCCCATAGTCCCAGCTACTCAGGAGGCTGAGGCAGGAGAACTGCTTGAACCCTGGAGGTGGAGGTTGTAGTGAGCCGAGATCACGCCATTGCACTCCAACTCCAACCTGCAGGACAGAGCGAGACTCTGTTTCAAAAAAAGAAACTATGTCTCTTTTTTATAAAGAAGAGAAATAGTACATATTGCTGTCTGAGTTTCATTGGCACTAGTAGGATTTTGGGGAGCTGGCAAGCTCTGGTTGATGAGTGAATCAGTGACAGCAGTGGGTGAACCGAGGCTTAGAGTTGCAGCAGGTGGTCTCAGTAGCCATCAGATAAAACTGGTTTCAGGTTACCGCAGGCAGTTTCAGCAGTCAGGCCTCAGAGAAGTACATTCTTGGAGCAATGTTTTCTATCCTGAGTGCTGAATGGTCTCCCTACCTGGCACTCTGCCTTAGTTGGGTGTGACAAGGGTGACCCAATTTGTATGCTCACCTTTCACACCGAATCCTCAGCTCGGACAGGTTTCCCTGTCTAGGCTTTGACTTTCCCCTTGAACCTCATCCCACACACCTGTTCCATCGGGGCCACTGGCTTATGATGGAGACCAGTGGTATGACTGTGGCAGGCTCCTTCTAGGGGCACTCTGTCTCCTGGGATCTGCCACACTGGGGGGGATTCTACTTGGCCTTCTCTGACTCCCCAGGGTCCCTCCCACCACAGCACTTGGAGGCTCTTCCATGGGAAAACTGTCTTGATCTTTAGGTACCTGGAGATTCTGGGCCACTTTGGTTCCCCGTGAGCCAAGACGGCACTCTGGTTTGCATTCCCTACTGGAGTCCCTGTCTGTAGCCAGCCTGGCTTTCAGCTGGTGCCCAAAGTGACAAATGTATTTGCAATGACAAAGGGTACCCTGGGAAGGGCTCGCCCTCTTCGGAATTTCAGTTTACGTGGGCCTTGGTGCTTCCACATCTGTCCAAGGGCCTTTCAAATGTGACTTTTAACTCTGTGGATTGATTTGCCTGGTTGTCACATTCTGAGCAGCCACAACCTACTGCATCCCATGTAGAAGTGGAAGTGACCTGATTTTTTCCTGACTTTTCAAGGCTGTATGTTTACATTTGCCTCCAATCATTCCTATATGGGAATTCCTTGGGAGTCTAACTTGGAGATTTTGTTTCTTCTGCCTTTGCTCCTGGGGGCTTAATCACTTCTGTGCCTCTGGTTATCTGTGGCACATTTGTATTTGTCATTAGTCAACCGGAGACTCGGGGTCTGAGTGGAGGGTATGTCCCCCTCCAGTGATGGTTTCTGTTGGCTTCCCAGGGTGAGGATGACTCATGACCACTTGCAAGTGGTTTTTGTGTCTGGGGTTTATGATCACACAGTCATACACGTTCTAACTCCAGACTGACTGTTGAGAAAGCCTCTGGGTAAGGAATTCCTGGGAAACACACTGTTTTCATGCATCCTCTGGAAGATGAGGCCTGAAGTTACCAGGGTCTCTGTTTGCTGATGCTGATGATCCACATTTTCTAGCCCACTCTGCTTCTCTGACACCTTTAGTCTTGAGGATCCATGCTCTGTGAAGGAATCCAAGCTCTCATTTCGCACTCACCTTGGCCCTGGCTCTGTCTCCAGGACCTCTTCTACTACAAAATCCTAAAGCTCTGGGAGCTGGGTGTCAACCTGTGCCCGAGGAAATCATACAGTTACTGTGGACTTTCCAGTTTGCTGTCTTCTAGTATTCCATTGTAGCTCTTGGGTATTTTCCCATCCACCCCAAGATCCAGCTGGAAATCAGTGAACACACTTGATGGGAGTTTTCCTGCATGTGCTCTGGGCATTGACAGTAGAAGGGTGTTCAGAATGTCTGCTGTGCCCTCATGGAGGAAGAGGGCCTCAGTGTACATGCTCTGGGTCAGTAGGTGCCCTTGAGCCCAGCTTTGGGAGCAAGTGTTGGATGAGTGAAGGAGGCATCCAGGGAAAGCAGGCACGACAGAGTGGAGACGGGGCTGCTGGGTCTCAGGGGAATGGGCATGGAGTGGGTAGGAGATCCACCTAGGGAGGCTGGCTGGCTGGACGAGTCAGGAGCCCCTTCCAAGGGTGGACACTGACAGGCCCCCAGTCTTGGTCTCCTGCATGCCAGAGGTACCAGCCCATCTTTTTTCCTAAACTTGATGACCTAGGGCTAGGGGCATTTTGAATCTCAGCCTCGCCCACTGGCGCTGGACTTGGTACACAGGGTGGGGCAAAGTGGGTACTGGATCCTGATCATCCCTATCCCTGGGGTGTGGCTTCTTGCTGCACAGTCAGCTTCTAGTTCTGTAGCCCCAGCTGCTCCTGCGGTGGAGGGAGCTACACATCAGGCTCTGACCCCCTCCAGGTGGGGCCTTCGCGTGAGGGGAGTCAGCACGCATCAGCAGCTGGGCCCAGGGAGTTGCCCCACTGAGCACTGCGGGCTGACCTGCTCCCAACCAGGGAGATGGAGCTTCCCCCTTGAGTCGGGCTGCTGAAGGGGGGTAGGGGATGGAGACAGTGCGTTTGCAGGAGTAAGGGTGCAGTTGGGTCCCTGCGAGAAAATGTCTCAGTTGTGGCAACTGATTGGTGACCTGGGGGGCGTTTCTGAGCCCACAGTGCTGGCATCAGGACTCAGGTGTGAGGTGCCCCAGACCCTCCCCTTGCCAGTAATTAGCTGATGGCTCGGTGATGCCCAGGGTGAAGGAAGACTTGATTTTGGGAGGGGAGTTCTCTCGTAATGACACTGAGGATGCCTTCAAGTTGGGCTTCTGGCATGTTCTGCCCTCGCTCCCCTTCTGTAGTCACCTTGGCCCTCGTGTTGCTGAGCTGTGTGTGGGAGCGGGAAGCGCGTCAGTGGGCGGAGGGAGCGGGAAGCGCGTCAGTGGGCGGAGTATTTGAGAACATTTCACAAGCCGCTGTTGAGGTTCAGAATCAACCAGCAGATACAGAAACATATTTCGGAGCGTGGGGACCCTTGGGTGAGCTGCCACATGAAGCAGCCCCAGGACCTCCCTGGCTCAAGGAGTGACAGCGAGTTTGTCTGAGGTGAGGGCACAGGCCTGGCGAAGCCTCGTGTGTGGGTGAGACCTGCCCGACCCCAGTGCCTTACCCGAGGAGCTACTGGCCCAGTGGGGGAGGCATTCAGGTGGGCAGAGTCAGGGAGACTCATGAGGCCGTTGAGGCCAGGGGCATAGAGCTGGCCAAGGAGCCATGGCTCACTAACGTGTTGTATGGGGCTCCTTCCCTTCAGGTCCAGGCTCCTGCGTGAAGTGATGCTCCTCTTTGCCTTACTCCTAGCCATGGAGCTCCCATTGGTGGCAGCCAGTGCCACCATGCGCGCTCAGTGTAAGTATCATTCCCTCTCACTGTCCTGGAGAGGACGAGAATTCACCTGGGGTGCTGGGGGTCACTGGGATGATTGGCTGCAACGTGGAGCAAGCCTCCGTTAGCTGGGGCCTGCATTGTCTGTGTAATCAGGGGTGGGCACTAGGGCAGTCCAGGAGTAGTCATGAGCAAGGAGAGGGTTAGGATGAAGGAGCAGCTGACCAGGGACCAAGGGGGAACCTTGATGTGGCCCTTCTCCATCAGCGCCAGGCAGGAGGGGCTCTGTCCAGGGAAACCCAGGAGGATGGCGGACCCCTGTGAGTATCCAGTCTTCCTTGGCGAGGTGAGCCAGGTCTGCAGAGCATAGCAATCCCGTATGTGACCACCAGTGGCGCTCTCTGGAGCCTGCGTTGGAGAGCAGGGAAAGCTCTCCTTGTGCCTGGCCTCCCTCCCAGGAGCTAGCCTGGGCCAGACTCAGACTGCATAGAGAGCTGAGCTGTGCAGGCTAGGAGAAGTCCTTGGAAGCAGAGGGGAAGGGCTGGCCGTTGAAGAAGGGTGGAGTGAGCTGGTAATGGGTGGAAAAGGCGTAGTGGAGCAGAAGCCTGAAGCCTGCTTTCTCCCCTCTCAGGGACTTACAGTTTGAGATGCCATGACTGTGCGGTCATAAATGACTTCAACTGTCCCAACATTAGAGTATGTCCGTATCATATTAGGCGCTGTATGACAATCTCCATTCGTAAGTACCTCTTTGTCATTTTGACACATTGTAGATTAGTCCCCTACCTGGGTAGTTTCTGGGGCCAGGGCCAGTCTGCTTTCTTCTCTGCACCCAGCTCTGTTTCCCCTTCCCTCATGTCCTCCCATCCTGAGTGCGTTTCTGCACGCTTTGGTCTCAGCCTCATGATAGGCCAGCATGCATCATCTTGTAGAGCCAGGTACTCTGCAAAGTAGTACAATCTGTCCACACATCTGCAGCGTCTCCAGGGGGTAGGAGCATTGCTGGACCTCAGAGCCTCTACTGTCCCTGGTTGTGTGTGTAGACACCCCATGCTGCCTGGGTGAGTCCTCACTGGCCATTCAATTTCTGGTAGTCTAGAGAGTGCTTCCAGCTCGGCAGGTCAAAGCAGTGGATGGGCCATGGACTCCCCCCAGGGAAAAACCTACCACACACAGATGGGAAGGACAAGCATGAGGTCAGGGCACAGCCTGCACTTCCAGGATGCTCTTGCTTTTTCCTCAGAGCCCTCTGGTGCCCTCTCTCCCCAGGGCCCTAACCTGCAGAAGATGTATGGCCAGAGGCCCAGTGACCAATGGAGCAAGCAGGGAGGGTGCAGCCAGTGTATGCCCTGGCGCACAGGTGGAGCCTCGTCTGGGGCTCTGCTCAGGGCCTTTCCTGTAGCCCTTTTGTCCCCGGTGTCTGTGGTTGTGCTTGCAACTTCACATGTCATTCTGTGTTCTAAGCTTTGTGCAAAAATAATCCCCTGATTACCACCTCGGTGTGGTTTGGCTATGTCCCCACCCAGATCTCATCTTGAATTGTAACTCCCATAATCCCCGTGTGTCATGGGAGGGACCTGGTGGGAGGTAATTGAATCATGTGGGTGGTTACCCTCATGATGTTCTCGTGATAGTGAGTTCCCACAAGATCTGATGGTTTTATAAGGAGCTTTTCCCCGGCACTTCTCCTTCCTGCCATCATTTGAAGCATGTGTTTGCTACCCCTTCTGCTGTCATTGTAAGTTTCCTGAGGCCTCCCCAGCCACGCGGAACTGTGAGTCAGTTAAACCTCTTTCCTTTATAAATTGCCCAGTCTCGGGCAGTTCTTTATAGCAGCGTGAGAAGAGACTCATACACACCTCTTCTTCAGACCAACTGCTGATTTGGGACATGGGCAGGAGGCTGAGAATCTGGGCTTTGTCTCCACAGTGGCCACTGCTGGGGACCTTGATGGCATGGTTTTGTCATGTTGGGATTACTGCCTCTAAATGAGGCTGAGAACTATCTTTCCCATAACTCCCTCGTGGGGTAATAGTTGGCAAAAAGAGGAACTTGAGTGAGATTCGCAAGGTATGGGTGAAGCAGAGATCACTCTTCTGGAAGGTCACGATGGTTTAGTGAAGTGAAGGACACTGGTGGACTCCAATCTGTCCTCCTTCATGTCCACCCCATCTTCTCCACTTTTGAGCCTTTGACTGAAAGCAATTCTAAGACTCCAGCAGGCATTTGGCCACTGGCCTGCCTAGGTGATGGGTACTCCAGTGGCGCAGTTTAAATGTCTCTGCAAGAGACTCCTCTGCACAGCCTTACTTGAGAGGATAACGGTGCATGGCCTTTGATATTGCCCTGCAGAGTTGGGCTGTTCCAGCCTGCCCCAGTGTAAGTGACCTAGCTCTGGACTGTTGTTCCTCTGATCTTCAGCCTTACCTGACTGACTTCCTTTCTTGGCTCCCCCATGGTCATGGCAGCTGCAACACTTTTATTTAATAACTTAGACCTAGACTGTTTTAGAGGCTCCATTTTCCTGAATGAACCCTGATGGATATTAGGACAAAGAAATTGGGAATGCTGGAATGCTGGGACATTTTTCCTTTCAGGAGATTTGCTGATTTCTGGGGCTGTGCAGGATGGTAAGCAAAAGACCTCTATGGAAAGAAACGCAGGCAGTGTCCTGAGACAAGGGGCCTGGGTATGAGGCATATAGGAACTCTGCACTATCTCTGCAACTTTTCTGAAAACCTAAAACTATTTTTAAAATAAAAGGTTCATACACACACACACACACACACACACACACACACACACACACACACCATAACCCCACTACCTTGTGGATTCAATAACAGAATTGCAATGTGGTTTACAATTTGAAACCCATCAGTTTAATTCACCATATTAACAAAGAAAAGGGCAGAGATGATTGTAGATGCTGAAATGTTTTGATAAAATCCAACACCCTTTCCAAATCTCTGAGGGAAATGTCTACCATCACCACTTCTATTCCCAATGGAACTGGAGTTGTTAGGTAGTTCAGTTAGGCAAGAGGAAGTATTAAGTCTCATGGAGAGGAGAAAGAAAGAATTTAAACTGCTTACTATTCATCAGAGACAACAAACTTCAAATAACAAATATCTTTAGGAAAGATCCTGGATACAAGATAAGTATTCAAAAATCAGTTTACAAAATCAGTTGTCCTTTTGTACATCAAGAAACAGATTGAAAATGAAATCCAAGGAATGGTGCTCTTTAAAGTATCACAAAATCAAGTACCACAAATCTAACTGGATTTGTGCAAGATTTCAACACTCAAACTGCAAGAACACTATTGAAGACTTAAAACACCATTAAAGACTTAAACACATGGAATTGTACACTATACTTATGGATCATGAGAATCAAAAGAGTAAGGATATCTCTTCTCCAATTAACCTACAAATCCAAAAGAATTTCAGTCAAAGTCTCAGCAGGGGTATGTTTGTGTTTTGACAAGTTGGTGCCGAATGCTTTTTGAAAATATGAAGGGCTAGGAATAACCAAAGCAGTCTTGGGGAAAAAGAAAAAAGCTCGAGGACTTGTGCTCTGAACTATCAAACCGTTTCCTTAATCAAAACGGTTTGGTGTTGGATCCTGTGGTCAGGATTGAAAAATAACAACATTAGAAGAGAAATAATTCAGAAAAAGCCACATACTTCTGGTTTCTTGATCTCTGACAAAGTTGACCCTGCAGTGCAGTAGGTAAAGACACTTCTCTGCGCTGAGCAGTAGTGGATATGTTAGATATTTATACACAATATCTGCACCATATAAAAGAAGCAGTTTCAGGTGGTTTGTAGATCTCAATGTAAATATTAAACCAATAAAGTTTTTAGAGAAAAATGTAAAATGCTGTATTTATGACTTTTAGGAATTAAGAATTTAAAAAATCGAACAAAATAGTGCTAGTCACATAAGAATGAAATTGATAGGTTGAATTACCTTTAACTTCAAAACTTCTGTTCCTAAGAAGATACCTGTGAAATAGTATAACCGCAAGCCACGGATGAGGAGAAAGCATTTCAAAACATGTATTTACTAAAGTACTTGTGTTCATAATATAATGAACTTATTCCTATGAATTAATAAAAAACTGATCAATGGAAATTTAAACAAAAGGTTTAAAGGGAATTTGCCAGAAAATGGTGTCTGAATGTGTAACATACATAAGAAAAGTTGTTCACTGTCGTTCTTCTTGAAAGAAATGCAGCTTAAAACCACAACACAATAACACCACAGGAAATGACTCAGTATCCTAAAGTGATCATAACAAGTGTTGTCAGGGTTCTGAACTGTGCACAATCCCTCAGACTATAGATAAGTTCAACCCAGTGTAGAAAACTCTTCGATGTTGTCGGCTAAAGCTGCGTATCAAACACTGAGACTCAGCGCTTCTACTCCTAGGTACATAGCTAATTATAAAAAAGCTTATACAGGCTCACCTTAAGGCAAATACAAGACAAGAGTATTCATTGCAGCACTATTTGGAGTAGACAAAAACCAGAAACAACCTCAATGTCCATCAACAATAAATTGTGGTATGTTCACCAATGTAATGCTATGCAATTTTGAGAATGAACAATATACAACAGTGTGCAACAATAGGGATAAATTTCATAAACACAGATTAGAGCAAAAGAAGCCATCCACAAAAGCAGATGTAATGTATAATTTCATTTCATAAAGTTCAAAACCAAACAGAACTAACCTATAGGTTTAGAAGCCCATACATTTCCTGTCTTTGGCCTGGGCTGCTCACAGCAGTGTCTGCATGGAGGAACAGAGTGAAGAATCCTGGGGCTCTCTTGCAGCTCTGTTTCTGATGCTGCATGCTGAGTACTGGCTGTGGGCACTTGGTGACAATCCATTGAGTTGTGGACTTATGGTCAGGCACATTTCTGTAGAATGGTGAACTCCAATAAACTTTTTAAATGGAAAATAACAGAAAACAAGTGACTGGTTCGTATTCATCATTTGTTTCTGGTGTTATAGAGGAGACAAGACCCAGAGCCATGAATAGATAAATCAATTATGGTAAGTTCCAGAATAAAGTATTTGTGTAAACACTGGATAGACTTCAAGGGGAACAGAAGTAGTGATGAGGGCCAAGGTATTTAACCCTGGGATTCTTGAAGGAGGTGTTAGATGGAGCTTTGGTCAGGTGGCATTGGTCAGCTGAGGCCACTGGACAAGCCCTCTAGTGAAGATTATTGATCACATTAGTCGTGATCACATTAGTTGCGATCGATAACCTTCACCAGAGGGCTTGTCCATCGGATAACACGTACCTAGTTGGAAAGGTGCATCAAGTCTGTACTGGGGAGGAGGTTGGCACCAAGGGTCAAGAGCATTTATATGTTGGTCCAGGAGACTGAAACACCAGGCTGAGGGTCCCAGGAAGGAGTTTACCCTAGAAGGGTCTTGCCAACTGCAGAAAATCTAGTTAAGGCTACATTAATATGGACACCTCTGTTAAAGGTCCATGTGATCTCTAGACCATAAGTGAAACATGATTTCTGGTCTGCATTTAATTTCTCGGGCTCTAGAATTCTTACCATAAGAAATGAACAGGACATTTCATTGCGTGTAGCTACATGACAAGGTACCATGATACCATTTTGGGAGGGCCAGAGGCCTAAAGATGGCAGCTTAGATAGAAAACTATCTCCAGAAGAAGTTGTTCTGGGAGTGATGAGACCCGCTAGTGGACTTGGATGTTCTCTCTTAGTCAAGTGTTCTAGACAATTTTATCACAGCTGGGAGTGTAGAATGTGTACATGGAGCTAATTATGGTTGAATGTGAGGTGTATGTGCCTCAATATTTACAAGCAGAAAATGTGAAATCAATTATTTTCATTGCTGCTTCTTTTTTTAGGCATAAATTCTCGTGAACTACTTGTTTATAAGAACTGTACAAACAACTGCACATTTGTATATGCAGCTGAACAGCCTCCTGAAGCCCCAGGAAAAATCTTCAAAACTAATAGCTTCTACTGGGTTTGTTGTTGTAATAGCATGGTTTGCAATGCAGGAGGACCTACTAATCTTGAAAGGGACATGTTACCCGATGAAGTAACTGAGGAGGAGCTTCCAGAAGGAACTGTGAGGCTGGGGGTATCAAAACTGTTGCTGAGTTTTGCCTCTATCATAGTCAGCAATATATTGCCATGAGGACCCCACCTTGGAGGGTCTGACCATCTTCACCTGTTCCGCAGAGAAATGTTGCTCTCCATTATTCCCTTCTAAGCCAGAGACCCTTATCCACTGCTCCTCTAGGTGGCCCATTTATGGTTTGTTGTAAGAGAAAAATTAAAAAAATATTGTTTAGTGGAGATGTTCATGAGCATTTGTTTGCCTGCATGTACTTGAGCACTCATAGTGGAGTCTCTATTCATATCTGTTCTTCCCTCCCTTGCTCTGTATTCAGGGATTACTTTGTGGTTTTATTATAATCAGTTGCTGTAGCTATTAATTGATTTTGGTAGTTTTGTCTTTGTGCTTCATACTAAAGTTATGAGTGGGTTGCACACTGCAGTTATAGCATTGCAATATTTTGGTTTGTCTGTGTACTTAATTTTACCCTAGGTTTTATACTTTCAGATGTTTTCTTTTTATACGTGAGTGTTTTTTTCTTTCAGTTTGAAGAGCTCCCTTTAGCATTTCTTGTAAGACAGATGTGGTGGTGGTGAATTCTCTCAGCTTTTGTTTGGGAGAGACTTTATTTCTCCTTCATATTTGAAGTTCAGTTTTGCTGGATACATTATTCTTGGATGACAGTTGAGGATTTTTTTTTTCTGTTCAACACTTTCAAAATGTCATACCACTCACTCCTGGCCTGTTGAGTTTCCCTTAAGAATTCTGTTGCCAGATGAACTGGAGCTCCTTTACATGTCTGCCTATTTTCTCTTGCCACTTTTAGGGTCCTCTTTTTGTCCTTGACCTTTAAGAGTTTGATTATTATATGTGTCAGGGTAGTCCTATTTGGGTCAGATCTCTTTGGTGTTCTCTAACTTTCCTGTATCTGAATATTTATCTCTTCTTCAAGTTTTGGAAATTTTTCTGTTATTATTTTTTGAACAGCTTCCTACCCCTGGTGCTTGCTTAACTCCCTCTTAAACACCAGTAATTCTTAGATTTGGTCTTTTGAGGTAATTTTCTATATCTTATAGGTTATCGTCATTCCTTTTCATTCTTCTCTCTTTTTTCTCCTTTGTGTACTTTCAAATAGCTGTCTTCAGGTTCATTGATTCTTACCTCTGCTTTATTTATTTTGCTGTTGAAAGCCTGTAATGAATTTTTCAGTTCAGCAAATATATCTCTCATTTCCAAGGTTTCTATTTGACTTTTTAGATTATTTCAATGTCTTCGTTAATTATTTCTCCTAAATTTCTGAATTGCTTTTCTTTGTTATCTTGGAGATCACTGAGTTTCCTTAAAACTACTATTTTGAATTCTTGGTCAGAGAATTCACATATTGCTCTCTCTTTAGGGTCAGTTACTGGTTCCTTGCCTTGTTCGGTTGGGGAGGTCATGGCTCCCTGTTTGCTGTTGTTTCTTGTGAATGTATGTCTGTGTCCTTGCACAGAAGAATTATGTATTTATTTCAGACTTCTCTGTCTGGCTTCTTTTTGTTTCTTTGTTTTTTTGTTTGTGGGTGTGTGTGTGTGTGTGTGTGTGTGTGTGTGTGTGTGTGTTAAGACAGGGTCTCACTCTGTCACCCAGGCTGGAATGTAGTGGTGATTGTGGCTCACTGCAACTCCACATTCCAGGCTCAGGTGATCCTGCTACCTCAGTCTCCTGAGTAGTTCAGACCAGCTAATTTTTATATTTTTTTGTAGAGATGAGGTTTTGCTGTGTTGCCCAAGCTGCTTTCAAACTCCTGGGCTCAAGTGATCTTCCCACCTCGACCTCCCAAAGTGCTGGGATTGCAGGTGTGAGCCACCACACCCAGCCTGGTTTTTACTGGATATGTTTCATTAGAGATTTTTGTAATTTATCTGTTTCTTTCCTTTTTCTTTTTTCCTGCTAGGTTGCCGCCTCCTTTTCTGCACTAGATGGCAACTTAAGCCCAACTTTGCCTTGGTTCTAGTCAACAGTAGAGTACTGCCAGTCCCAAAGAGAGAGGCCCCAAGGGGATATCCCGGTCATGTGGGAAGGCTGACCAGGGCTGCATGCCTGGGGGCCTGTGGGACTTACTTCCTACAGCATGGCACTGTGAACAGCCACCCTGATTTACTGTCTCCTTTGGCTGAGTTACACAGCAGAGTTTTCAAGGGTGGGATGGGAGTCCCATTTCCCCTTTTGTCTCTGACTTTCCTCAGAAATATTTTTCCCTTCAGGCACTCCTGATGATACCTCTGGGTTGAAGCAGGGGCAGGTCTCCTGCCAGGAAACCCAACATGGGAAGGAAGCTGGTTGTCTGCCTCCATGTCACTTTGTCCAGTGTAGAAACTGTGAGTCAGGGGGAAATGTTCTGCACATTTGGTGCTGAGCAGACTGGGAAGAGGGGCATTGTGGGCATGTAAATCCCATTTTCTTACATCTGCTGTAGGAGTTTTTTTACTTTTCTGTGGCCCCAGGAACTATCTCATCCTTATATTTGAGTCCTGGGATATTGCTGGTGATAATCTCAGTGCTGTGTATTTGGTTTTGGTTTTCTTTGAGATGGGAGGGAAGCCAGCTTGCTTGTACACTGCCATCATGGAAACTTGGACTTGTGTTCTCTTAGGTATATTCCTAGTAGTGGAATTGTTGGGTTCTATGGTAACTCTCTAGATAATTATTAAAGAGACTATGAGACTGTTTTCCAGAGTGGCTGCACCATTTTACAGTCCCACCAGCCATGTGTGAGGGTTCTAGCACTTGTTATTATCTGATGTTTTTTATTTTAGTCTTTCTAGTAGATGTGAAGTGCCATCTCATTGTGGTTTTGATTTGCATTTCCCATATGACTAATGACATTGAGTATCTTTGCCTGTGTTTTTTGGCCATCTGTTTATCTTCTTGATTGTAAGAGTACTTTATATACTCATGATACAAATCCCTGATCATATAGATGATTAGCAAATACTGTCTCCCATTCTGTGGGTTGTCCTTTCACTTTTGAGAGTGTGCTTTGAAGCACACATGTTTTCAATTTTGGTGAAGTCCAAACTATCTATTTTTTATTTTCTTGCTCATATTCTTGGTGCCATGACCTTCACCAAACCCAAGGTCAGTAAGGATTACATCTATGTTTCCTTCTAAGACTGTTATTTTTTGCTGTTATGATTAGATCTTTGATCAATTTCAGATTAATTTTCATATATGGTCTGAGATAAGAACCCAACTTCATTCTTTTCCACATAGTTATCAAGTTTCAATACCATTTGTTGGAAAGATTATTCTGTCCCCAATGGATGGTCTTGGTACCTTTGTAAAAAAGTCAGGTGACAGGGGTGGTCCATTCCAAGATGGCCATATAGGAACAGCTCCAGTCTGCAGCTCCCAGTGTGATCGATGCAGAAGATGGTGATTTCTGCATTTCCAGCTGAGATACCTGGTTCATCGCATTGGGACTGGCTGGACAGTGGGTGCAGCCCACGGAGTGTGAGCCAAAGCAGGACGGGGCATTGCCTCACCTGGGAAGTGCAAGGGGTCACGGGATTTCCCTTTCCTAGCCAAGGGAAGCTGTGACAGACTATACCTGGAAAATCGGAACACTGCCACCTAAATAATGAGCTTTTCCAACAGTCTTAGCAAATGGCACACCAGGATATTATATCCCATGCCTGGCTCAGCAGGTCCCACGCCCATGGAGCCTTGCTCACTGCTAGTCCAAGATTGAACTGCAAGGCAGCAAGCCTGTCTAGGGGAGGGGCGTCCACCCTTGCTGAGGCTTGAGTAGGTAAACAAAGCAGCTGGGAAGCTCGAACTGGGTGGAGCCCACCACAGCTCAATGAGGCCCACCTGCCTCTGTAGACTCCACCTCTCGGGGCAGGGCACAGCTGAACAAAAGGCAGCAGAAACTTCTGCAGACTTAAAAGTCCCTGTCTGACAGCTCTGGAGAGAGCAGTGGTTCTCCCAGCACCGTATTTAAGCTCTGAGAACAGACAGACTGCCTCCTCAAGTGGGTCCCTGACCCCTGTGTAGCCTAACTTAGAGACATCTCCCAGCAGGGGCCAACTGACACCTCATACAGCTGGGTGGCCCTCTGAGATGAAGCTTCCAGAGGAAGTATCGGGCAGTGATATTTGCTGTTCCACAGCCTCTGCTGGTGATACCCAGGCAAACAGGGTCTGGAGTGGACCTCCAGCAAACTCCAACAGACCTGCAGCTGAGGGACCTGACTGTTAGAAGGAAAACTAACAAACAGAAAGGAATAGCATCAGCATCAACAAAAAAGAACATCCACACCAAAACCCTGTCTGTAGGTCACCATCATCAAAGACCAAAGGTAGATAAAACCACAAAGATGGGGAGAAAACAGAGCAGAAAAGCTGAAAATTCTAAAAACCAGAGCACCCCTTCTCCTCCAAAGGGTCACAGTGCCTCGCCAGCAATGGAACAAAGCTGGACGGAGAATGACTTTGATGAGTTGGCAGAAGTAGGCTTCAGAAAGTCGGTAATAACGAACTTCTCCAAGCTAAAGGAGGATGTTCGAACTCATCGCAAGGAAGCTAAAAACCTTGAAAAAAGATTAGGTGAATGACTAACTAGAATAAACAGTGTAGAAAAGACTTTAAATGACCTGATGGAGCTAAAAGCCATGGCAAGAGAACTATGTGATGCATGCACAAGCGTCAGTAGTCAATTCGATCAACTGGAAGAAGGGGTATCAGTGATTGAATATCAAATTAATGAAATGAAGTGAAAAGAGAAGTTTAGAGAAAAAAGAGTAAAAAGAAACAAAGCCTCCAAGAAATATGGGACTATGTGAAAAGACCAAATCTACGTTTGATTGGTGTACCTGAAAGTGAGAGGGAGAATGGAACCAAGCTGGAAAACACTCTTCAGTATATTATCCAGGAGAACTTCCCCAACCTAGCAAGGCAGGCCAACATTCAAATTCAGGAAATACAGAGAACACCACAAAGATAATCCTCAAGAAGAGCAACTCCAAGACACATAATTGACAGATTCATCAAGGTTGAAATGAAGGAAAAAAATGTTAAGGGCAGCCAGAGAGAAAGGTTGGGTTACCCACAAAGGGAAGCCCATCAGACTAACAGTGGATCTCTTGGCAGAAACTCTGTAAGCCAGCGGAGAGTGGGGGCCAATATTCTGTATTCTTAAAGAAAAGAATTTTCAACCCAGAATTTCATATCCAGCCAAACTAAACTTCGTAAGTGAAGGAGAAATAAAATCCTTTACAGACAAGCAAATGCTGAGAGATTTTGTCACCACCAGGCCTGCCCTACAAGAGCTCCTGCAGGAAGCACTAAACATGGAAAGGAACAACCGGTACCAGTCACTGCAAAAACATGCCAAATTGTAAAAACCGTCAAAGCTAGGAAGAAACTGCATGAACTAATGGGCAAAGTAACAGGCTAACATCATAATAACAGGATCAAATTCACACATAACAATATTAACCTTAAATGTAAATGGGCTAAATGCCCCAGTTAAAAGACACAGACTGGCAAATTGGATAAAGAGTCAAGACCCATCAGTGTGCTCTATTCAGGAGACCCATCTCACGTGCAGAGACACACATAGGCTGAAAATAAATGGAGAAGGATCTACCAAACAAATGGAAAGCAAAAAAAAGCAGGGGTTGCAATCCTAGTCTCTGATAAAACAGACTTTAAACCAGCAAAGATCAAAAGAGACAAAGAAGGCCATTACATAACGGTAAAGGGATCAATTCAACAAGAAGAGCTAACTATCCTAAATATATATGCACTCAGTACAGGAGCACCCAGATTCATAAAGCAAGTTCTTAGAGACCTAAAAAGAGACTTAGACTCCCACACGATAATAATGGGAGACTTTAACACCCCACTGTCAATATTAGACAGATCAACGAGACAGAAGGTTAACAAGGATATCCAGGACTTGAGCTCAGCTCTGCACCAAGCAGACCTAATAGACATCTACAGAACTCTCCACCCCAAATCAACAGAATATACGTTCTTCTCAGAACCACATCACACTTATTCCAAAATTGACCACATAGTTGGAAGTAAAGAACTCCTCAGCAAATGTAAAAGAACAGAAATCACAACAAACTGTCTCTCAGACCACACTGCAATCAAATTAGAACCCAGGATTAAGAAACTCACTCAAAACTGCACAACTACATGGAAACTGAACAACCTGCTCCTGAATAACTACTGGGTAAATAACGAAATGAAGGCAGAAATAAAGATGTTCTTTGAAACCAATGAGAACGATGACACAATGTACCAGAATCTCTGGGACACATTTAAAGCAGTGTGTAGAGGGAAATTTATAGCACTAAATGCCCACAAGAGAAAGCAGGAAAGATCTAAAATTGACACCCTAACATGACAATTAAAAGAACTAGAGAAGCAAGAGCAAACACATTCAAAAGCTAGCAGAAGGCAAGAAATAGCTAAGATCAGAGCAGAACTGAAGGAGATAGAGACACAAAAAACCCTTCAAAAAATCAGTGAATCCAGGAGCTGGTTTTTTGAAAAGATCAACAAAACTGATAGACTGCTAGCAAGACTAATAAGAAAAGAGAGAAAAATCAAATAGACAAAAATGATAAAGGGGATATCACCACCAATCCCACAGAAATACAAACTACTATCAGAGAATATTATAAACACTTCTATGCAAATAAACTAGAAAATCTAGAATAAATGAATAAATTCCTGGACACATACACCCTCACAAGACTAAACCAGGAAGAAGTTGAATCGCTGAATAGACCAATAACAGGCTCTGAATTTGAGGCAATAGTTAACAGCCTACCAACCAAAAAAAGTCCAGGACCAGATGGATTCACAGCTGAATTCTACCAGAGGTACAAAGAAGAGCTGGTACCATTCCTTCTGAAACTATTCCAATCAATAGAAAAAGAGGGAATCCTCCCTAACTCATTGTATGAGGCCAGCATCATCCTGATACCAAAGCCTGGTAAGGACACAACAAAAAAAAGAGAATTTTTTTAGACCAATATCCCTGATGAACATCGATGCAAAAATCCTCAATAAAATATTGGCAAACCGAGTCCAGCAGCATATCAAAAAGCTTAGCCACCAAGATCAAGTTGGCTTCATCCCTGGGATGCAAGGCTGGTTCAACATTGGCAAATCAATAAATGTAATCCAGCGTATAAACAGAACCAAAGACAAAAACCACATGATTATCTCAATAGATGCAGAAAAGGCCTTTGACAAAATTCAATAGCCTTTCTTGCTAAAAACTCTCAATAAACTAGGTATTGATGGAATGTATCTCAAAATAATAAGAACTATATGTGACAAACCCACAGCCACTATCATACTGAATGGGCAAAAACTGGAAGCATTCCCTTTGAAAACTGGCACAAGACAGGGATGCCCTCTCTCACCACTCCTATTCAAAATAGTGTTGGAAGTTCTGGCCAGGGCAATCAGGCAAGAGAAGGAAATAAAGGGTATTCAATTGGGAAAAGAGAAAGTCAAATTGTCCCTGTTTGCAGATGACATGATTGTATATTTAGAAAACCCCATTGTCTCAGCCCAAAATCTTCTTAAGCTGATAAGCAACTTCAGCAAAATCTCAGGATACAAAATCAATGTGCGAAAATCATAAGCATTCTTGTACACCCATTACAGACAAACAGAGAGCCAAATCATGAGTGAACTCCCATTCACAATTGCTTCAAAGAGAATAAAATACCTAGGAATCCAACTTACAAGGGATGTGAAGGACCTCTTCAAGGAGAACTACAAACCACTGCTCAATGAAATAAAAGAGGACACAAACAAATGGAAGAACATTCCATGCTCATGGATAGGAAGAATCAATATCGTGAAAATGGCCATACTGCCCAAGGTAATTTATAGGTTCAATGCCATCCCCATCAAGCTACCAATGACTTTCTTCACAGAATTGGAAAAAACTACTTTAAGTTCGTATGGAACCAAAAAAGAGTCTGCATTGCCAAGACAATCCTAAGCCAAAAGAACAAAGCTGGAGGCATCATACTACCTGACTTCAAACTATACTACAAGGCTACAGTAACCAAAACAGCATGGTACTGGTACTGAAACAGAGAAATAGACCAATGGAACAGAACAGAGGCCTCAGAAATAACACCACACACCTACAACCATCTAACCTTTGACAAACCTGACAAAAGTAAATGGGGAAAGGATTCCCTATTTAATAAATGGTGCTGGGAAAACTGGCTAGCCATATGTAGAAAGCTGAAACTGGATCCCTTCCTTACACCTTATACAAAAATTAATTCAAGATGGATTAAAGACTTAAATGTTAGACCTAAAACCATAAAAACCCTAGAAGAAAACCTAGGCAATACCATTCAGGACATAGGCATGGGAAAGGACTTCATGACTAAAACACCAAAAGCAATGGCAACAAAAGCCAAAATAGATAAATGGGATCTAATTAAACTAAACAGCTTCTGCACAGCAAAAGAAACCACCATCAGAGTGAACAGGCAGCCTACAGAATGGGAGAAAATGTTTGCAATCTACCCATCTGACAAAGGGCTAATATCCAGAATCTACAAAGAACTTAAATTTACAAGAAAAAAATCAAACAACCCCATCATAAAGTGGGCAAAGGATATGAACAGACACTTCTCAAAAGAAGACATTTATGCAGCCAACAGACACATGAAAAAATCCTCATCACCCCTGGTCATTGGAGAAATACAAATCAAAACCACAATGAGATATCATCTCACACCAGTTAGAATGGCAATCATTAACAAGTCAGGAAACAACAGGTGCTGGAGAAGATGTGGAGAAATAGGAACACTTTTACACAGTTGGTGGGACTGTAAACTAGTTCAACCATTGTGGAAGACAGTGTGGCGATTCCTCAAGGATCTAGAACTAGAAATACCATTTGACGCAGCGATCCCACTACTGGGTATATACCCAAAGGATTATAAATACTGCTACTATAAAGACACATGCACACATATGTTTACTGCGGCACTGTTCACAATAGCAAAGACTTGGAACCAACTCAAATGTCCATCAATGATAGACTGGATCAAAAAAATGTGGCACATATACACCATGGAATACTATGCAGTCATAAAAAAGGATGAGTTCATGTCCTTTGTAGCAACATGGATGAAGCTGGAAATCATCATTCTGAGCAAACTATCACAAGGACAGAAAACCAAACATCGCATGTTCTCACTCATAGGTGAGAATTGAACAGTGAGAACCCTTGGACACAGGGCAGGGAACATCACACACTGGGGCCTGTCGTGGGGTCAGGGGGCTTGGAGAGGGATAGCATTAGGAGAAATACCTAATGTAAATGATGAGTTAATGGGTGCAGTAAACAAACACGGCACACGTATACATATGTAACAAACCTGCACGTTGTGTACATGTACCCTAGAACTTAAAGTATAATTTTTAAAAAGTGACCATAGATGTATGGCTTTATTTCTGGACTCACAATTCTGTTCTATTGATCTATCTGTCTGTCCTTGTGCCAGTATTTCACTGTTTTCATTATTGCTACTTTGTAGTAAATTTTTAAATTGAGAAGTGTGAGTCTTTCTACTTTACTCTTTTTCAAGACTATTTTGGCATTTGTGGGTCTCTTGCAATTCCATATGAATTGTATAATCAGCTTACCAATTTCTACAAAGAAGAGATTCTTTGGGGATTCTTTGAGACTGTGATAGGGATTGCACTGGATCTGTAGATAGATTTGAGGAGCATTGTCATCTCAGCAACATCATGTCTTCTGACCCATGAACATGGATGGGATGCTTTTTCAGTTATTTAGATCTTTAATTTTCTTCAGCAGGGTTCTGTAGTTTTCAGAGCATAAGAGTTGAACTTCTTTTGTTAAATGCATTCCTAAGTATTCTATTCCTTTTGATGGTATTGAAAATGGAATTATTTTCTTAATTCCTTTTTCAGATTCTTCATTACTAGTAGAGAAAATACAAATGATTTTTCATATTGATCTCATACCCTGAAGTCTTGCTGAATTACTTTTGTTAGAAATAATACTGTTTTTAGTGGGCTTCTTAGGATATTCTATATGAAAGATCATGTGAAGTTTGAAGAGACGGTTTTACTTTTTCTTTTTCCATCTGGCTGCCCAGCCTGGCCAACACAGCGAAACCCCGTCTCCACCAAAAAAATACGAAAACCAGTCAGGCGTGGCTGCGCGCGCCTGCAATCACAGGCACTCAGCAGGCTGAGGCAGGAGAATCAGGCAGGGAGGTTGCAGTGAGCCGAGATGGCAGCAGTACAGTCCAGCTTCGGCTCAGCATCAGAGGGAGACCGTGGAAAGAGAGGGAGAGGGAGACCGTGGGGAGGGGGGGGAGGGGGAGGGGAGGGGGAGGGGGAGGGGACGGGGAAGGAGAGGGAGAGCCCTTTCCTCTTTTTCTTTACTTTCTTTTTCTTTCTTCTTTCTTACACAAAAGGCAAAAATTGTGTACACAATTTTTAATAGATCCTGGAAGTTGCTCTGATGATAATCGCAGGAGTTTTCTTCCTTCTTTTTATAACTACACAGTTGTTCTTTATATAGATGTACCATAGTTTATTCAACCACTACTGTATATGAACATTCAGCTTGTTTCCAATGTTTTGCAATTATAAACAATGCTTCACTGAGTAGTCGCATATATTTATATTTCCATACATATTTTGAATATATATTCCATATATATTTCCATATATATTTTGAAATAATTTTAGAGTTATCTAAGAGTGTCAGAAGAGTGCAGAGTTCCTTTATCCACTTCACCGATCTTCCTTTGAGTTAGCATCTTACATAATCACAACACATTTCTCAAAACTAAGTAACTACTTTATTACAGCAATATTAACTAAAGCACAGAATGTGTTTGTATTTTACCAGCTTTCCGTTAATGTCCTTTCTGGGGTTTGTTTTGAGGAACAATCCATGACACCACATTGTTTGGTGAATATGTCTCCTTAGTTTCCTTTGACCCATAACTATTTCTCAGTCTTTCCTTGTTTTACATGACCTCGATACTTTCAATTCTGGTCAGCTGTTTTGCAGCATGCCAATCTATTTGGATTATCTGATGTTTTCTCATGATTAGTCTGAAGTTACATATCTTAGGGAAGAATACCATAGAGACGAAGAGCTAAGGGTGTGTGTGTGTGTGTGTGTGTGTGTGTGTGTGTGTGTGTGTGTATTCTCTGTTCATGAATTTTTACCATTTTATCAGTTTTTAAAGTTTTCTCTCAATTTCTAAGCTTTTAAAATTTTATTTTATTTTAGATTTGGGAGTTATATTGGTCCATTTTTACATTGCTGTAAAGAATACCACCCGAGACTGGGTAATTTGTAAACAAAAGAGGTTTAATTGACGCACAGTTCTGCATGGCTGGGGAGGCCTCGGGAAACTTACAATCATGGTGGAAGGCAAAGGGGTAGCAAGGCATGTCTTACATGGTGGCAGCAGAGAGAGAGAGCAGGGAAAACTGTCATTTATAAAACCATCAGATCAGTTGGGTTGTGCAAATGGTGGAGAAGAAAACTTCAGGAAGAGTGCATAGACTGAGCAGAGAAGAGGACCAGCTACCTCCGTAGAGGCAGGGAGAGCAGCCAAGCTGGAGCCTGAGCAGCATTGCTGGACATGGAGAAGGTCTGGAATCTTGTCAAGGAAGCAAGCAAAGGGTTTCTTTCTATTCAATGAAGTCCACTCCCAGGACCCTGGGCAGCAACGGGTGCTGGACTGGGCCACCTGGCAGCGTCACATCAACTGGCAGCTAGAAGTCCTGGAGAATGACAACTTCCAGGACGACCCCCATGTGGGACTCCCTCAGCTCAGCAAGAGACTGCCACAGTTCGATGATGATGCAGACACCAGACAGTAAAAGAAGAAAACCCGAGGTGATCATTTTCAACTTCACGTCCAAAAAAACTTTCAGGCCCTGCTGGAGGAGCAGAACTTGAGTGTGGCCAAGGGCCCCAACTACCTGATAGCCTGTGCAGAGTCCCTGTCGCAGCCACAGCGTTCCTTCTGTGCTGTCTGCAGCTTCCCCTCCCCCTACACCTGTGTCAGCTGTGGTGCCTGGTATTGCACCGTGTGCTGTCTGGGGACCCACCAGGAGACCAGATATCTGAAGTGGACCATGTGAGCCCGGGCATTCCTGGAGAGGAAGGGCCTCTGTGCATTGCCAGGCCTCCAAAAAGCCAGTTTCATCACCCAGTGGAGTGGGGGCTCTCCCTGGACTAAGGGAGGAGCTGCTCACTCACCTAACAAAACTGTGTCTTACTTGCTGGGAAAGACCAGCCTCACTCCTGGGAACTGTCTGGCAGGTGGGTTGGGCCCACCCAGTGCTGTTAGAATAAAAAGCCTTTGCCAGGAAAAAAAAATTTAAAAAAAAATCAGCTCTCATGAGAATTCACTCACTATTATGAGAACAGCATGGGGAATACTGCCCCCGTGATCCAATCAGCTCCCACCAGGTCCCTCCCTCAGCACTTGGGGATTACAATTCGGATTACAATTCAAAATGAGATTTGGGTGAGGACACAGAGCCAAACCACATCAGGGGTCATGTGTGCATGTTTGTTACATGGGTATATTATGTAATTGTGGGGGTTAGGCTTCTAGTCTACCCAACACCCAACTATTGGACATTGTACCTAAGAGGTTATTTTTAAACACTCACCCCATCCAACCGTCCTCCGTTTTGAAATTCCTATTGTCTATTATTTCTGTCTTTGTATACATGTGTATCCATTGTTTAGCCCCCACTTATAAGTGAGAACATGCAGTATTTGATTTTCTCTCTCTCAGTTCACTTAGCATAGTGGTGTCTAGCTCCATCCATGTTGCTACAAATAACATGATTTCATTCTTTTTATGGCTTTGTAGTATTTCCTGGTGCAAACATATCACATTTTCTTCATCCAATCAACTGTTGATGGACACTTATGTTGGTCCCATGACTGCTATTGTAAATAGTGCTGCCATAAACGTATGAGTGCAGGTGTCTTTTTTATATAATAATTTCTTTTCCTTTGGGTAGATACCCAGTAGTGGGATTGCTGGGTCAAGTGGTAGTTCTATTCTTATTTCCTTGAGACATCTCCATACTGTTTTTCCATAAAGGTTGAACTAATTTACATTCCCTCCAACAGTGTATAAATATTGCCTTTTCTCCACATCCATGCCAGTATCTGTTGTTTTCTGATATTTTAATAATAGGCATTCTGACTGGTATGAGACAGTATCTCATTGTGGTTTTAATTTGCATTTCTCTGATAATTAGGAATTTTCAGCATTTTTTCGTGTGTTTGTTGGCCATTCGTATTTCTTCTTTTGAGAAATGTCTGTCCATGTCCTTTGCCCAGTTTTCAATGGTGGTGTTTGGTTTTTTTCTTGTTGGGTTGTTTGAGTTTCTTGTAAATATTAGTTCTTCTTCAGAGGCATAATTTACAAATATTTTCTCTCATTTTGTAGGTTGTCTATTTACTCTGTTGATTGTTTCTTTTGCTGTGCAGAAGGTTTTTAGTTTAAGTCTCATTTGTGTTGTTTTGTTTTTGTTGCATTTGCTTTTGGGGTCTCCATCACAAATTATTTGCCTAAGCATATCCAGAAGAGTTTTTCTAGGGTTTTTTTCTAAGGTCTTTATAGTTCCAGGTCTTACATTTAGTCTTTAATTCATCTTAATTTAATTTCTGTATAATATATGGTGAGAGAGCTGGGCGCAGTGGCACATGCCTGTAATCCTAGCACTTTGGGAGGCTGAGGTGGGCAGATCACCTGAGGTCAGGAGTTCCAGACCAGCCTGCCCAACATGGCAAAACCCTGTCTCTACTAAAAATACAAAAAATTAGCTGGGCATGATGGCAGGCACCTATAATCCCAGCTACTTTGGAGGCTGAGGCAAGAGAGTTGCTTGAATCCAGGAGGCAGAGATTTCAGTGAGCCGAGATCATGCCATTGCACTCCAGCCTGGGCAACAAGAGTAAAACTCTGTCTCAATATATATGGTGAGAGTTGGAGCCCAGTATTATTCTTCTGCATGTGGCTATCCAATTTTCCCAGTACCATTTATTGAATAGAGTGTCATTTCCCCATTGTTTATTTTTGTCAATTTTGTCAAAAATTAGTTGGTTGTAGGTATGTGGCTTTATTTCTAGGTTCTCTATTCTTTTTAATTGATCTATGTGTCGATTTTTGTACTAGTTCCATGCTGTTTGGTCACTATAGTCTTGTAGCACAATTTGAGGTCAGGCAATATGATGCCTCCAGATTTTTCCTTTCTGCTTAGGATTGCTTTGGCTATTTGGGCTTTTTGTTGTTGTTCCATATGAACTATAGAATTTTTTTTCTAATTTTGTAAAAAATGGCATTGGTAATTTGATAAGAATTGTGTTGAATCTACAGATTGCTTTGGGCAATAGGGTCATTTTAACGATGTTGGTTCTTCCAATGCATGAGCATGAAATGTTTTACCATTTGTTTGTGTCACTTATGATTTCTTTCATTAGTGTTCTGTAGTTCTCCTTGTAGAAATCTTTCACCTCCTTGGTTAAATGTATTCCTAGGTTGTGTGTGTGTGTGGTCTATTGTAAACGGGACTGAGTTCTTGAATTGGTTCCCAGCTTAAATGTTATTAGTGTATAAAAATGCTACTGATTTTTGTATGTTGATTTTGTATCTTGAAACTTTACAGAAGTTGTTTATCAAGTTGGGAGTCTTTTGGAGGAGTCTTTAGGGCTTTCTAGGTATGTGACTGTGTAATTGGTGAACAGAGATAATTTGACTTCCTGTTTTCTTTTTTCTTTCTTTCTCTTGCCTGATTGTTCTGGCTAGGACTTTCAGTATTATGTTGAATAGGAGTGGTGGAACAAGGAATGGACATCCATTCCAAGAAGTGGAACAAGGAATGGACATCCTCGTTCCAATTCTTAAGGGAAATGCTTTCAACCTTTCCCCATTCAGTATGATGTCTAGTGGCTGTGGATTCATCATATATATTCCCCGTTCAGTGGCTGTGGGTTTGTCATATATGGCTGTTATTATTTTGAGGTATTTTTAAATGCCTAGTTTGTTGACAGTTTTTATCATGAAGGGATATTGGCTTTTAACAAATGATTTTTTCTGCATGTATTGAGATAATCATATGTTTTGTGTTCTTAGTTCTGTTTATGTGGTGAATCACATTGATTGATTTGCATATGTTGAGCCATCATTGCATCCCTGGAATAGAGGGATGAATTATCTTTTTGATGTGCTGTTGGATTCAGTTTGCTAGTATTTTGTTGAGGATTTTGGCTTCTGCGTTGAGTGATATTGGCCTGTAGTTTTCTTTGTTGCGTGCTTGCCTGATTCCTCCCTAACTCATTCTATGACACCAAAATTCAACAGTGCATCAAAAAGACAATTCATCACAATTAAGTGGACTTTATTCCAGGGATGGAAGAATGGCTCAACACACACAAATCAATAAATGTGACTCACCACGTAAACAGAACTAAGAATGAAAACCATGTGATCATCTCAACAGATGCAGAAAAAGCATTCCATAAAATCTCTCCTTCTAGATTGTTTGGAATAGTTTCAGTAACTTTGGTCCTAGCTCTTCTTTGTACATCTGGTAATATTTCGCTGTGAATATGCCTGGTGCTGGGCTTTTTTGTTGTTGTTGGAAGATTTTTTTAATATGAGTTCAATTTTATTACTCCTTATTGGTCTGTTCAGTAGTTCTATTTCTTTCTGGTTTAATCTTGGGAGGTTGTATGTTTCTAGGAATTTATCCATTTCCTCTACATTTTCTAGTTTGTGTGCATAGAGGTATTCAAAGTACTCTCTGATGATCTTTTGGTTTTTATGTGGTATCAATGGTAATGTCAGCTTTATCATTTCTGATTATGCTTATTTGAATCTTCTTTTTTTCTTGGTTAGTCTAGCTAGTGGTCATTAATTTTGTTTATCATTTCAAAGAACCAACTTTTCATTTCACTGATCCTGTCTGTCATCCTGTTTGGTCTCAGTCTCACTTAATTCTGCTCTGATTCTTGTTATTTCTTCTCTTCTGCTAGATTTCGGTTTGGGCAAGCAGCTGGGAGAGCTGCAGAAAAGAGCTAGGTAGATCCTGCACCCAGTGTGCCTGGGCAGCCCCTTAGAAGTGTTCTCACACTCAGACTCTCTTGTTCTAGTTCCTTGAGGTGTGATGTTAGAATGCTAATTCGAGATCTTTCTTTCTTTTCAATGTAGGTGTTTAATTCTATAAAGTTTCATCATAGCTCTGTTTTTGCTGTACCACAGAGGTTTTGATGTGTTTTATCTCTACTTTCATTTGTTTCAAAGAATTGTTTTATTTCTTAATTTTATTGTTTACCCAAGAATCATTCTTGAACAAGTTGTTTAGTTTCCATGTACTTATGTAGTTTTGAGAGTTCCTCTGGATATTGATTTCTAATTTTATTCCACTGTGTTCTGAGGATACTTGATACGATTTTTTTAATGTTGAGACTTGCTTCATGGCCAAGCATGTGGTCGATTTTGGAGAATATTCCATGCATAGACGAGAATGTATATTCTGTGGTTATTGGGTAGAATGTTCTGCTAATATCTATTAGGTTCATTTAGTCTATAGTCCAATTCAAGTCCAGTGTTTCTTGATTTTCTGCCTCAATGATCTGTCCAGTGGTGTCAATGAGGTGTTGAAGTCCCCACTATTATTGCATTGCTATCAACCTGTTTTCTTAGGTCTACTAGTATTTCTTGCATGAATCTGGGTGATCTGGTGTTGGGTACATATATATTTAGAAGAGTTAAATCTTCTTGTTGTATTCAACCCTTTGTCTTACATAATACCCTTCTTTGACTTTTTTTTTTAACTGTTTTTGGTTTAAAGTTTGTTTTATCTGATATGAGAATGGCTATTCCCACTTGCTTTTGCTTTTCATTTGCATGACATATCTTTCTCTACCTTTTAACTTTGAGTGTGAAGGTGTCTTTAGCCAGTAGGTGGGTCTCTTGTAGGCAGCAAATGATTGGGTCTTATTTTTTTCATCCAATTTGCCACTCTTTATCTTTTAAGTGGAGCACTTAGGCCATTTACATTCAAGGTTAATATTGGTATGTGAGGTTTTGTTCCTATCATAGTGTTGTTAGGTAGTTGTGTTGGAGTTTAAATTGTGTAATTGCTCTATAGGATCTGTAAACTTTGCACTCATGTGTCCTTCTATGATGGCAAGTATTGTCCTTCTGTCTCCATGTTTAGAACTCCTTTGAGTATTTATTGTAGTCTAGTGGTGACAAATTACCTTAGCATTTGCTTGTCTGGAAAAGACCTCATTTCTCCTTCATTTATGAAGCTTAGCTAGCCAGGATTATACAATTCTTGGCTGGCTTTTTTTTTTCATTAAGGCAGCTAAAAACAGGCCCCCAATCTCTTCTGGCTTGTAGGGTCTCTGCTGAGAATTCTGCTGTTACTCTGATGGATTTTCCTTTACAGGTGATTTGACCCACCTTTCTAGCTGCCCTTACGATTTTTTTTCTGGCATTGACATTGGATAGTCTGATGACTATATGCCTTGGTGATGTTTGTCTTGTATAATATCTCACAGGTGTTCTCTGAATTTTTTATATCTGGATGTCTACCTCTTTAGCAAGATTAGGGAAATTTTCCTGAATTATTCCCTCAAATATGTTTTCCAGGTTGCTTACTTTTTCTTCTCTTTCAGGAATGCCTATAAACTGTAGGTTTGGTCACTTTACATGATCTCATATTTCTCAGGGGCTTTGTTCATTTTTTATAATTCTTTTTTCTTTATTTTTGTCTGACTGGGTTAATTCAAAAGACCAGTCTTCAAGCTTGGATATTCTTTCTTCTGCTTGGTGTAGTCTATTGTTAAAGCTTCCAACTGTACTTTGAAATTCCTTAAATGAACTTTCCTTCTCCACAAGTTCTGTTGGGTTTTTGTTTCTAAGATATTTACCTTTGTCTTTATTTCCTGGAAGGCTTTCATGGTTCTTTTGTGTTGGTTTTCAACCTTCTCTTGGATCTCGTTGAGCATCCTTACAGCCCATACTTTGAATTCTTTACCTGTCATTTATGAGTTCTCATTTTGGTTGGGGTCCATTGATAAAGAGCTAGTGTGATCCTTTGGTCACAACATTCTGATTTTTCGTGGTGCCAGAGTTCTTATGCTGATTCTTTCTCATTTGTAGAAGCTGACACTTCTTATTTTTGAATTTATTTTCATTCTGATTGTTTTTTTTTTCTCTATTATTCCCCCCAACCCTTGGGGGTGTGACTGTGGAGTACTTGGGCAGGGTCTTTTGGCTTCCCTTCTATAGCCCTCTGCACCTCGGTCAGCAGGTTTTATAGTGAGTTGTGCAGTTTGACCTGCAGGCCAGTAGGTGGTAGTTATGGGTAAGAATTGGCTGCAGCACAAGTGGATGGGTATGAACTAGACCTTTGGCTACTGTGAGGAACTCTCTGTTGTTTCAGGTGATGGGCTGGACAGTGGAGTGCCTGGCACCCTGAGCTATCTGTTCAGTGGATGGGGGACACAGCTAGGCAGAGCTGGATCCCCTGGCTTGCCCATAAATACCCCAATGGCAAGCACAGGCACCTGGGGAATTGCACTAGCTCTATGTCCTAGATAGGCAGGAGCACAATCTGTTTCCCTATCACACCCCTGTGCCAGGGCTAGTGACTTTCATTTCAGATGCACACTGTGGTCTATCTCTAGGCCACAGTGTAGCGGAGAGCCACGGAAATGCCAGTCCTATGGCTCTCTGTGGGAGTGGTTTTGGATATAACCTCCACTCAGTCCGATACAGACAGCTTTGTGGCTCCCCTGTTCCCCAGGGTGGTAACTGCTGGCGGGTGGGGAGGGTCTCTGCCTTTCAGCCTGTGTGGGCAGGTTTCAGTTGCAGTGACGTCAGCTGGTTGGGTCAGCCCACCTCAGGCCCTGGGGGAGTGGTCAGGTATCAGCAGTGCCACAATAGGCTAGATAATTCTCTAATTCCTAGGTCCCTAGATGGCCAGTGAATGGTATATATGAGTGCTGTAGGGACTGGACCAGGATCCGGCCGGCCCAGAGTTCAGGTGCTAGATGTGACAGGGAGGGGTAGACTGGTCCCTGGCCACCAGCCAAACTCTCAGGTGCCAGCAGGCAGAATGCTCAGGCAGTGAGAGCCTGAGGGCAGATTATAGGCCTTTGGGGGCTGGGCTGTCAGAAAGGCTCCAAGCTGCAGCTGAAAAGGTCAAGTGAGAGCTGATGCTTGTGCTGTGGCCCTTTCACTAGGGAAGGCAGACCCCCCGAGCTGCGACACTGGAGACTGGCAGCTTCAGAGCGCGTGGCCCATCGCACTTCCCTCCCACAGAAGCAGCGCTGGATTTTGCTGCTGGGGCATGTGCAGGTGCCTGGCCTCCCTGCTCCCTCCCTGGACCATGGGTGGCAGGGGTGGAGGCAGCAGTGGCAGTGACTACTGCATGACCCACAGGGCTTATCAGTGGTTTCTGGGGGTTGAGATTTCAGGGAAACGCTGAGCTATGGGGTGGCTTTGCTGGGGCCCTGTTGCCAATGCAGGCACACCCCATTTGGTGGGGAGCAGCAGAAGTAGGAAGCCATGCAGTGCGTAGTCTGCCTGCTCCTCCATACCATGGGTGCAGCATCTGTCTTTGGGGAATGCAAAAGTGCTCAGCCTCCCTCTTTGGCATGGTAGCAGCAGCTGGTATTAGGCTGTTCAGGGATCAAAAGCCTGTAGGATTCCACACAGGTTTGAGGGGTGCCTCTGTGCTGTCTCCAGGCAGCTCCCTGGAGGTCTGGGGTACTTGAGTGGTCTTTCTCATGTCTAGGATTTTAAAGGCCCATGGCAGAGGTGTGGACACCTGGGGTCTCTCACTTGCCCACCACTTGCCCACATTAGGGAGCCTCTCCCAACTCTGCCTGTACCAGCTCGGAGGGTGCCATCTTAGCTCTCCTAGGCTGTCTGTGATTCCTGTCATTTCTCTGTTGAATTTCAGCATGCTCTCTTAGATGATCTACTTGAAGTGTTAGTGTTTACTCATGATTTTGATTCCTCTCTGGGAGAGAGGTGCCCAGTAGCTGATCCCAGTCAGTCATCTTTAAGCACTTTATATTTTGAGGACATTAGCACTTTATTTGTGATGTATTTTGCAAATATTTTCTACTAGTTCATCAGTTGTCTTTTGATTTGTTTACATTTTTGCAATGCAAAAGATTTTTTTGTGTTGTCAGATTTATTTATTGAAAAGCTTTTATTTATTAAAAAACCTTTTCCTGTATCCAGGTGTATTAATTTGTTTTCACACTGCTATAAAAAACTGCTTGAGACTGGGTAATTTATAAAGAGGTTTAATTGACTCACAGTTGTGCATGGCTGGGGAAGTCTCAGGAAACTTACAATCATGGTGGAAGGTGAAGGGGAAGCAAGGACCTTCTTCACAAAGTGGCAGGAGAGAGAGAGAAGCAAGGGGGGAAGTGCCAGATACTGTCAAACAACCACATCTTGTGAGAACTCGCTCACTGTCATGAGAACAGCATGGGAGAAACTGCTTTCATGATCTAATCACCTCCCACCTGGTCCCTCCCTTGACATATTTGGATTGCAATTTGAGATGAGATTTGGGTGGGGACACAGCCAAACCATATCACCAAATGTATTAGTGCAGGTCCTCTAGAGAAACAGAATCAGTAGTTCCAATGGATCTCTCTCTCTGTCTCTAAATATATACTCTGTGTGTGTGTGTGTGTGTGTGTGTGTGTGTGTGTTTTCACATGATTTGGGGGGCTGGTAAGTTCAAAATCTGTAGGCCAGGTCAGTAGGTTGGAACCTCTTGGGCAGGAATTGATGCCGCAGTCTTGAGGTAGAATTTCTTCTTCTCTAGAAAACATTAATTTGGCTTTTAAGCCCTTTCAACTGATTGGATAAGATCCACCACATTTTTGAGAGTGATCTTAATCTTCTTTACTTAAAGTCAATTTACTGTTGATGTTAACTACATCTACAAAATACCTTCACAACACAGAGCGATATGGTTTGGCTGTGTTCCCATCCAAATCTCATGTTCAGTTGTAATCCCCAGTGTTGGAGGTGGGGCCTGGTGGGAGGTGACTGGATCACGGGGGCGGAGTTCTGATGAATGGTTTAGCACCGTTCCCCCTTGATACTGGACAGTGAGTGAGTTCTCAGAAGATCTGGTTGTTTAAAAGTGTGTAGCACCTCTCCATGCTCTCTTACTCCTGCTCCAGCCACATAAGACGTGCCTGCTTCCTCTTTACCTTTCGCCATGATTGTAAGTTTCCTGAGGCCCCTCCAGAAGCTGAGCAGAAGCTTCTATCCTTTCTGTACAGCCTGCAGAGCCATGAGGCAATTAAACCTCTTTTTAAAATAAATTACACTGTCTCAGGTATTTCTTTATAGGAAGGTAAGAACAGACGTATACTCATAAATCATGTTTGAGTTACTGGATACTGTATCCTACTCAAGTTAACGTATACAATTATCACAGCCATTAGGACAGAAAAGTTGTATTGCTGATTTTGCCAGCTGAAAGCAAATTACTTCTGGTGGTCATTCCTAATAGAAATTTAGAAAAAAGCATTTGTCAGTCAATACCTGCATACTATTGTCTTAGTCTGTTTTCTGTTGTTTATAACAGAATACCTGAAACTGGGTAATTTGTAAAGAAAAAGAAATTTATTTTTCACAGTTATGGGGTCTAAGAAGCTGTCAGTTCGAGGTGAATCTGGTGAGAGTCTTATTGCTGGTGGAGACTCTCTGAAGGGTCCCAGGGTGGCGCAGGACATCACATGGCGAGGGGCTGAGTGTGATTGCGTGTGCTAGCTCAGGTCTCTCTTCCTCTTCTTATAAAGTCACCAGTTTCCATGACAGCCCATTAATCCAGGAATGGATTAATATATTAATGGGGGCAAAACCCTTCATAGTCTAGTCACCTCCCAAAGGCACCACGAATCAACACTGCCACTTCTGGGTTATGTTTCAACATGAGTTCTGGAGGGGACATTGAAATCATAGCAACCAGGTACCAGGAGGCATATTAATTTGCCACAATAATGAAATGATATCGGGTACAGAAACTGCACTTGGAGTCACCATCTGGCTAAATTTACAGTACTTTATTGTCATTCTAGAAGATCCATCTATCTTCTGCTCAGTCCAAATAATCTAGTTGAATGGGAGTATGGCGGGAATCATCATCCCTCCACTCTTCAAGTCCTTGATAGTGACACCAACATTTGTAATTTTTTCTGCAAGTGCAATATTGCTTTTTATTTATGGTTTTCCTGGGCAGAAGCAATTCTAGTGGCTTCCGTTTGGCTTCTCCTACAGTAATAGCCCTTGCTTCACAGGTCAAGAGACCCTTGTGGGATTTTGTCAGGACCTGAGTATGTCTATTCCAGTAGTGCATTCTGAACTGAGGGAAATAAGCACTGGATGGGTTTTGGGGCCCATTGGATCCACTGTGAGATGGACCTGAGCTAAAATTCCATTAATCATCTGAGTTCTATAATCCCTTATATTTGGGGTCTCCTGAAATTAGTGTCAATTCAGAGCCTGTGTTTAGAAATCCCTGAGAAGTATGACGATTTCCTTTTTCCCAGTGCAAAGTCACCCTGGTAAAAGGCTCTTTGGGGGAGGATGTGAGAAAGATTAACAGTATAAATTTTTGGCAGTGTCATGGGGTCTGCTCCTCAAGAGGAACTGGCCTACCCTTCATTCAAGCGGTTCTGGGCATGTAAACTGGCTCATTGTGGGAACTGATTCAGGGGCCATGACTCTGCTTTTATGATTCTGGTTTAACTTCCGTCCACTTGACCTAGAACTCCTCTGCTTATACAGATCAAATAAGGATTTAGTGGACTCCATACCTATTTATTTGGCATCTAGGAACACCGTGATCAACTAGCCAATGCCATGGGCCTCCGCCAGGCAGATTCTTCTGAGTACGGCTTTAACCGTGCTGTTTATTATTGCAGCCATGTCAGCTTTTCTGGTTATTAAGGATTGCCACAAGGCCCGGCTACGCCCCTCCCACTGCAATTATTTCCGCTGCCTTTAAGGATCCCAGTTAAGTGCCAGCAGCTCCCACTATGATGCCTGACCTGCAGAGAAGAGTGCCCACAGAGCTCTTCAAGGATAAAAAAACTCCCTTCCCAAATTGATTTCTGACAGTCATGGTGAAAGATACTTCCTTGGGCCTCCGGGGATGGGTGGCCTCCGTGGATTGGCACAGATCTTACATGATCAATCTGCTTTATCATTTCACTCTCCTTCAGGCTTTGGATATGTTCCTCTATGGTGAACTAAGATTGTCCTGGCATTCATTTCATGTCGGCCATATTTTGTTCATATTTCAGCCAACCAACCAGACTATTAGAGCCCATTTCTAACTCTCAAACTATCCAGAATCTCTGCTTGGAGGGCCCATATCAATAAATTCAGCCTGAATCTAACTTTTCTTTTGTTCAACCATGATCCCACCCACTTAAAATTCATTTCCACTTGTTTTCCCCTGATGCATCTGCATGTATTGGGAATGGCACATGGTTGTTTTAGAGTGTAGCACAGCTCCTCCTGGGTCACACTTTTACCTCATCTTTTGGGGCCTGCTGGTACTTAAGTGTAGCTCTAGGTCTAGAAGGAAAGAGAGATGGTGCAGTAGGTTCTGAGACAAATCAACAGTGTCTTGCAAGGCAGCTCCCTCAGGGAGGCCATTACAGGTTCTTCAGGCAAAGCAGAGTTTCTGCCATCCTCAAGGACACCTTCCCCTGTGCTGCCTCAGGCTTGTGCCCTTCTCCACACAACACTCACACACCTTCACCTAGGAGAGTGAGAAGGCTGGAGCTGGGGAATTATTTTCCAGCCAGAGGTGGACATTTCCAAGGACAACTCTTAAGGAAGAAGAGAGCCCAACAGTCCCTCTCTATCAGTAAAAGGGCTGAGACATGTGAGCAGGGCTAGACTGTGCTCTTTTCCAAAAAAGACCCTGCCTGCTATCTTGGATATCTGGGTCCTGGCTCCTCCAAACCCTATTGCCAATCCTTGCTTGTTTGTTTTTTTAAATTCCACTGCTGGATACATGTACAGGAAATTTTTCAGGATAAGTGCAAGTAAAGCTGAAAAATGCTGTTGAAAGTGAAAGTGCCCACACAAAAGAGTCCCCAGAGAGCTTCTTCATTTCTTTCCATCATGTGAGGACACAGTAAGAATGTCCTATCTATGACTCAGGAAATAGACCCTCCCCAGACACCAAATCTGCCAGCACCTTGATCTCAGATGTCTCAGGCTCCAGATCTGTGAGCAACAAATCTCTGTTGTTTCCGAGCCACCCAGTCTGTGGTGCTTTGTTATAGCAGCTTGAATAAACTAAGACAGAAGATTGGTACTGAAAGATGGGGTGCTGCTGGGTAATTGGGTAGAGGCTAGAAGGGTTTTGAAGTGCATGCTAGAGAAAGCCTATGTCACCATGAGCAGGCCCTGAAGGATGCTGCTGGTAAGGGCTCAGAACAAGAGGAGGAGGGCTGTAAAGAAAGCCTCCATCTTCTTAGAGAATATCTAAGTGGCCATGGACAGAATGGTACTAGAAATATAGATGATAAAAACCATTCTTATGGGACTTCAAACAGAAATAAGGAACATGTTATTTGGAAACTGGGGGAAAGGTAGTCCTTGTTATAAACTGGCAAAGAACTTGGCTGAATTGACTTTATGTCCTAGTGTTTTATGTAGAGTAGAACTGGTGAGTAATTAAATAAGATATTTGGCTGAAGAGATTTCTAAGCCAAGTGTTTAAGGTGCAACTTGGTGCTCTTGAATGTTTATAGTAAAATAGAAGAAGAGAAAAATAATTTGAAGATGGATTTTTTTTTAAATCAAAAGGGAAGCAGAACTTAAAGATTTGGGAAATTGCCAGTCTGTCCATATTGCAAAATATGAGAAAGCATGTTCTGGAGACAGCACCAAGGGTGTGGCCAAGGGACCATTTGATAAGATTAGTATGGATCAGCCAGGTGTTGTTCACCAAGACAATGGAAGAATGACCCTGGAGGCATTTTAGAAATAACTGGGGCTGCCACTGTCACCACACACCCAAAGTGCAAGAGTCTAGGGGGACAGAATATTTTTAAAGGATGGGCTATATTTTTCTGTAAGACCTTGGCACTCACTCCCTTGTGCTACCTCAAGGCTCTGCTCCCCACATTCTGGAGTTCTGTTCATTGACCACCCCAAGTGGGCTCCAGTAAGCTTATGTGGGTCATGTGCCACAGTGGCTGCCCCTCCAGAGGGCACATGTAGTAAACCTTGGTGGTGTCAACATAGGGTCATCTCTGCTGGAGTGAAGGTTGCATGAGCTGTGGGGTGTGGAAGCCTGCACCTGGATATCAAAGGGTGGAGTGGCCCACAACTTCAGGCACAAGACTGAGGCAGAGGGCTGCTGTGAAAGCCATGCCTAGTGGAGGCAGCAGAGCAGGACAGCCCAGGATCCCAGGTAGGTGAAGCTACCGGTGAGTCATTCCAGTCTGGGAGACCTGCAGGAATGCAACTCCAACTCATGAGAGCTGCACTGCAGCTGCACCCAGCCAAGCTGCAGGGGCAGAGCATCCTGAAGCCCTGAGGGAAACAATCCCTGCACCACTATGTTCAGAAGATGGAAAATCCAGTCAAAGGAGATTATTCTTGAGGCTTAAGGTTTAATACTGTTTGTCACATTCAATTTTGGAGTTGCTTGAAACTTGTTACTCCTTTCTTCTTTCCTGTTTCTCCTTTCTGGAATGGGAATGTTTATCCTATGCCTCTCCAACCACTGTATTTTGGAAGCACATAACATGTTTGATTTCATAGGTTCGCAGCAAGAACAGTTGGACTCAGGATAAATTGTACCTTGAGTCTTACCCATGTTTGACTCAGATAACATTTAAATCACACTTTGGACTACAATTTTAAAGTTGATGCTAAAATGAGTTGATATTTGGGGCTACTGGGGAGAAATGCATGTATTTTGTATATGAGAAGGATGTAGATTTTAGAGAAACAGAAGCAGAGTAGTTTAATCTGAATTTTTGTGTCCGCCTCCAGAATTCATAGGCTGAAATCTAGTCACCAAGGTGACGATAATAGCAGGGCCGGGCCTTTGAGGGGGGAAGGGAATGCAGGCAGTGCCCTCTTGAATGGAACTGGCGTCCTTATAAAAGAGGTCTCTGTGAGCTGTCTTGCCCTTTTCCACCATGTGAGGACACAGCAAGAAGGTTTTATCTATGAAACAAGAGGTGGGTCCTCACCAGACACAGAACCTGCTGACACCTTGATCTTAGCCTTCTAAGCCTTCAGAACCATGAGAAATAGAATTCTGATGTTTGTCAGCAACCCAGTCTATGGCGTTTTCTTAGAGCATCCTGAATAGATTAACACAAATAACTCTAGCTAGGTGTGCTCCCAACCTGGGGCACTTCATCTCCCTGTACAGGCTGAGTCCTGCAGGGCGTCCTGGATCTACTGACCACCACTGGAATGATGCCATAGGGATTTCCCCTTTCATGGGGGAACAAATGCTCTGATCCTCATCAGCCACCAGGAGCTGGCTGCTGTGATCTTTGCCCTGATGAAAATCCATGGAGATAAAGACAGTCTGGCTGGGTACACTCTCAAACTGGGTGCTTCCTCTCCCTGCACGGGAGCACTGGGGAGTGGCCAGTTCAGGAGGGGTCAACTCTCTCTGCTGGGCTAGGAGCAGATGAGGCCCAAGGCAGGTTCACGCAGGAAACTGCAGCCTCCCTGTGCCCACCCCAGGTCGTGGCACATGACATGGCTCCGTATCAACCAGAGAAATGAGTCAATAAAACTCGTCTGAGTCCTTGTTGGCCCAATCCTGTCTCTCCTGTTGCCAAAAACATTTCTGGAACCACACCCCAGGTTCCCACCCCACATGACTCTTCCATCTCCTGACAGCATCCTCGGGACCTTCCCCAGGGGACAGCACAGGAAGCAGAGGACCCAACACCCACTCCTGGAACAAGGCCTGGTCCATGAAAGATGAGGCCTGGGGCATGAGGCTGACACGATCAGCTGGGGAACACACGTCCCTCGAGACTCAGTTGTATCACTTGAAAATGGGGATGTCAGGACAAGTGACCACAGGGGCCTTTTTATTCTACCCTGCAGGACCCTATTCCAGGGTGACAACTTTCAGAGAGCTCAGGGCATGCTCGAGCTGCCTAGGGGTCAGGCTGCAGGAGGGAACTTGACTGGACTCTGAGATGCTGGGATCCCGCTTAATGACTCTGACAGTCTGCGCAGGGGCCCTGGCCAGGGGAAGAGGAACAGGGACATGTGAGACTAGGCAGGAAGGCAAGGGACAAAACCACAGCACCCTTGTATGGCCACACGAGGAGCCTGGAGCCAGCACTGGGAGGGATGGGGGCAAACTGCCCAGAGGACAGTGCTTGCTGGAGAAAGGGCCAGGTGGGGCTGGGGACAAGGTCAGCAAGATCTTCCCCAGCTGTGCCCTGGCATTGCTGCTTAGCCTGGCAAACCCTGGTCCTAGAGGCCCTCGGGAGTTCCATTTGTGCTGGGGCTGGTTAGACAGAGGGGTGACTCAGGAAGCTGTGCATGTGGGAGAGAAGAGGGGTGGCCTGGGGTCAGGCAGAAAGGGAGGCTGGTGGCCAGGCTGGGACCCTGGGTGCAGAGACGTGATTAGTTGATGGCTCTGAAGGTGAGGAGGGGGAACATGCTGGGCCTCAATATGAAGCTGTAGACCATCTTTATGTCCTCTTGGGTTAGTGTCTCCACCTGGAGGTGTTTCAGCACCTAGGACAGAAGCCGGGTTTCCATCTGGCTTGGTCCGCAGCCCATGCACGTGGTGCAGCCTTCTCAGACCCTCAAAGTTGCAGAGATTATGCTGAAGGGGGAACAGCAGCCTGGCCTCCAACCTGTTTCATTCCTGACCAGCCCCACCTTACAGCCCAGGCCCAGAATTCATCCAGCCCAGGTATTGCCCAAGCCCCACTATCCTGTACAGGCTCCACCCGACTTCCCCAGTTCCCACCTGACCCGGTTTAGCAGCAACCTCACCCAGATGGTACGCTCCTCACCATACCAACTCCTGCCCAGGACCTACACAGCCTCAACCTGGCCCAGGTTCTCCCAGTACCGGCTCTGCCCAGTCCAGGAAACATGCAGGCCACTCCCACTCTGCCGAGGCCAGTCCCACATTGCTCAAGCCCCGCCCATGCTGCCCAGACCCCGCCCAGGCCCCTCCCCAGCCCGGGCCTGCTCACATGGTGCAGCAGCAGCAGCATCTCTGCCTCTGCCAGGCGCCGCCCAAGGCACTGGCGCATGCCAAAGCCAAAGGGCACGTGGTAGAAGTTCCTGCCGGAGCCCCTGATGTCTAGCCAGCGCTGGGGGTTATAGCGCTCAGGCCTCGGGAACAAGGCGGGGTTGCGACCCAGAGAGTAGAGGAACACGCGCACCAATGTCTGCGGACGGTGCAGAGCGGGGATCAGGGAATGACTGGGGAGGGAGGTTCTCAGCTCGAGGGGTGTGGGGCTCACTCACCCCAGCTGGGATGTGGTAGTTCTGAAGCACCAAGTCTGAGCTCGCCACTCGCTCCAGAAACAGACCCACAGGGTAGAGCCTGGAGGTGGGGGCATCCATAGAAAGGGTCCTCAGCTGGATGGGGCTTCCTGTGCTCTCTGCACCCTTCCTACCGAAGAACCCGCAGAGGTCCCAGATCCATGGGAAGCCCAGGTCGTAGGAAGTGCTTCCTTGCACCTGCTGAGCCCGGCCAAACCTCCCCTAACTTAAGCAGCCCCGAGCGCAGAAGGACATGCTCCACGTTAATCCCCAGGGCGTTGAAGAGGGATTCCAGAGAAAGAAGAGCTCCCTGTCCTTGAGGGGGAGGAAGAGCAGGTGCAGGGGAATGGGCTGCTGGGTGACGCTGTTTATCAGCCCCAGATTCTGTCTGCCACCACCCAGTGGGGGCTGCTCTCCAGCAGGGGGCCAGGGCCACAGGGAGGCCTCAGCCAGCACCCACCGCAAGGTCTCCTTGAGGGCCGCACGCAGCAAGGGCAGCTCGGTGGTTGCCTTCTGGGGATGTTCACTGATGCTGGCTGCGGCGGCCAGGCTCTCCTGGCGCAGGGCCTGCTGCACGTTGGGGTTCCGAGCCAGCTCAAAGAGCGTCATCAGCAAGGGAAACACCGTCTGCAGGAGACACAGCTGCAGGGTCAGACCTTGCACAGGAGGACTCAGCCCCCGGGACACCCCTCCCAGGACAACCTCCCTGTGAGGGGTGCAGACATGCATACCCTGAGAACGACAGAGCCCAAGACTTCAAATCCTAATGCCCATCCAAACCCCTTTCCCTGAGTCCTCCACAGAAAGGAACCCCCCATTCCAACCATGGCAACCTGCAAACGTGTTTATCACATCACAATCCCAAGTAAGAAATGTGGGGCCCATAGCCTGGGGATGGGACACGTGGGCGCCGTGTGACATTGGCAGGCAGTGCCTGGGAGGCAGGCTTGGCATCACCCTCTCTGGGTGGGGCTGGTTGCCGGCCTGACCGTGTCCACGCTCCCTGCAGTGAGTTCCATAGAGTTGGCCTTGATGGCATCTGGCGACAGTTCCGCATTCAACAGGAGCTCCGCCACGATGCTGGTGTACTGTTGAGGGCGGCTGAAGGCCAGTTCCTGATAGATTTTCTGGATACAGTTGTCGCCTATCCGGGGAGCGGGAGGCAGCCCTCAGACTTTGGTGCTGGGAGACATCCTTCAGTGTCCTCCTCCTGCCCAGACTGCCCCGACACCCAAGTCTCCCTGCTCTCATCCCAAATTCTCCGGATCAGCCCAGCCCAGCCCCAGCCTCGCACCAATCTCCCTGGCAGGAAGGTGAGGAATCCCCGACCCCTCCCTGTGGCCTCCATTCCCCACTGGGTGGTGGAGAGGGAGAAATTGGGCCCCCATGGTGTCCCTTCCCCATAGCACTGCCCGGGTCCCTGGCCTCACCGTACTGGAAGATGCAGTCCCAGGCCTCAAAGTGCTCCTTCCACACCTTGGGGCTGGTCCAGCGAGACAGGCTCCTGGGCATGAACATGAGCTGGACGGTGGATTTGAACATGACCTCCAGGGCATGGAGGAAGTTCAGGCTGGCAGAACTGGGGCTGTGGCCAACCAGGCCCAGCCGCTCTCCAAAAAGAGCCAAGTTGCTGGCTGCGGGGAGGATGCACTGCTGAGCACAAGGCAGCCCCGGGCCTCCTGGCTGCCTCCCCACACTCCCTTCAGTCCCCCATCCCCGTCCCTGGCCACTCCAGGGTCTCTGAGGCTGGATCTTCCCACGTGGCCCACACCTTCTATGGTGTAGTGGAAGATGCTGGGCTGGACGTCCAGGGTCAGGCTCCCCCGGGCGTTCTGCAGCACCTTCTTCTTCAGGGCCTGGGAGAAGTCCCTGGCCACTGCATCCACCATCGGGAGGAACCTCTGCACAGCGTTGGGCGACAGCACTTCTGGATTCAGCCGCAATCGGTTGAAGCGCCATTCAGGCCCATTCCTACAGAGGCCAGGGCAGAGCTTGTGAGGCCGCCCCAGCAAGACACAGGCCCTGACCCGTATCCCATCCTCCTTGTCCCCAAGGGGAATCGGCCTGCAGGGAGCTGACTGGGGGCCCTGGTAGAAGCTGCCTGTTTGTGTTCGAGCTGCAGCCTTTTCTCAGAGCGGCCTCCAGGTGCTGGACAAAGGCCACTCAGGTCTAAGCAGGGATGAGATGGTAGCTTCTGCCCACAGGTGCTGACAGGGTAACTGAGGTCATTCCCGGGACCTGGCACCCCAAGTCTGGCACCACCTCACCCATGCAGGCCCTCCCTGTAGTAGGGGGGAGGGATTTTCTGCAAGAAAGGAACTGACCCCTGTTGTCAAGCTTTGCCCACCTCACCCACACAGTGTCCTGAGGGGAGAGCCCCTGGCTGCCCTCTCCTCCCCGCCCTTCCCTGCCCTGGGCACAGTGCCTCTGGGGCAGCAGCCCCAGTGAAGTGTCTGCATCTTCTGCAGGACAGAAACCAAGCTTTGTGCTTCATGCCATCCTCACCTACAGCCAGAGTGCGTGGGGGCTCCATGGATGCCCCCAGGGAATGGTGGGGAGGAATTTCCCCTGTCAGCCACATTTCTGCAAAACTCAAAGCTTTATTTATGTCCAGCTGGCTGTTGTGAGCTGTTGACAGTGATGGCAGGCAGAAGATGCACATGCTCACATGCGCCCATGCAAGACCTCAACACCATGTGTGAAGAGACACATGTACACATGTGCACAGACACTACACCCATGCCGGCACCTGCACATGCACACACAGAGACACTCGTGCACACACACCACACATACATGCACACAGACACATGTGCACACACGCATGCACACACAACACGTGCAAATGCAGGTACAGAGAAACACACAGCATGTGCACAGATGCAAGACGCACACACATACAGGTGCGCTCCCCTTCCTTCCGTTATGTGCACCCAGCCTTCTGGACTTGCCTTCCTGGGTCCTGACTCCCTCCCAGATGTCGTCTGTAGGCCAGCCTCAGTGAAGGCCCCCACCCTTGAGTGCCCTTTTACCTAAACCCCACTATTCCCAAAAGCGTTCTCCTCCTGCCATGGAGTGGGGGCTGTCGCCACTGTGACATCCTCGTCCAGTCCTTCCCCCGTCCTAATGACAACATTCCTGCAGGTGACTGACTCCAAGCATCAGCCTCTCCCTGCCCACCTGACCAGGCGCCACCCTCTGCACGGGCCAGGAAACATCCTCCCCAGTGCCATCAACCGCCCCACCTCGTGCCTTGCTTCTGAGAACAATGGAGCCACCAGCCACCTGCATCCCCACCTGCCTCCTGCCCCGGACTGTCCCCATCAGGAAGGTTTGCCAGGACTGCAGGGACCCTGAGCGCCCTGAGGGAGGCTGCGGCCCCGGCGAACACCAGGCTCAGTACTCAGCCTGTGACCTGGGCCAGTGGGAGTACCCTTCTCAGGGCCTCAGTTTTCTGACCTATGGGAAGGACAGTCCCCAGACCGCAAGAGAAAGCATCGGCCAAGGTTGGTGCAGAGCGGGTTCTCACTACACAGAAGGGCTCATTGCTCTGCATCTTCTCTGCAGAGGTGCCCGTGCCCATTTCTCCACCACCGCCCTGCTTCCCCAACCCACAGGGCAGACACGACCCCACGGAATGGCCGTCCTCTGGGTCGGGTGCTCACCCTCACTGCCCACCACAGGGGCCCAGGGCAGATGTGCTTTTGGGTCCTGCCTCTCTCGCCTCCCCCCTACACCCAGGCTGCCCACCCTGCTCCCAGCTCTCAGCTCGCCGCTTACAGCAAGAACACGCCACATTTGTGCCCACGATGTTGTCTGTAGGCCACCCAGGGCTCCAGGCTCATCCTGTGGGGATGCAGGCTGTCCACCTGTTGCAGCTTCTCCACGTCCTCCGGCAGCATCACACACACCATGCCTGCTCCTCCCAAGTCGTACCTGTGGGGCCAAGCACGAGGCCGTGCTGGATGGGACCATGTCCCCGCTAGCCCCACCCTGCAGTCCCAATCCAAAGTGTCTCCTGTCCACCCTCCCCTCTCCTGGATTAGCGGCTTCACAGCTAAAGCCCTCTTGCTGACTGCCCGGAACCTCTTAACTTCAGTGCCTCTGAGTCCTGCCCTCTCTGCAGCGAGCTGGGATTTGCTCTGCACCATCCCCTGCCCTGGCAGCGCCACAGACCAGCACGTGCTGCACTCCTTCCCCATCTTCCAAAGGATGCAGAGTGCCGGGACCTGCTGGGAATGGCAGTGCTGAGTGCCCGGCAGGGTCCTGGGCAGCAAGGGCAGGGCTCTGGGTGTTCCCAGCGAGGGCCAGGGAGGGCTTTACCTGAAAATGGGCCCTAGTTCCTGGAAGGTCTGGTGTACTTCCAGGTGCAGGTCCTCATAACCCTGCTCCCTCCAGATCTGCAGCAGCCTCAGCCACCTGTTGCCTGGACGCCGGGGCATGGCTTCAAAGGGCAGCACTGTCCTGGGGACCCGGGCGGCTCTCGTGCCCAGTGCCTGTGCCCTTTGCAGGGACAGCCAGGGCACTGCCATGCACACCTCTGCCTTTGCCCTGAGTGCCATTCCAATGCTCCCTCCACCCTGTTCAGCTGCAATCCTTTTATCTTGCCTGGTGCCTTGCCTTCGAGAGGGATCACGTCATGGGAGAACTGGCCCTGGATCTGCCTGAGAGACCGAGGGCAGAGGTCAGGGCTGGAGGCAGGGACTCATTGGGGGTGCATGAGCGTAGACAGGGGAAAAGGACTCTCCCTCCTCCTCCAGGGCTGAGAGGAGCAAGATGGATGGGGCCCTTATCTTATCCAAGAGCCTTGGATTATTCATCTCCTTGCAAGGTTTATAGCAAAAAACGAGGGAATGAGTTGGCATGAATTGTATTAAACCACATGTATTTTTTTTACTTTTTAAAAATTTTAGTGCAATCAAACTAGAACTCAGGATTAAGAAACTCACTCAAAACCGCTCAATTACATGGAAACTGAGCAACCTGCTCCTGAATGACTACTGGGTACGTAACAAAATGAAGGCAGAAATAAAGATGTTCTTGAAACCAACGAGAACAAAGACACAGCATACCAGAATCTCTGGAACACATTCAAAGCAGTGTGTAGAGGGAAATTTATAGCACTAAATGCCCACAAGAGAAAGCAGGAAAGATCCAAAACTGACACCCTAACATCACAATTAAAAGAACTAGAAAAGCAAGAGCAAACACATTCAAAACTAGCAGAAGGCAAGAAATAACTAAAATCAGTGCAGAACTGAAGGAAATAGAGACACAAAAAACCCTTCAAAAAATTAATGAATCCAGGAGCTGGTTTTTTGAAAGGATCAACAAAATTGATAGACCGCTAGCAAGACTAATAAAGAAAAAAAGAGAGAAGAATCAAATAGATGCAATAAAAAATGATAAAGGGGATATCACCACCGATCCCACAGAAATACAAACTACCATCAGAGAATACTACAAACACCTCTACGCAAATAAACTAGAAAATCTAGAAGAAATGGATAAATTCCTCGACACATACACTCTCCCAAGACTAAACCAGTAAGAAGTTGAATCTCTGAATAGACCAATAACAGGATCTGAAATTGTGGCAATAATCAATAGATTACCAACCAAAAAGAGTCCATGACCAGATGGATTCACAGCCGAATTATACCAGACGTACAAGGAGGAACTGGTACCATTCCTTCTGAAACTATTCCAATCAATAGAAAGAGAGGGAATCCTCCCTAACTCATTTTATGAGGCCAGCATCATCCTGATACCAAAGCCGGGCAGAGACACAACCAAAAAAGAGAATTTTAGACCAATATCCTTGATGAACATTGATGCAAAAATCCTCAATAAAATACTGGCAAACCGAATCCAGCAGCACATCAAAAAGCTTATCCACCATGATCAAGTGGGCTTCATCCCTGGGATGCAAGGCTGGTTCAATATATGCAAATCAATAAATGTAATCCAGCATATAAACAGAACCAAAGACAAAAACCACATGATTATCTCAATAGATGCAGAAAAGGCCTTTGACAAAATTCAACAACCTTCATGCTAAAAACTCTCAATAAATTAGGTATTGATGGGACGTATCTCAAAATAATAAGAGCTATCTATGGCAAACCCACAGCCAATATCATACTGAATGGTCAAAAACTGGAAGCATTCCCTTTGAAAACTGGTACAAGACAGGAATGCCCTCTCTCACCACTCCTATTCAACATAGTGTTGGAAGTTCTGGCCAGGGCAATTAGGCAGGAGAAGGAAATAAAGGGTATTCAATTAGGAAAAGAGGAAGTCAAATTGTCTCTGTTTGCAGACGACATGATTGTATATCTAGAAAACCCCATTGTCTCAGCCCAAAATCTCCTTAAGCTGATAAGCAACTTCAGCAAAGTCTCAGGATACAAAATCAACGTACAAAAATCACAAGCATTCTTATACACACTTAACAGACAAACAGAGAGCCAAATCATGAGTGAACTCCCATTCACAATTGCTTCAAAGAGAATAAAATACTTAGGAATCCAACTTACAAGGGATGCGAAGGATCTCTTTAAGGAGAACTACAAACCACTGCTCAATGAAATAAAAGAGGATACAAACAAATGGAAGAACATTCCATGCTCATGGGTAGGAAGAATCAATATCGTGAAAATGGCCATACTGCCCAAGGTAATTTATAGATTCAATGCCATCCCCATCAAGCTACCAATGACTTTCTTCACAGAATTGGAAAAAACTACTTTAAAGTTCATATGGAACCAAAAAAGAGCCTGCATCACCAAGTCAATCCTAAGCCAAAAGAACAAAGCTGGAGGCATCACGCTACCTGACTTCAAACTATACTACAAGGCTACAGTAACCAAAACAGCATGGTACTGGTACCAAAACAGAGATATAGATCAATGGAACAGAACAGAGCCCTCAGAAATAATGCCGCATATCTACAACTATCTGATCTTTGACAAACCTGAGAAAAACAAACAATGGGTAAAGGATTCCCTATTTAATAAATGGTGCTGGGAAAACTGGCTAGCCATATGTAGAAAGCTGAAACTGGATCCCTTCCTTACACCTTATACAAAAATTAATTCAAGATGGATTAAAGACTTAAACGTTAGACCTAAAACCATAAAAACCCTAGAAGAAAACCTAGGCATCACCATTCAGGACATAGGCATGGGCAAGGACTTCATGTCTAAAACACCAAAAGCAATGGCAACAAAAGCCAAAATTGACAAATGGGATCTAACTAAACTAAAGAGCTTCTGCACAGCAAAAGAAACTACCATCAGAGTGAACAGGCAACCTACAAAATGGGAGAAAATTTTTGCAACCTACTATCTGACAAAGGGCTAATATCCAGAATTTACAATGAACTCAAACAAATTTACAAGAAAAAAACAAACAACCCCATCAAAAAGTGGGCAAAGGATATGAACAGACACTTCTCAAAAGAAGACATTTATGCAGCCAAAACACACATGAAAAATTGCTCATCATCACTGGCCATCAGAGAAATGCAAATCAAAACCACAATGAGATACCATCTCACACCAGTTGGAATGGCAATCATTAAAAAGTCAGGAAACAACAGGTGCTGGAGAGGATGTGGAGAAATAGGAACACTTTTACACTGTTGGTGGGACTGTAAACTAGTTCAACCATTGTGGAAGTCAGTGTGGCGATTCCTCAGGGATCTAGAACTAGAAATACCATTTGACCCAGCCATCCCATTACTGTGTATATACCCAAAGGACTGTAAATCATGCTGCTATAAAGACACATGCACACGTATGTTTATTGTGGCACTATTCACAATGGCAGAGACTTGGAACCAACCCAAATGTCCAACAATGATAGACTGGATTAAGAAAATGTGGCACATATACACCATGGAATACTATGCAGCCATAAAAAAATGATGAGTTCATGTCCTTTGTAGGGACATGGATGAAATTGGAAATCATCATTCTCAGTAAACTATCTCAATGACACAAAACCAAACACCACATGTTCTCACTCATAGATGGGAATTGAACAATGAGAACACATGGACACAGGAAGGACAACATCACACTCTGGGGACTGTTGTGGGGTGGGGGGAGGGGGGAGGGATAGTATTAGGAGATATACCTAATGCTAAATGACGAGTTAATGGGTGCAGCGCACCAACATGGCACATGTATACATATGTAACCTGCACATTGTGCACATGTACCCTAAAACTTAAAGTATAATAATAATAAAAATAAAAATAAAAATAATTTTATTTCATTAACTTTTAGTTGACAATTAAAATTACATGTATCTATCCTGTGCAGCATGATGTTTTGAAATATGTATATAAAATCTGAAATATAATTTTGGCCACAATCAAGCTAAATAATATGTTTATTAGCTCAGACACTTTTTGTGTGTGTTTAGAATACATCAAGTCTACTCTCTTAGAGATTTTCAAGTCCGTGGTTATTAACCACGGTTCCATGTCACATCATCAATCTCTTGGCCTTTTTCCCCCTGGCTAACTGAAACTTTGTATCCTTTCACCTGCTGACCAACAGTCTCCCCACCGCAACCCTCCAGGTACGTCTGCCTCCCTGCCCTCAACTGCTGGTAGCCACCATTCCACTCTCTGTTTCTGTGGGTTCTATTTTTTTAGATTCCACAGTATAAGTGAGATTATGTGTTGGTGTTTGCTTTTTTTGTGCCTGGCTTATTTTTTATTTATTTATTTATTTATTTTTGAGACAGAGTCTCACTGTTACCCAGGCTAGAGTGCAGTGGCGCGATCTTGGCTCACTGCAAGCTCCACCTCCCGGGTTTATGCCATTCTCCTGCCTCAGCCTCCCCAGTAGCTGGGACTATAGGCGCCCACCACCATGCCTGGCTAATTTTTTTGTATTTTTAGTAGAGACAGGGTTTCACCGTGTTAGCCAGGATGGTCTCGATCTCCTGACCTCGTGATCCACTCCCCTCGGCCTCCCAAAGTGCTGGGATTACAGGCGTGAGCCACCGCGCCTGGCCGTGCCTGGCTTATTTCACATAACCATTTTCCAGCTTCATCCATGTTGTCACAAATAATAGATTTCCTTATTTTTTTAAGGCTGAATTAAAGCCTTTGTGTCTATATTCCACATTTTCTTTATTCATCTGTTGATGGACACTTAGGTTGATTCCATTATTGTGAATAATGCTGCAATCAACATGGGAGTGCAGGTATCTTCAGCATACTGATTTCATTTCCTTTATGTAGACTCACCATGACATGGGTGGGTCATATGGTAATTTTATTTTTAATTTTTAAGAAACTTTCATTCTGTTTGCCATAATGGCTGTGATAATTTACATTCCCATCAACAGGGTACTAGAATCCCCTTTGTCTGCATTCTCACAACACTGTCATCTTCCCCCTTTTTTATAGAGGCCATTCTAACCAGTGTCAGGTGATACTTCTTTTTTTTTTTTTTTTTTCAGACAGAGTCTCACTCTGTTGCCCAGGCTGGAGTGCAGTGGCGCAATCTCAGCTCACCACAACCTCCACCTCCCGGGTTCAAGTGATTCTCCTGCCTCATCCTCCTGAGTAGCTGGGACTACAGGCATGCGCCACCATGCCTGGCTAATTTTTGTATTTTTAGTAGAGACGGTGTTTCACTATGATGGCCAGGCTGGTCTCGAACTCCTAACCTTGTGATCTGCCTGCCTCGGCCTCTCAAAGTGCTGGGATTACAGGTGTGAGCCACCATGCCCAGCCAGTGATATTTCATTGTGGTTTTAATTTGCATTTCTTTGATGATTACTGATGTTGAGCACCTTTTCACATACCTGTCAGCCATTCATACATCCTCTTTTGAGAAATATACTTGACCTTGAAATATACTACAAAGCTATAGTAACCAACACAGATCGGTATTGGCATAAAAACAGATACATAGATTAACGGAACAGAAAGCAGAGCCCAGAAATTAATCCATGCATTTAAGGTCAATTGATTTTTGACAAAGATGCCAAGAACATACACAGGGGAAAGGACAGGCTTTTCAACACACGGTGTTGAGAAAACTGGATATCCATAGGCAAAGAATAAAATTAGACCCTTATTACACTAGACTGTTCTTGCATTGCTATAAAGAAATATCTGAGACTGGGAATTTGAGAAATAGATTGAGAAATAGATATTCAGGTCCTTTGTCCATTTTTTAATCCAGTTACTTGTTTTCTTGCTATTGAGTTGAGTGCCTTATGTATTTTGGATATTAAACCCTTATCAGATATAGATTTGCAGATATTTAGTCCCCATTTCTCTTCACTCTGTGGATTGCTTTCTTGGTTGTGCAGAAGATTTTTTTTTTTGTTTGATGTATTCTATTTGTCTATCATTGCTTTTGTTGCCTATGGTTTTGTGTTAATATCCAAAAAAAAATTTGCTAAGACCAGTGTCATGGATTCTTTCTTCCATGTTTTCTTCCAGGATTTTTAATGTTTCAGGTTTTTCATTTAAGTCTTTAATTCATTTTGAGTTGATTTTTCTGTATGGTGGGAAATAAGTGATATCTTAAAATTTTTTAATATGGTTTGGATGTGTGTCCCCTCCAAATCTCATGTTGGAATGTGACCTCCAGTGTTGGAGGTGGGACCTGGTGGGAGGTACTGGATCATGGGGGCAGATCCCTCATGAATGGCTGAGAGTGTCGCCTTAGTAGAGAATAAGTTATCTGAGTTCACATGAGATCTGTTGTTCAAAAGAATGTGGCACTTCCCCCCTCGCTTTCTCATGCCCACTCTCGTCATCTGGTACGCTGGCTCCCCCTTTGCCTTCCTCCATGATTGTAAACTTCCTCAGGCCTCACCAGAAGCTGATAAGATGCCAGCACCATGTTTCCTTTACAGCCTGCAGGACCATAGCCAATTAAACCTCTTTTCTTTATAAATTACCCAGAAATTCCCAGTCTCAGATATTTCTTTATAGCAATGCAAGAACAGTTTAGTGCAATAGAAGTCTAATTTTATTCTTTGCCTATGGATATCCAGTTTTCTCAACACTGTGTGTTGAAGAGACTGTCCTTTCTCCTGTGTATGTTCTTGGCATCTTTGTCAAAAATCAATTGACCTTAAATGCATGGATTAATTTCTGGGCTCTGCTTTCTGTTCCGTTAATCTATGTGTCTGTTTTTATGTCAATACCAATCTGTGTTGGTTACTATAGCTTTGTAGTATATTTCAAAGTCAAGTAGTGTGATGCCCCTCAGCTTTGTTCATTGTTGCTCAAAATTGCTTTGGCTAATTCAGGATTTTTTGTGATTCTATAACAATATTAGGATTGTTTTTTCTATTTCTTTGAAAAATGTCATTGGAATTTTAATTGGAATTGTATTAAATCTGTAGATTTTGGGGGTATATGGACATTTTAGCAATATTAATTCTTCCAGTTGATGAGTACTGCATTTCTTTACATTTTTTGTGTCCTCTTCAATTTCTTTATTTTTCATGTTTAATTTTTGTGAATACATAGTAGGTGTATATATTTATTGGGTGTATTAGTCCGTTCTCATGCTGCTATGAAGAAATACCTAAGACTGGGTAATTTATAAAGAGTACAATCATGGTGGAAGGCACCTCTTCACAGGGTGGCAGGAGAGAGAATGAGTGCAAGCACGGGAAATACCAGACACTTATAAAACCGTCAAATCTCATGAGACTAACCCATTATCACGAGAACAGAGAGAAACTGCCCCCATGATTCAATTACCTCCACTTGGTCCTGCCCTTTACATATGGGGATTATGGGAATTACAATTCAAGGTGAAATTTGGGTGGGGACACAGAGCCAACCCATATCATGGGGTATATGTTTTGATACAAGTATGCAATGTGTAATAATCACATCATAGATAATGAGGTATCCATTTCCTCAAGCATTTATCCTTTCTGTTACAAGCAATCCAATTTGTATTAGTTCATTGTCACATTGCTATAAAGAACTACCTGACACTGAGTAGTTTATGAAGAAAAGAAGTTTAATTGACTCACAGTTCTGCAGGCTGCACAGGAAGCATGGCTTGGAGGCCTCAGGAAACTTACAATCATGGTGGGAAGTGAAGGGGAAGCAAGCACGTCTTACCGTGGCAGAGCAGGAGGGCGGGAGAGAGAGAGAGAGAGAGAGAGAGAGAGAGAGAGAGAGAGAGAGAGAGAGAAGGGGGAGGTGCTACACACTTTCAAACAACTAGATGTCATGAGAACCCTATCACGAGACAGCACTAGGGGAATGGTGCCTAAACCATTAGAAACACCTTCATGATCCAATCACCTCCCACCACGCCCCTCCTCCAATAATTTATGATAATTTACATTTCCATCAGCAGGGCACAAGAGTTCCCCTTTGTCCACATCCTCACTAACACTTTTCAATCATGGGGATTGTCAATCGTGGGTATTAAAATAAGACATGAGATTTGGGTAGGGACATACAGCCAAACCATATCATTCTGTCCCTGGCCTCTCCCAAATCTCATGTCCTTCTCACATTTCAAAATATAATAATCCCTTCTCAGCAGTCTCACAAAGTCTGAATTCATTCCAGCTTTAACCAAAAGGTCAACATCTCATCTGAGACAAGGCAAGTTCCTTCCACCTATGAGCCTATAAAATAAAAAACAAATTAGTTACTTCCAAGATATAATGGAGTGTACAGGCATTGGGTAAATGCTCTCATTCCAAATGGGAGAAATTGGCCAAAAAAAAGGGGCTACTGGACCTATGCAAGTCCCAAATCCAGCAAGGCAGTCATTAAATCTCAAAACTCCAAAATATTCTCCTTTGACTCCATGTCTCACACCCAGGTCATGCTGATGCAAGAGCTGGGCTCCCAAGGCCTTGAGCAGCTCCACCCTTGTGGATCTGCAAGGTACAGCCCCTGTGGCTGTTTTCACAAGCTGGCGTTCAGTGCCTATGGCTTTTCCAGGTGCATGATGTAAGCTGTCAGTGGATCTACCATTCTGGGGTCTGGAGGATGGTGGCCCTCTTCTCAGAGCTCCACTGAGCAGTGCCCCAGTGGGAAATCTGTGTGGGGGCTCCAACCCCACATTTCCCCTCTGCACTGCCTTAGTAGAGGTTCTCCATCAGGGCTCTGCCCCTGCGGCAGACTTCTGCCTAGACATCCAGGTGTTTCCTTGCATCCTCTGAAATCTAGACAGAGGCTCCCAAACCTCAACTCTTGCCTTCTGCACACCCACAGGGCCTCACTGATTAAAACTCACAAAGGTTTGGGGCTTCCATCCTCCAAAGCAATGGCCTGAGATGTACCTTGGCCCCTTTTAGCCACGGTTGAAGCTGGAGTCACTGGGATGCAGGACACCATGTTCTGAGGCTGTGCAGATCAGCAAGGCCCTGGACCTGGCCCACAAAACCATTTTTCCCTCCTAGGTCTCCAGGCCTGTGATGGGAGGGACTGCCACAAATGTCTCTGAAATGCCCTGAAGGCATTGTCTGCATTGTCTTGGTGATACGGTTTGGCTGTGTCCCTACCCAAATCTCATCTTGAACTGTAGTTCCCATAATCCCCATGTGTCATGGGAAGGACCCAGTGGGAGGTAATTGAATCATGGAGGCAGTTACCTCTGTGCTGTTCTTGTGATAGTGAGTGAGTGAGTTCCCACAAGATCTAATGGTTTTATAAGGGGCTCCCCACCCTCACCCTTCATGCTGCACTTCTCCTTGCTGCTACTATGTGAAGAGGGATGTGTTTGCTTCCCCTTCTGCCATGATTGTAAGTTTCTTGAAGCCTCCCCAGCCCTGCAGAACCGTGGATCAATTAAACCTCTTTTCTCTATAAATCGCCCGGTCTCAGGTATGTCCTTATAGCAGCATGAGAAAGGATAAATACACTTGGCTATTAACATTTGGCTCTCCTTTACTTATGCAAATTTCTGCAGCCTTGAATTCTTCCCTAGAAAATGGGTTTTTCTTTTCTACTGCATGGTCGAACTGCAAATTTTCCCAGCTTTCATACTCTCCTCTTTTAAATATAAGTTCAAATTTCAGATAATCTCTTTCTTCATACATATGAGAATACACTTTTAGAAACAGCCAGGTAACCTCTTCAATGCAGCTGCTTAGACATTTCTTCTGCCAGATGCCCTAAATTATTTCTCTCAAGTTCAAAGTTCCACAGATCTCTAGAGCAGGGGCATAATGTCACCAGTCTCTTTGCTAAAGTATAGCAAGAGTGACCTTTATGCCAGTTCCCAGTAAGTTCCTCATTTCCATCTAAGAACTCATCTGCCTGGCCATCTCTGTCCATATCACTATCAGCATTTTGGTCGAAGCCATTCAACAAGTCTCCAGGAGGTTCCAAACTTTCTCTCATCTGCCTGTCTTCTTCTGATTCCTCCAAATTGTTCCAACCTCTGCCTATTACCCAGTTCCAAAGTCACTTCCACCTTTCCAGTTATCTTTATAGCAATGCCCCATTTCTCTGGTACCAATTTTCTGTATTAGTCTGTTCTCACACTGCTATAAATAACTATCTGAGACTGGGTAATTTATAAAGAAAAGAGGTTTGGTTGACTCACAGTTCTGCAGGCTGTACAGGGAGCATAGCTGGAAGACCTCAGGAAACTTACAGTCATGGCAGATGATGAAGGGGAAGCAGGCACGTCTTAACATGACAGAGCAGGAGAGAGAGAGAGTGAAGGGGGAGGTGCTACATACTTTCAAACAACCAAATCTCATGAGAACTCTATCATGAGACAGCACAAGAGGGATGGTGCTTAACCATTAGAAACCACCCCTCCATGATCCAAGCATCTCCCACCAGGACCCTCCTCCAACACGTGGGAATTACAGTTCGACATGAGATTTGGGTGGGGACACACAGCCAAACCATCTCACAATTATACGCTTTTAGTGATTTTTAAATGTACAATTAAATTGTCATTGATTATAATCACCCTGTTGTGCTATCAAATAGTAGGTCTTATTCATTCTTTCTATATTTTAACCATTCTCACCTCACCTCCACTCCCTCACTACCATTCTTAGCCTCTGGTAACTATCCTACTCTGTATCCCCATGAGTTCAATTGTTTCAGTTTTTAGATCCCACAAATAAGTGAGAACATGCAATGCTTGTCTTTCTGTGCCTGGCTTATTTCAATTAATGTAATAATCTGCAGTTCCATCCTTGTTGGTGCAAATGACAGGATCAAATGCTTTTTCATGGCTGAATAGTACTCCATTGTGTATATTCACCACATTTCCTTTATCCTTTTATCTGTTGACGCACACTTAGATTGCTTCCAAATCTTGGCTGTTGTGAACAGTACTGCAATAAACATGCTAGTGCAGATCCCATATACCAATTTCCTTTCTTTTGGGTATATACCTAGCAATGAGATTGCTGGATTGTATGGTACCTCTATTTTTAGTTTTTTGAGGAACCCCCAAACTATTTTCTATAGTGGTTGCACTAATTTACATTCCTACCAACAGTGTAGAAGGGTTCCCTTTCTCCACTTCCTCGCTAGCATTTGTTATTGCCTGTCTTTTGGATACAAGCCATTGTAACTGGGGTGAGAAAATATCTCATGGTAGTTTTTATTTGCATTTCTCTGATGATAATGATGTTGAGCAGCTTTTCATATGCCTGTTTACTGTTTGTATGTCTTTTTTTAAGAAATGTCTATTCGAATATTTTGCCCATTTTTAAATTGGATTATTAGTTTTTTTTCCTACAGAGTTGTTTGAACTCCTTATATATTCTGATTATTACTCCTTTGTCAGATGGGTAGCTTGCAAATATTTTCTCCCATTCTGTGGGTTGTCGCTTCACCTTGGCAATTGTTTACTTTGCTGTGCAGAAGTTTTCTAACTTGATGTAATCCTATTTGTCCATTTTTGTTTTGGTTGTGTGTGTTTGTGGGTTATTATTCGGGAAATCTTTGCCCAGACCAATGTCCTGGAAAGTTTCTCCAATATTTTCTTATAGTAGTTTCATAGTATGAGGTTTTATGTTTATGACTTTAATCCATTTTGATTTGATTTTTGTATATGGTGAGAAACGGGTCTAATTTCATTCTTCTGCATATAGATATCCAGTTTTCTCAGCACCATTTATTGAAGAGACTGTCTTTTCCTTGGCACCTTTGTCAAAAATGAGTTCACTGTTGTGTATGGATTTTTTTCTTAGCTCTCTATTCTATTCCATTGATCTATGTGTCTGTTTTAATGCCAGTACCCTGCTGCTTTGCTTACTATACTTCTGTAGTATAATATGAAGTCAAGTAATGTGATTTCTCCAGTTTTGTTCCTTTGCTTAGGGTAACTTTGGCTATTCCGGGTCTTTTGTGGTTCCATATAGATTTTAGGATTGTTTTTCTATTTCTGTGAGGAATATCACTGGTATTTTGAGAGGGACTGCATTGAATCTGTAGATTGCTTTGGGTAGTATGGACATTTTAACCATATCAATCCTTCCAATCAACGAACATTTTGGTGTCTTCTTCAATTTCTTTCATCACTGTTTAATAGTCTTTCACTTCTTTAGTTAATCTCAGGTATTTAATTTTATTTGTGGTTATTGTAAATGGAATTACTTTTTATTTTTCAAATTGTTCACTGTTGGCATATGGAAATGCTACTGATTTTTGTAAGTTGATTTTGTATTCTGCAACTTTACTGAATTTGTTTATAAGTTCTAATAGTTTTTTTGTGGAGTCTTTATATTCTTCCAAATATAAGATTATATAATCTGCAAACAAGGATAATTTCACTGCTTCCTTTCTAATGTGGATGTTGTTTATATCTTTATCTTGTCTGACTCCTCTAGCTAGGACTTCCAGTACTATGTTGAATAACAGTGGTGATAGTGGGCATCCTTGTCATTCTCTAGATCTTGGAGGACAGGCTTTCAGTTTTCCCCCATTCAGTATGATACTAGCTGTGGGTCTGTAATATATGGCTTTTATTATGTTAAAGTATATTCCTTCTACACCCAGTTTTTTGAGGGTTTGTTTTTATCATAAAAGGATGTTGAATTTTATTAAATGTTTTTCAGCATCAATGGAAATGATTATACAGTTTTTGTCCTTCATTCTGTTGATGGGATGTATCACACTGATTGATTTGCATTTGTTGAACCATTCTTGCATCCCAGAGATAAATCTCACTTGGTCGTGATGAATGGTCTTTTTAACGTATTGTGGAATTCAATTTGATAGTATTTTGTTGAGGATTTTTGCATCAATATTTATCAGAGATATTGGCCTTTAATTTTTTTATGTGTCTTTGTCTGGTTTTGGTATCAGGGTAATACTGGTCTTGTAGAATGAGTTCAGAAGTATTCCTTCATCCTTTATTTTTCAGAATAGTTTCAGTAGGATTGGTATTAGTTCTTCTTTAAATGCTTGGTAGAATTCAGCGGTGAAGCTATTGAGTCCAGGGCTTCTCTTTACTTGGAGACATTTTATTATGGAGTAAATCTCATTACTTGCTATTTGTCTGTTCAGGTTTTTTATTTTTTCAAGGTTCAATCTTGGTAGGTTTTTGTGTCTTGAAATGTATCCATTTCTTCTAGATTTTCCAATTTATTGGCATGTAGTTGCTCATAGTAGCCACTAATTATCCTTTGAGTTTCTGCAGCATCAGTTTTAATATCTCTTTTTTCATTTCTGATTTTATTTATTTGAATCTTCTCTTTTTTTTTCTTAGTTAGTTGGGCTAAAGTTTTGTCAACTTTGTTTATCTTTTCAAAGAAAGACCCAACTTTTTGTTTCATTGATCTTTTGTATCACTTTCTTCATTTCAATTTCATTTATTTCTGTTCCTTAGGTTTTATTTGAAGTTTTTCTTCTTTTTTGAGATAGGCACTTACAGCTATAAAGTTCCCTCTTAGTACTGCTTTTGCTGTATCCCATAAATTTTGGTATGTTTTGTTTCCAGTATCATTTGTTTCAAGAAATTTTTCAATTTTCTTCTTAATTTTTTCATTGACCCAGTGGTCATTCAGGAGGATATTGTTTAACTTCCATATATTTGTATAGTTTCCAAAATTCTTCTTGTTAATTGATTTCTAGTTTTATTTCATTGTGGTCATAGAAGATGCTCAATATTATTTCAATTTTTTGAATGTTTTAAGATTTGTTTTTTGACCTAACCTACGGTCTATCCTTGAGAATGATCCATGTGCTGAGGAAAATAATGTGTATTCTGTAGCCGTTGGATAAAATATTCTGCAAATATCTACTAGGTCCATTTGGTTTATAGTTCAGATTAAGTCTGATGTTTCTTTGTTGACTTTCTGTCTGGAAGATCTGTCCGATAGTCAAAGTGAGGTATTGACGTCTCCACTTACTATTGTATTGGGGGTCTATCTCTCTCACCACAGTGGGGAATCTGCTAAGCTTCACCTGAAGCCAGCAAGTCTCAGATTCTCACCTAAAGCCCTTGATGAAGAACCTGGGTATAGCTGCTTATTATTCAAGGTCCAAGGTCTCTTTAGTTAGCAGGTGATGATTCCTGCCAGACTTGGCCCTTCCCTTCAAGGCAGCAGGTTCTCTTCCGGCCCAAGGTGTGTCTAGTAATGTCATCTGAGAGCTAGGGCCTGGAAAGGGGACCTCAGGACTCTGACAAGTGCCCTATCCTGCTGTGGCTGAAGCTGGTATCCAAGATGTAAGACAACGTCCTCCCCTTTCTTTTCTCTCCTCTCCTCAAGTAGAAGGAAGGGGTCTCCTTTGGAGCTTCAAACTGTGCAGCCTGTGGTTAGGAGAGCGGTGTGATGCCAGCACTCCCTTATCTGCCCCAGCTATTGCCTAAGTATCTCACGTGCCCACCGGTCCACTGGCTCTGGGCCCAGTTCAGCAGCAGGAGTTGCAGTTCTTGTGGCCTAGACTGCCTTTCAAGTTTGTTTAGAGGTGCTTTAAAGGGTACCTCCAAAGTCCAGAGGTCCCCTTTATTTAGAGGTGCTCTAAATAAACTTGAAACTCTAGTCTGTGGTAATGAGGCTTGAGGCAACTCCAGTTTGTACCACTGGGATCAGCAATTTTCCTCTGGCTGGGGCTGGGTTTTGTTTTGTTTTGTTTTTGTTTGTTTGTTTGTTTGTTTTGGTCCTAACCCTCAGAACCTGTGAACTAGGGCTGGTTTAATGCTCCCTCCATGAGCAGGCATCAGCTGGGTTTGGTCTGGTTTTGCTTTCTGCTCTAGTAGGATAGCACTGAGTTCACTGCCTCACAATTGCTGCAGTCTCCCTCTCCCAGTGCACTGAAATGCACTCCACATCACACCACGGCTGCTAGGGGGACAACTGGCTCAGCGTTCTATTCCACCATCTTGCTTTACCTCCTCTCCCCCTCTCCCTGATTTCTTAATAAGGTTTTATAGTTTTCAGTGCATAGGTCTTTCACCTCCTTAGTTAAATTTATTCCTAAGTTTTTAAAATTTTGTAGCTATTATTAATGGGATATTTTTTCCTTCTTTCTTTTTTTTTTTTTTTTTTAAGAGATTGGATCTTGCTCTGTCACCCAGGCTGTAGTGCAGTGGCATGATTACAGCTCATTACAGCCTTGAACTCCTGGGCTCAAATGATCCTCCCACCTCAGCCCCACCCCTAACCCCCTGAGTAACTGGCATTACAGGCATGAGACAGTGTGCCCAGAAAAATTGGGTTTTTTTATTTCTTTTTTTTTTGTATAGTTTGTTACTAGTATGCAGAAATGCTATGAATTTTTGTCTCTTGACTTTTTTCATCCTGCAATTTTATTGAATTTATTTTAGTTCTATCAGTTTTTTTTTGGTTGCAGTCTTTAGGGTTTCTATTTATAAGATCATTGTCATCTGCAAATGAGGACAATTTAATTTCTTCCCTTTTAATTTAGGTGCTTTTTATTTCTTTCCCTTACCTAATTGCTCTGTCTAGTACTTCCAGCACTATGTTGAGTAGAAGTGGCAAGAATGGACATTTTTGTCTTATTCCTCGTCTTCCAGGAAAAGCCTTCAAATTTTCACCATTGAGTATGATATTAGCTGAGAGATTTCTATGTATGGCTTTTATTGTGTTGAGGTATGTTCCTTCTACACCTAATTTGCTGGGAGTTTCTATTATGAAAGGATGTTGAATTTTATCAAGTGTTTTTCTGCATCTATTGAGATGATCCTAAGGCCATTCTTTTTTTAATGTAGTGAATCACATTTATTGATTTGCATATATTGAACAATTCTTGCATCACCGAAATAAATCTCAGTTAATCACGGTGAATGTTCCCTTTAATATGCTGTTGAACTCAGTTTGCTCGTATTTTGTTGAGGAATTTTGCATCTATGTCCATCAGGGATATTGGCTTGAAATTTTATTTTCTTGTGATGTGTTTGTTGGGCTTTGGTATTAAGGTAATACTGGCCTTGTAAATGAGTTTGGAAGTATTATCTCCTCTTCAATTTTTTGGAAGAGTTTGAGAAGGTTTTTTTGTGTTTTTTTTTAAGGTTTGGTAGAATTGAGCAGTGAGGCCATCAGGTTCTGAACTTTTCTTTAACTGGAAATTTTAAATCACTAATTCAGTCTCTTACTTGTTATTGGTCTGTTGATGTAGCAGGACAAGCCACAGACAAAACTCCTCAGACACCGAGTTAAAGAAGAAAGAGGTTTATTCGGCCGGGAGCATCGGCAGGACTCCTGTCTCAAGAGCCAAGCTCCCTGAGTGAGCAATTCCTGTCCCTTTTAAGGGCTCACAACTCCAAGGGGGTCTGCGTGAGAGGGTCATGATTGATTGAGTAAACGGGGTAGGTGACAGGGTCTGCATGCACCGGTGGTCAGAGTGAAACAGAACAGACCGGGAAGTTTTACAATGTCTTTCTGTAATCTGTAGATAACAGCAGTTGCTAGGTCAGGGGTCGAATTTTAACTACCAGGCTTAGGTCAGGCCCAGGCTTGGTTTCGGTTCTGGTTTCTTGGATTTGGGTCTGGTTCCTAGGCGCCGGGGCACCTGCCTTTAGTTTGGCTTCTCTTTCCTTTTCAGAGTATAAAACAACATAAAACAATATGAGAAGGTCTGTCTCTCTTCTCTCATTCAGATTTTATATTTCTTCATAATGCAGCCTTGGTAGGTTGTGTGTGTCTAAGAATTTATCCTTTTCTTCTAGGTCATCTAATGTGTTGTTAATCAATAATTCATAGTAGAATCTTATAATGCTTTGTATTTCTGTGGTTTCAGTTACAATGTCTTTTCTTTCATTTCTGATTTTACTTCTGAGCCTTTACTTCTGATTTTACCCCAAGTCTTCTTTTTTTCTTATTTGGTATAGCTAGAGGATTGTTGATTTTGTTTATCTTTTCAAAAAACCAACTCTTAGTTTTGTTGATTTTTTGTATTGCTTTTGGAATCTTTATTTTGTTTACTTCTGCTCTGATCTTATTTCCTTCCCTCTGCTAACATTGGTTTTATTTTTTTCTTTATCTGGTTCCTTTGGGTGTAATGTTACATTGTTTATTTGAGATTTTTCTTCTTTTTTCATGCAGGCATTTGTTGCTGTAAACATCCCTCTTAGAACTGCTTTTACTGCATTACATATATTTTGCTCTACTGTGTTTCCATTTTCAGTTGTCTCAACATATTTTAAATTTTTTATTTAAATTTCTTCTTTGACCCATTGGTTGTTCATGTTGTTTAATTTTTATATATTTGTGAATTTTCTGTAATTCCTGCTGCTATTGATTTCTTAGTTTTATATTGTTGCCAGAAAAGATACTTGATACGATTTTAATTTTCTTAAATTTAAGACTTGTTCTTTCATCTAACATATTATCTATGTGGGAGGATGATCTGTGTGCACTTGAGAAGAAGGTGTACTGCGCTACTGTTGGATCGAATGTTTTGTATATTTCTGTTAGATTCATTTAGTCTAAAATGTATTCAATTCTGATTTATCCTTATTGATTTTATGTCTGGATGATCTGTTTATTGCTAAAAGTGTTGTATTGAAGTCCGGCCTAAGCCTCCCACAGTTCTGGGATTACAGGGGTGAGCCACCATGCCTGGCCTGATTCTATTTTTAAATAGCTTTATTGAGAAGTTATTCACATACCATATAATTCACCTACTGAAAGTATACAATTAAAGGTTGGTAGTATAGTCACAAATATGTACAACTATCACTACATCCAATTTTATTAATTTCTAAAATCGCCAAAGAAATCCAGGACTTCAGCAAAAATGCGGTGGGCAGCTCTAAATGTGTGACCCATCACAGTAACATTCAAAAAACAAGCAAAAACTGCACAAATTAACTTTGTCAGGGCTCTGGAAAATAATTATTTCTGGCCACCACATAAATGCTACATGAAGAAAGTGACAACTCTTACATTGTAGAGAAGCTTTCCTGTATCTTTACTTGCTCTGGCTTTGCCCACCCCAGATCAGTGGCTGTCTTTGAAGATGGCAGCTCAAGCTACCAGTGTGGGATGCTGGGGTCTGGAGACAGAAGGATCAGGGCAGCGCTTATTCCCCAAAATTGTCATTATTTGTTCTAACCTTTCTGTGGACTACCTGAGGAACTGATGCAAGGGCCTTGCCTTTGTTTTGCCTAACTTGGAATGTATTCAAGTGGAAAAGTAGCTATGGAAGACCCGCATCAAAAATATTGTAAGGCAGCTGAGTAACCTGATATCATCAAAGGCAAAAGATTCAACTTGAGGAAAGAAAAAAAAACTTTGTCAAAACACTAGAAGAAAAAGCTTGGAAGAGTGTTTCTTTGAGAAGCTAGAGGATTTGAAATGCCAACCTATGCTGGGAAATCTAGAAAACCACAAGCTCCTAGGGCAGGACAGATGCTAAGACAGTGTCTAATTATAATCCTCCTGGCTGTGTTTACAGGAGTGCCCCGAAAACAGGCCCAAACTGCAAAGACAAAGACAGTGTTGGCTGTGTTTACAGGAGTGCCCCGAAAACAGGCCCAAACTGCAAAGACAAAGACAGTGTTGGCTGTGTTTACAGGAGTGCCCTGGAAACAGGCCCAAACTGCAAAGACAAAGACAGTGTTGGCTGTGTTTACAGGAGTGCCCCGAAAACAGGCCCAAACTGCAAAGACAAAGACAGTGTTGGCTGTGTCTACAGGAGTGCCCCGAAAACAGGCCCAAACTGCAAAGACAAAGACAGTGTTGGCTGTGTCTACAGGAGTGCCCCGAAAACAGGCCCAAACTGCAAAGACAAAGACAGTGTTGGCTGTGTCTACAGGAGTGCCCCGAAAACAGGCCCAAACTGCAAAGACAAAGACAGTGTTGGCTGTGTCTACAGGAGTGCCCCGAAAACAGGCCCAAACTGCAAAGACAAAGACAGTGTTGGCTGTGTTTACAGGAGTGCCCCGAAAACAGGCCCAAACTGCAAAGACAAAGACAGTGTTGGCTGTGTTTACAGGAGTGCCCCGAAAACAGGCCCAAACTGCAAAGACAAAGACAGTGTGATTATTTTTCTTGTCTTTTTATTTTTCCCCTCTTTCTTTTCTTTTCTTTTTTTCTTTCTTTTCTTTTCCTCCTGGTGTTCAAGGAGAAAATCTCTCTCAAATTTGTCAAAACATCAGATTAATGCAAGCTAAAGAAATAGATTCCACTATTGCCTTATAATCCTTTGTATTTCTGTGATACAAATAAACAGTAGAAGACCTAGAGAAAACAAATAGAAAAATTATAGAAGTTGTCTTATTTATCAGTAATTGCTTTACATATAAATGGTTCAAACTCTCCATTGAAAAGGCAGAATGGATAAAAATTGTGATCCACTACATGCGGTCTTCAACAGATTCACATCATATCCAAAGATGCAAATAGGTTGAAAGTGAAAGGTAGAAAAATGGTATTTCATGGGAATAGTAACCAGGGAGCTTGGATGGCTATGCTAATATAAGACAAAATAGTCTTTATGTAAAAAAGTTACAAAAGACAAAGAAGGTCATTATATATTGATAAAAGAGTTGTGGCCGGGCACGGTGGCTCACGCCTGTAATCCCAGCACTTTGGGAGGCCGAGGCGGGTGAATCACGAGGTCAGGAGATCGAGACCATCCTGGCTAACACAGTGAAACCCCGTCTCTACTAAAAATACAAAAAAATTAGCCGGGCGTGGTGGCGGGCACCTGTAGTCCCAGCTACTTGGGAGGCTGAGGCAGGAGAATGGCGTGAACCCGGGAGGCAGAGCTTGCAGTGAGCCGAGATCACGCCACTGCACTCCAGCCTGGGTGACAGAGCGAGACTCCGTCTCAAAAAAAAAAAAAAAAAAAAAAAAGAGTTCTGATGGTTAATTTTATATGTCATTAACTAAGCTATGGTATAGTTTTTGGTCAAACACTAGTCTGGATTTTGGTGGAAAGGCATTTTTAGGTTTTACCATCATTTAAAGAAGTAGGTTTTGAGTAAAGCAGATTATCCTCCAAGTATCCTCCTGCAGGATCCATCCTGTGGTTATCGCCACAATTCAAGCAGAATTGGAATATTCATAGTCAACAACTGGCAGAATCCCCACACTCGTTCCCTCTTCTATGCAGTGAGAGATATTATAGTGGAAAAGACCAAGTAGAAGCCATTAGAACTGTGTCTACCAAGAAAAATAGCCAAAAGCGTAACATTCCTAGACGGATGGCAGAGATTAGAGCTACCAGTCAGAACCTGAAAAATGCACAGGTGAAGATTCCTGCCACATCCCCATTCGACTTTCCTGTTTTGCCTGTGCAGAAGACAGATGAATCTTGGAGAAAAGCAGATTTTTGTAAGATTAACCAAGCCACCACTCCAATTGCAGCTACCGTACCAGAGGTGGTTTCATTGCTTGAGCAAATGAACGCATGCCCTGGTACATGGTATGTAGCTACTGAGCTGACAAATGCACTTTTCTCCATTCCTACCAGTAACGAACACCAGAAGCAGTTTGCTTTTAGCTGGCAAGGTTAGCAGTATACCTTCACTGTCCTCCTCAGGGATATATTAACTCTCCAGACTGATTATAATTTAATTTGTAGGCATCTTGTCATAATTTACTTTGTAGGGATCACCTTTCCTTTCTGAAAGATACCACACTGATGGATTACATTTATAACATAATGCTAATTAGACCCAGAGAGCAAGACGTACCAATTGCTCTAGACTTATTATTAAGACATTTGTGTGAAAACACCCCAGGGCCTGTAGTGGGGTGAGGGGAGGGGGAGGGATAGCATTAGGAGATATACCTAATGTAAATGATGAGTTAATGGGTGCAGCAAACCAACATGGCACATGTATACATATGTAACAAACCTGCACATTGTGCACATGTACCCTAGAACTTAAAGCATAATAATTAAAAAAAAAAGACATTTGTGTGAAAGGGTGCTGCTGTGATTTGAATGTGTCCCCTCCAAAATCCAGTTGTTGCCGGTTTGATAGTATTAAGATATGGGGCCTTTGAGAGATGGTTAGGCAGTGAGGGCTCCACCCTCGTGAATGGGATTAGGTGCCCTTGTAAAGGGGCTTGACAGAGGGGATTTTATCCCCCTTATGCCCTCCGACTTCTACCATGTGAGGACACATTGTTCCTCCCCTCCAGACGATGCAATGTTCAAGGTGCCGCTTGGAAACAGAGACCCAGCCTCCACCAGACGCTGACCCTGCTGATGTCCTGATCTTGGACTCTCAGCCACCAGAACTGTGGGAAAATAAATTTCTGTTCTTTATAAGTTACCCAGTCTCTAGTGTTTTTGTTAAAGTACACAAAATCAACTAAGACAGATGGGAAATAAACCCAACAGAAATTCAGGGCCCTTCTACCTCCATGAAATTTCTAGGAATCCGGTGGTGTGGGGCATGCCTAAATATCTCTTCTAAGGTGAATTACAAGCTGTAACATCTGGCCCCTCCTGCAATCAAAAAGGAGGTACATTGCCTAGTAGACTCTTAGGACTTTCATGGTAACATATTTCTCATCTGAGTATGATCCAGCCCACTTTCTTTTGACCTAAAGTGCTGCTACTTATGAGTGGAACCCAGGACAGTGGAAGGCTCAGCAACAGGTCCCGGCCACCATGCAAGCTGCTTTGCTAATTGTGCCACATTTTCTAGCAGATCCAACAATAACTGAAGTGTCAGTGGCAGATAGGCAAGCTTTCTGGAGCCTTGGTCGGGCCCTGTAGGTTAATCACAGCACAAATCCCTGGAATTGCAGCACAAAGCTCTATCAACCTGTGCTGATAACTACTCTCCTTGGAGAAAGAGCTTTTGGCTTGCTCCTGGGTCTTCGTAGAGAATAAACACTTTACCACGGGCCACTAAGTTACCACGTGACTGCCTTTGATTCGTGGGGTGTTACATAAGCCACTAAGCCTTAACATACCCAGCAGCACTCTATCAATGAATGGAAGGAGTATGTTCATTTGGCCTCGAGGAGGCCCAGAAAGCACAAATAGGTTACATGAAGAAGTGGCCCTAATGTCCAGGTTGTCCACAATCCTGCTACACCATCTTCTCTCCCCAGCCTGCACCTATGGCCTTACGTGGTTACCTGTATTTCGTTGGCAGAGAAAAAGAAAACTAAAGTCAGGTTTAGAGATGGTTCTGCAAGAGATGTCGTTATCGTCCCAAAACAGACAGTCACAGCAATGCAGTTACTTTCCGAGACGTCCCTGAAGGACAATGGCAGAGGAAAATCCTCCCGGTGGGCAGAACTTTGATCACTAAGCCTGGTTGTTCATTACACTTGGAGGGAGAAATGGCCATGCATGCAATCATATACAGATTTATGGGCTTTTGCCAATGATTTCGCTGGGGGGTAAGGATCTAGGAAGCAACACAACTGTAAAATTGGTGACTAGAGATTTTGAGGAAGAGGTATGTGGATAGATCTCTCTGAATGGGCAAAACATGTGAGGATATTTGTGTCCCATGTGAATGCTTACCAAAGCGTGATCTCAGTAGAGGGGGATTTTAATAATCAAGTAGATAGGATGACCTATTTGTGAACACAAACCAGTCACTATCCCCGGCCATGCCTGTCATTGCCCAATGTGCTCATGAATTAAGCAGATGTGGGAACAGGGAAGGGGGTTATGCATGCTCAGCAATGTGGTTTTGCACTAATGGTGCCAAGCTGGCTACAACTCCTGCTGAGTGCACAATCTGCCAGCAGCATACACCAACAGATAGCTCACAGAATGATACGGCTCCCTGGGGAGATCAGCCAGCAACCTTGTGGCAGGTCTATTACATCCAGCCTTTTTCATCATGGATGGGAAGCATTTTGTTCCTATTGGGATACATACACACTTTCTTTGGATATGCATTTTTTCTGCATTCAATGCTGCGTCAAAACGATATATTTTTATTTCATCTCTTATAACTTTAAATAAAATAAGATGCATTGACTATATCATAGTATTTATTGTACAGAATATCAAGAAGAATAAACACCACCAAGGGTTTTTGCAGCTTCTTCTGGGGAGAGGATTAGGACAGTTGTATCATGTTAGGTGAAGTATGACCTTGCTTTTATTTTTATTTGAAAGTTAAGTATGATTTAAGGAGCTGTGTGTGGGAGCCAAGATGAGAAGGAATGGAGTGTGATGGTTGGTTTTAGGTTTCCATCTGGCTAGGCTATGGTACCCAGTTTCAGTCAATGCATGAGTCTGCTATGGCTGCTGTAACGAAGTGCCATGGATTGAGTGGCTTAAATGACAAACGTTTATCTCTCACAGTTCTGGATGCTGAGCAGTCCAAGATCGTGGTGCCAGAAGGCTTTGTTTCTCCCGGGCCTCTCTACTTAGACCGTAGATGGCTGTCTTACCTCTGTGTGCTCACGTGGCCTTTTCTCCATGTATGAGCACTCCCGGTATCTCTTCCTCTTCTAATAAAGACACTAGCCCTATTGGATTGAGGCCCCACACATGTGACCTCACTTAATCCTAATTACCTTCTTAAAGGCTCTACCTCCAAAGATAGTCACACTTGGGGCTAGAGCTTCAACATATAAATGAGGAAGGGCACAATTCACTTCATAAAAGTCAAAAACCAGTCAAGATGTTGCTGAAAAGAAATTTTTTAGATATGAATAAGATTTAAATCAGTAGACTTTGAGTAAAGTAAATTATACTCCAGAATGAGGATATGCCTCATCCAAACTAGTAAGTCCTTTAGAGGATGGCTGGAGGTCTCCTGAGGAAGAAGGAATACTGCCTCCAGATGGCCTTTGAATCAAGATCTCAACGTTAGCTTTTCTCTGCATCTTCATACTACTAGCCTGCCCTGCATATCCTGGACTTACCAGCAGAAACACTCACATGAACTAATTCTGTAAAATAAATCCCTCTCTCATCTTGATTCAGTATTTCTGGAGAACTCTGGCTTATTCTAGGGAAGACTCATCAAAAGATATAACAACTGTAGACATATACGTATCAAACCACAGAGTCCCAAAATATATTCAGAAAACGTTGGGGAGGGAGTTCCAGACGGCCAACTAGAAGCAGCTATTGTGTGCCACTCCCTGGAGAGGAAACAAGGTAGCCAGTAAACACTAGCTCTTCAAGCTCATCATCTGAGAGACGCTTCCTGATTGGGCCTCAAGCAGGGAACCCACAGAGAACAGAGAGGACTGAAGCTTGCCCCATGCTAATGCTTACCAAAGTGTGACCTCGATGGAGGACGATTTTAATAATCCAGTAGATAGGACAATCTGTTCGTGAACACCAGCCAGTCACTATCCCCAGCCAACCCTGTCCTCACCCAGTGTGCTCATGAATTCAGCAGACATGAGAACAGGGAAGGAGGTTACCGGTATGGAGCCAGGAGAAGCTCCCTAACTTGGGGAAAGGCTGAGTGAATGAGAGTCCACAAGGGATCCATACTTCCCTCATGGACCTTTGCAATCCTGGGCATGGGAGAACCTCTCTGATGCCCCAACCCCCAGGCCTCCAGACTGACACAGAGAACTAGCTGGAGTTTTGCAGAGGCGCTGCTTAAGCCCACATGGAGCCTCACAGGCCTTGGATCCCCGAACAGCCTTGTGCCAGCTGCCATAGCCCCAGTAGAGCACACAGCTGTGGTGCCAAGGAATGGCCAGACTGCTGTGCTTCTCCTCACCACGCAAGGCTCAGCTCAGGTTTCCAGCGCAGTAACCCCATCCCCACCTAAACACTGTCGGGGGCACAGCTCTGTGTTCTCCTGATATGCACCCACACCACAGCCCACGTGATGTCCCCCAACCCCCACTGTTCTTTGCCAGGCAAAGCTTACTGGCTTGTGCTTCCAGTACAGTAACCGCACCCCCGCCTGGACACTGTGGTGAGTTGTTCCTCTGTGTTCCTCTGGGTTAAAACTCCCGGAGTTAACAGACAATGCTTGGCACCTTTGCATGCCCCCAGCAGCGAAGTTTAGCATGCTTGGGTAGGAGGAAAGTGTCAGCATGCCACATATCCCACAGCCACCAGTCTCCATGGACCCAGCTGAGAGGTCCTGTCCTCCCCAGTGAAAGGTCCGCAGCATAGCTGCCCTGCCCCTGCCTGAACATTTTATCTGCAGCTCAGAACCTTTCTGAAAACCCAGCCCCTACAGGTCTGTGATCTTCCTTCAGCCTCCCACCACCTAAGCATTCTGCCTGCCCCTGCCTGAGAGTTTGGCCAGTGACTTGGGGACCATCCTGTCCCCTTCCCTATCACAGCCAGCACCTGAACCCTGAGCCAGCCTGACACAGGTCCAGCCCCTTTAGGACTCATGCATGCTGTCCAGTGGGCCATCCAGAGGTCTGGGAACTGGGGAGCTACCTACCCCATTCCAACTCTGCTGACACCTGACCACTTCCCCCAGGGCCTGAGGTCAGACCAACCCTGCCAGCTGACAGCACCACAACCAACATCCGCCCGCACAGGCCCAAGTTAGAGCCTTTACAAGAAGCAGCAGCACTGCCACATGGAGACCAGGGCAGCAGTACTGCCACATTGGGGCACGGGGGGTCACGTTTCAACATGAGATTTGGAAGGACACACATCCAAGCCATATTAACCCTAAAGGAGACTTGATCCCTCCTTTGACAAACACACTTTGTCAGTTTCCTCTCAGGCCCCCTGGCATCTCTTTTGACCACTTTTGATGGCCATAAGGTGCCCAAACTGCTCTTCTCGGCCCTGTTCTGTACATCATAAAAAGATAAAACACGACAAAAACAAAACAACTTTCTACCTATTGAGGTCTCCTGGAAAGAAGCTCTCACAGACCCTGAGCCAGTGACCCTCCATCCCCAGCACCCACCATGCGTGGGTCATGGAAATAGCACCCCACAAGCTCACCCCAGCTACTGAGGACACCTTTGGACAGATTGGAGCCAAAACTCGGACCTCTGCATATTCCACCTGCAGGAAGTGGAGGCTTTCCCTTTTTCCCAAAGGCATTAACTAAGGGAATGGCAATGAGCCATTCATCCAGAGACTACTCAATAGCACTGCCAATCAGCATGAAGTAATGGCATCAGTGGAATGCTGCTGCTTTAGCCAGGGCGTCCTCTATGAAGAACAAGACCTAAGGGTCAATAACATTGGCCAACCTCTGGCTGTCATCCTAACGCTGGATGTCCAACAAATGTCCCCATCTTCCTTCTTACTACTAATGGCTGGATTATGTCTAAGAGTTGGCCCCTTCAAGGTAAAGCACTCTGGGAATCTCTTGCCTCACAGATACTCAAAATATAAAACAAAATCACCTGTCTCCACATACACTAACACCAGGACACTTCTCCTTAACTTACAAGTTTTACTTATAGTAACCAGAGGACATATATCACTTCTCAAAGTACCCAACTGTCTTGGAAAAGACAGTCAATAGAACTTTCATTTCCCTGATATGTCCCCCAAATTTAATTTAATTTAATTGATAGAAATATATTCTCCTCAAACAACTCTTTTTCAAATCCTAGTCTGTGTAACAATTGGTAAATTAGTAAAGTATATGTAAAGATTAGTGGCATTTGTGTGTAACCAAGGAAAAAGAGTGGTTGTGACTGGATCATATTGTCACATGTCCCTGAAGAACATGGATCATGTCCCTGACATGGATCATACTGTTGTTCCAGGCCCTAACCTCTTCTTACTCCAGGCTGCTTGACTGACTCATCTCACACCAAGTTTTAAAAGTTTTCAGTTTCCCTTTCTTATTTGTAAAGGGGCATATGTGTCACCTTCATGTATAGGAAAACTTTTTATGTTGACTCCCCCATCTTTGTAAATTTTGGATCTTTGTTTGCCAACCCTCCTCATCCCAGGAGGGTTGGCCACCAGACTGGGGGGTGAATTATTTCCTGGGATCCATTAACCATGGATTGTACCATGGGGCAGGCATCTGCTCATCCGATACAGGACCCATTTGAGCCCAAACCTTCATCAAATCCAAAAATATAAACAAAAAACTGTTAAATGGAATCTGGAGGCTCAGCCCTCCTAATGTGGACCTCAGCACTTGTCCTGCTGGGGCTGTGCTGAGGTCCACGTGCCATTGAGTTTGGCTGATAAAAGCCTTATGACCAAAAGGCCCCCATGGCTTGACCTTCATTAACCACGCAACTTAGGCTCAGGGCCATTGCAATTGACCAAATTAGTGGGCCTGCCCTAGAGAGCATTAATGCTGGAGCTCAGCCTCAGGCTCATTATAAAACCATAGAGCTATAAACACAAGACCCACATCAACTCAAGTAGGTATCCACTAAAAAGAAAATGTTACTTGCACATCCCAGATGGCATCACTCTGGCCCAGGAGAACACCCAGGAGATGACATTGCCTTGCAGGACCTCAACTCAGCTCAAGAACTTGCCATTGGAGAAGATTTCTCCCCCAACTCAGGACACAACTTCATCCCAGGCTCTAAAATCTCAACTCCCCAGCAATGCCCATGACTGCCTTTCCTAATCTAAAAGTGAAGCAACAAATGAACGCACATAACTCACTCCATTTTTTGTTTAAAGGGCCTTTACTGATTCCTGCACATGGGCGAGGATAATTTTAAAGCATTGAGTTAATAATACAAAAACAGCAGTCATGTACTTTTTAAAACTAACTCTGAGATCAAAGGAAAAGCATGTAAACAGTTAACTATGTTTTGTTAAAGATTTACAGGGGCATTGAGACCTGACCAAGGACAAAGAAGTTTTCAGCCTCCTCGGACCCTTGCTGGCTCCTTGGAGTCTGTGGTCATTGGTCACCTCTCAATCACACCTCCCTCCTCTTCCTTTTTCCCTTAACTAAAAAGAGCCTAAAATTTGTACTGTATTGAGATGGTCTTGGTGACACTAGTCTGCCGTCTCCTCAGGTTGCTGGCTGTTGAATACACCTGCTTTTCCTCCCACCAACTCTTGTCTCTGGAGTTTAGTTTTCATGCAGCAAGCAGCCAAGCCTGGGTTCAGCTACACTAAGGCATGAACTGGACACAGGACATGGATTGCTTTTCTTTCTTTGGTTTTAGCAATTGTAATGAGTTTCTGCAGCTTGCTGACTGCTTAGCCTATCACGTTAGTTTGCTTTGGCTGCAATAACAAAGTACCCTGGACTGGGTGGCTTAAACAACAGAAAGTTGTTTTTTCACAATTCCAGAGGCTAGAAGACTTAGATGAAGGTGTTCGGGGGGATGGTTTCTGCTCAAGCTTCTCTTCTTGGTTTATTGACCAAATCACAGAGACACCCTCTGTTTGTGCCTGGGTTCTAATCCCTTTTCCTCCAAGGACACCTGTCATATTGGATTAGGGTCTACCTCAATGACCTGGTTTCACATTATTTATCTCTTTAAAGACTCTGTCTTCAAATACAGTAATATTCTGAGGTCCTGGGCTTAGGATTTCAACACAGAAATTTCTGGGAGACGCAACACATGTATAACACCCATGATCCTTATAAAATCCCTGATCTCCAGAACCACCCACACCCCTACACTCCCGTGCCGAAGAGACACCTGGAAAAGGTTGATGGTCTCTGTGCCACTCTGAAAATTAATGGAGATTATCACTTTCCCCAGAAGGTACTTGTCTCATATCAACATCTTACCTCCAGGGAAAGGACCACTCACTCTCCAGAAACTTCTCCTACTAATCTTGTCCAGGATTCTACCGTGACCTTCTACGCTGCATCTCTAACCATCACAACCACTCTTTTTCCTTGGTTACACAAAAATGCCACTAATCTTTACATATACTTTACTAATTTACCAATTGTTATGCTCCAAAAACATAATTGATCAACCTGCTACCTTGACACAAGCAACACACCAAGTATTATTCTTCAAATATATGTGTAGTTCTCAGGTGTATTGAAATTATGTTGTACAAATTCAATGCAATTCCCATCAAAATACCACCATCATTCTTCACAGAACTAGGAAAAACAGTCCTAAAACTCGTATGGAATCAAAAAAGAGCCCCCATAGCCAAAGCAAGACTAATCAAAAAGAACAAATCTGGAGGCATCACATTACCTTATTTCAAGTTATACTATAAGGCCATAGTCACCAAAACAGCATGGTACTGGTATAAAAGTAGGCACATAGACCAAGGAACAGAATAGAGAACCCAGAAATAAACCCAAATAGTTACAGCCAACTGACCTTCAACAAAGCAGACAAAAACATAAAGTGGGGAAAGGGCATCCTATTCCACAAATGGTGCTGGGATAATTGGCAAGCCACATGTAGGAAAATGAAACTGGATCCTCATCTTTCACCTTACACAAAAATCAACTCAAGATGGATCAAGGACTTAAATCTAAGACCTGAAACTATACAAATTCCAGAAGATAGCATTGGAAAAACCCTTCTAGACATTGGCTTAGGCAAGGATTTCATGACCGAGAACCCAAAAGCAAATACAATAAAAACAAAGATAAATAGCTGGGACTTAATTAAACTAAAGAGCTGTTGCACTGCAAAAGGAACAGTCAGCAGAGTAAACAGACAACCCACAGAGTGGGAGAAAAGCCTCACAATCTATACATCTGACAAAGGACTAATATCCAGAATGTACAATCAACTCAAACAAATTAGCAAGAAACAAACAAACAAACCCATCAAAAAGTGGGCTAAGGACATGAATAGACAGTTCTCAAAAGAAGATAAACAAATAGCCAACAAACATATGAAAACATTCTCAACATCACTAATGATCAGTCAAATGCAAATCAAAACCACAATGTGATACCACCTTACTCCTGCAAGAATGGTCGTAATCAAAAAATAAAAATAAGAAAATAGATGTTGGCATGGATGCAATGAACAAGGAACACTTCTAAATACTGGTGGGAATGTAAACTAGTACAGCCACTATGGAAAACAGTGTGGAGATTTCTTAAAGAACTAAAAGTAGAACTACCATTTGATCCAGCAATCCACCCAGAAGAAAAGAAGTCATTATACAAAAAAGACACTTGCACACGCATGTTTATAGCAACACAGTTTGCAAGTGCAAAAACGTGGAACCAACCCAAACACCCATCAATCAACAAGTGGATAAAGAAACTAATGCTAGTGCTTTCTCAATAATGACATCCAAGCATCACCAGGCCAATCATGTAATCATCCTTGTTATTTTCTGTGCTTCTGATGCTTTTCTGGGCTTGCATCCTGGACAGGATGCCCTACCAGGGCTGGCCAGTTACTACAGATGGTCAAGGTCCCCCCTGGTGAATGCCTTTCCTGTGAAGTCTTGCCAGCCACCTTGTTGCACACTCCAGGCCACAGCTCCCCTGAACAGATTCCCCCAGAGTCAGGCACCAGACAGCCAGAGACAATCCCTGTGACTCGCAGCCCTGGGTAATCATGCAAAGCAATCAGTCCCAAGCCTGCCTACCCTGCTTTCACTGGCTCCTCCCCCAGGAAGAACTAGAACCTCTGCCTTCAGATTGACCCGGATGCTTCCAATGAGGTCATGATGGCAAGAACAGCCCTGCCACTGCACGCTGTCAGTAACAGACTATTTCTTCAATCACAGTCTTCTCCTGGCCTGTGGGCCTCACCACAACTGAGTAATAATTAAGCTTACATTTAAAAACACAAAAATTTACATGTGGGACAGAGTTGCATGGAATTAGGCAGGCACACACACACACACACACACACACACACACCCATTCGCAGGCACACATTTCACTGGTAAGTTCTAAATAAGCTCAGTGAATCGTGCCACTGTCCATTTCCTGTTTTGAAGACTGTTCTATGTAATTGCAAGCTGCTGATGGTGGGAGGCTGTGTGAAGGGTGGCGGGGGGACCTGCCTGTATATATATGTCAACAAATTTGAATATATCTATAATAATTTTGAGATAAAAGGCTTTAAAATATTTTTCCAAGGTTTATTTTAGGATCCCATGATCTAGTGCTGACTAGAGGAGTTGGATGGGTATCTGTGAGAGCCCCATAAACAAGGAAGCCATCTCTGAGGTCTGTGCACCTTGTTGCCCCCTTATTCCTTTCCCATGCTGCACTGCATTGCCCAGGGTGGGAAAGCAACCTGCGGTCACAGGGTGACTGGCCTGAGTCCCTGAGTCCTGGAACTACTGAACACACCTGGAATGATTACCTAAGTATTTCCCCTTTCATGGGGGAACAAACGCTCTGATCCTCATCAGCTACCAGGAGCTGGCTGCTGAGATCTTTGCCCTAATGAAAATCCCAGGAGATAAAGATGATGTGGCTGGGCACGTTCTCACCCTGGGGCACTTCCTATCCCTGCACAGGAGCACTGGGGAGTGGCCAGTTCAGGAGGGGTCAACTCTCTCTGCTGGGCTAGGAGCAGATGAGGCCCAAGGCAGGTTCACGTAGGGAACTGCAGCCTCCCTGTGCCCACCCCAGGTCGTGGCACATGACATGGCTCCGTATCAACCAGAGGAATGAGTCAATAAAACTCATCTGAGTCCTTGTTGGCCCAATCCTGTCTCTCCTGTTGCCAAAAACATTTCTGGAACCACACCCCAGGTTCCCACCCCACATGACTCTTCCATCTCCTGACAGCATCCTCGGGACCTTCTCCAGGGGACAGCTCAGGAAGCAGAGGACCCAACACTCGCTGCTTGAACAAGACCTGGTCCATGAAAGACGAGGCCTGGGGCATGAGGCTGACATGATCAGCTGGGGAACACACGCCCCTCGAGACTCAGTTGTATCACTTGAAAATGTGTCAGGATAAGTGACCACAGGGGCCTTTTTAGTCTACCCTGCAGGATCGTATTCCAGGGTGACAACTTTCAGAGAGCTCAGGGCATGCTCGAGCTGCCTGGGGTCAGGCTGCAGGAGGGAACTTGACTGGACTCTGAGATGCTGGGATCCCGCTTAATGACTCTGACACTGTCTGCACAGAGGCCCTGGCCAGGGCGAGAGGGACAGGGACATGTGAGACTAGGCAGGAAGGCAAGGGACAAAATCACAGCACCCTTGCATGGCCTCATGAGGAGCCTGGAGCCAGCGCTGGGAGTAGAGTCAAGCTGTCCAGAGGGCACTGCTTGCTGGAGAAGGGGCCAGGTGGAGCTGGGGACAAGGCCAGGCCCTGCCAGCAAGATCGTCTCCAGCTGTGCCCTGGCCTTGCTATTTGACAAGCCTGGCAAGCCCCAGTCCTGGAGGCCCTGGGGAGTTCCATTTGTGCAGGAGCTGGCTGGACAGAGGGGTGACTCAGGAAGCTGTGCACGTGGGAGAGAAGACAGGTGGCCTGGGGTCAGGCAGAGGGAAGCTGGTGGCCAGGCTGGGACCCTGGGTGCAGATGCAAGACTAGTTAATCGCTCTGAAAGTGAGGAGGGGGGACGTGCCAGGCCTCAATATGAAGCTGTAGACCATCTTTATGTCCTCTTGAGTTAGTGTCTCCACCAGGAAGTGCTTCAGCACCTAGGACAGAGGCTGGGTTTCCATCTGGCCTGGTCAGTAGCCCATGGACCTGGGGCAGCTTCCTCCCATCGTCCCAGGTGCAACAATTATGCTGAAGGGGGAGCAGCAGCCTGGGCCCCAACCTATCCCACTTCTGACCAGCCCCACCTTACGGACCAGGCCCAGACTGAATCCTGCCCAGGTCTTGCCCAAGCCCCATTATTCTGTACAGGCTCCACCCCACTCCCCTAGTCCCCATTTCAATGTTTAGAAGCAGCCTCACCCAGATCCTACCCTGTCTTGCTCAGCACAGATCCTCCCTGGTCACGCCGACCTCAACCAACCAAGGCCCCATCCACTGTTCCCAGGTGTCAATCACACCATGCAAGCCCCGCCCCCAGTGTGCAGGTCCCGCCTCTGCTGCCCAGGTCCCGCCCCCGCCCCCAGGCCTGCTTACGTGGTGCAGCAGCAGCAGCATCTCTGCCTCTGCCAGGCGCCGCCCGAGGCACTGGCGCATGCCAAAGCCAAAGGGCACGTGGTGGAAGTTCCTGCCGGAGCCCCTGATGTCTAGCCAGCGCTGGGGATTATACCGCTCAGGCCTCGGGAACAAGGCGGCATTGCGACCCAGCGAGTAGAGGAAAACCTGTACCAATGTCTGCGGACGGTGCAGAGCAGGGATCAGGGAATGACTGGGGAGGGAGGTTCTCAGCTCGAGGGGTGTGGGGCTCACTCACCCCAGCTGGGATGTGGTAGTTCTGAAGCACCAAGTCTGAGCTCACCACTCGCTCCAAAAACAGACCCACAGGGTAGAGCCTGGAGGTGGGGGCATCCATAGAAAGGGTCCTCAGCTGGATGGGGCTTCCTGTGCTCTCTGCACCCTTCCTACCGAAGACCCCGCAGAGGTCCCAGATCCATGGGAAGCCCAGGTCGTAGGAAGTACTTCCTTGCACCTGCTGAGCCCAGCCAAACCTCCCCTAACTTGAGAAGCCCCAAGCGCAGAAGGACATGCCCCACGTTAATCCCCAGGGTGTTGAAGAGGGATTCCAGAGGAAGAAGAGCTCCCTGTCCTTGAGGGGGAGGAAGAGCAGGTGCAGGGGAATGGGCTGCTGGGTGACGCTGTTTATCAGCCCCAGATTCTGTCTGCCACCACCCAGTGGGGGCTGCTCTCCAGCAGGGGGCCAGGGCCACAGGGAGGCCTCAGCCAGCACCCACCGCAAGGTCTCCTTGAGGGCCGCCCGCAGCAAGGGCAGCTCGGTGGTTGCCTTCTGGGGATGTTCACTGATGCTGGCTGCGGCGGCCAGGCTCTCCTGGCGCAGGATCTGCTGCACGTCGGGGTTCCGAGCCAGCTCAAAGAGCGTCATCAGCAAGGGAAACGCTGTCTACAGAAGCCATGTCTGCAGGGTCAGACCTTGCACAGGAGGACTCAGCCCCCGGGACACCCCTCCCAGGACAACCTCCCTCTGAGGGGTGGAGACATCCATGCCCTGAGCAAAAACAGAGCCCTGGGACCCCGGATCTGAAACCTTGATGACCACTTGGGCCAGATTCCCTGACTTCTTCAGGGAAAGGTGACCCCCATCTCCACCAAGGCCCAGGTCCCCTGCAGCCTCTTCAGGGCGGGTTCTCACAGCCACCATTAGGGCAGGGGGCCACACCTCAGCATCATCCAGGGAGTTCTGGAGCCCCAGCTCCCTCTGCTTCCATTGAGTTCTCCCCACTGTGCACCCACAGGCCCCTCTGCACTGGCTGGAGCCTGTGCTGCTGTCTTCCCCACAACCCTGCCCTCCCATGCATCTACATTTCTGGCCCAAGGTGACCGGGCACACTGGGAAGGGTGCCCAGTGGAGTCCTCCAGCTGCCTCTCAACCCTCCTTCTCCTTGTACACCCAGAGCTTTCCAGTGGGGACAGAGCTGCTGTGTGTCCAGGGCCTCATCCAACTTTCTTCCAGCCTGGAGCATGGATCCCCACACAGGTAACTGCAAACTCAGTCTCATGTGAGGGGGAGCTCACATTTCCCCTCCCCTGCAAATCTCATCCCTTAACAAAGGAGGGGGAAGGCTGAGGGCAACAGAAATGTGGGGCCTGTAGCCTGGGGATGGGGAACGTGGGTGCCGTGTGGCATTGGCAGGCAGTGCCTGGGAGGCAGGCTTGGCATCACCCTCTCTGGGTGGGGCTGGTTGCTGGCCTGACCGTGTCCACGCTCCCTGCAGTGAGTTCCATAGAGTTGGCCTTGATGGCTTCTAGTGACAGTTCCGCCTTCAACAGGAGCTCCGCCACGATGCCTGTGTAGTGTTGAGGGCGGTTGAAGGCCAGTTCCTGGTAGATTTTCTGGATACAGTTGTCACCTGTCCAGGGAGCAGGGGACAGCCCTCAGATCTTGGTGCTGGGAAGCATCCTTCAGTGTCCTCCTCCTGCCCAGACTGCCCCGACACCCAAATCTCCCTGCTCTCATCCCAAATTCTCCGGATCAGCCCAGCCCAGCCCCAGCCTCGCACCAATCTCCCCGGCAGGAAGGTGAGGAATCCCCGACCCCTCCCTGTGGCCTCCATTCCCCACTGGGTGGTGGAGAAGGAGAAATTGGGCCCCCATGGTGTCCCTTCCCCATAGCACTGCCCGGGTCCCTGGCCTCACCGTACTGGAAGATGCAGTCCCAGGCCTCAAAGTGCTCCTTCCACACCTTGGGGCTGATCCAGCGAGACAGGCTCCTGGGCATGAACATGAGCTGGACGGTGGATTTGAACATGACCTCCAGGGCATGGAGGAAGTTCAGGCTGGCAGAACTGGGGCTGTGGCCAACCAGGCCCAGCCGCTCTCCAAAAAGAGCTAAGTTGCTGGCTGCGGGGAGGATGCACTGCTGAGCACAAGGCAGCCCCAGGCCTCCTGGCTGCCTCCCCACACTCCCTTCAGTCCTCCATCCCCATCCCTGGCCACTCCAGGGTCTCTGGGGCTGGACCTTCCCGCATGGCCCACACCTTCTATGGTGTAGTGGAAGATGCTGGGCTGGACGTCCAGGGTCAGGCTCCCCCGGGCGTTCTGCAGCACCTTCTTCTTCAGGGCCTGGGAGAAGTCCCTGGCCACTGCATCCACCATCGGGAGGAACCTCTGCACGGCCTTGGGCGACAGCACATCTGGGTTCAGCCGCAATCGGTTGAAGCGCCATTCAGGCCCATTCCTACAGAGGCCAGGGCAGAGCTTGTGAGGCCGCCCCAGCAAGACACAGGCCCTGACCCGTATCCCATCCTCCTTGTCCCCAAGGGGAATCGGCCTGCAGGGAGCTGACTGGGGGCCCTGGTAGAAGCTGCCTGTTTGTGTTCGAGCTGCAGCCTTTTCTCAGAGCGGCCTCCAGGTGCTGGGCAAAGGCCACTCAGGTCTAAGCAGGGATGAGATGGTAGCTTCTGCCCACAGGTGCTGACAGGGTAACTGAGGTCATTCCCGGGACCTGGCGACCCAAGTCTGGCACCACCTCACCCATGCGGGCCCTCCCTGTAGTAACAGGGTAGGGCTTTTCTCCAAGAAAGGAGGTGACCCCTGTTGTCAAGCTTTGCCCACCTCACCCACACAGTGTCCTGAGGGGAGAGCCCCTGGCTGCCCTCTCCTCCCCACCCTTCCCCGCCCTGGGCACAGTGCCTCTGGGGCAGCAGCCTCTGCCTGTCTCTGTGAAGCATCTATATCTTCTGCAGGACAGAAACCAAGCTTTGTGCTTCATGCCATCCTCACCCACAGCCAGAGTGCGTGGGGGCTCCATGGATGCCCCCAGGGAATGGTGGGGAGGAATTTCCCCTGTCAGCCACATTCCTGCAAAACTCCTTTATTTATGTCCAGCTGGCTGCTGTGAGCTGTTGACAGTGATGACAGGCAGAAGATGCACATGCACACGTGCGCCCATGCAAGACCTCAACACCATGTGTGAAGAGACGCATGTGCATGTGTGCACAAACACTACACCCATGCCGGCACCTGCACATGCACACACACAGACACTTGTGCACACACACCACACATACATTCACACACAGACACGTGCACACACTACACATGTGCAAATGCAGGTACAGAGAAACACACAGCATGTGCACAGATGCAAGACACACACACATACAGGAGCGCTCCCCTTCCTTCCATTATGCGCACCCAGCCTCCTGGACCTGCCTTCCTGGGTCCTGACTCTCTCCCAGATGTCATCTATAGGCCAGCCTCAGTGAAGGCCCCGACCCACGGGTGCCCTTTTACCTAAACCCCACTATTCCCAATAGCGTTCCCTTCCTACCATGGAGTGGGGGCTGTCACCACTGTGACATCCTCATCCAGTCCTTCCCCCGTCCTAATGACAACATCCCTGCAGGTGACCGACTCCAAGCATCAGCCTCTCCCTGCCCACCTGACCAGGCGCCACCCTCTCCACGGGCCAGGAAACATCCTCCCCAGTGCCATCAACCGCCCCACCTTGTGCCTTGCTTCTGAGAACAACGGAACCACCAGCCACCTGCGTCCCCACCTGCCTCCTGCCCCGGACTGTCCCCATCAGGAAGGTTTGCCAGGACTGCAGGGACCCTGAGCGCCCTGAGGGAGGCTGTGGCCCCGGCGAACACCAGGCTCAGCACTCAGCCTGTGACCTGGGCCAGTGGAAGTCCCCTTCTCAGGGCCTCAGTTTTCTGACCTATGGGAAGGACAGTCCCCAGACCGCAAGAGAAAGCAGCCGCCGAGGTTGGTGCAGAGCGGGTTCTCACTACACAGAAGGGCTCATTGCTCTGCGTCTTCTCTGCAGAGGTGCCCGTGCCCATTTCTCCACCACCGCCCTGCTTCCCCAACCCACAGTGCAGACGCGACCCCACAGGATGGCCGTCCTCTGGGCCGGGTGCTCACCCTCACTGCCCACCACAGGGGCCCAGGGCAGATGTGCTTTTGGGTCCTACCTCTCTCGCCTCCCCCCTACACCCAGGCTGCCCACCCTGCTCCCAGCTCTCAGCTCCCAACTCGCCGCTTACAACAAGAACACGCCACATTTGTGCCCACGATGTTGTCTGTAGGCCACCCAGGGCTCCAGGATCATCCTGCAGGGATGCAGGCTGTCCACCTGTTGCAGCTTCTCCACATCCTCCGGCAGCATCACACACACCATGCGTGGTCCTCCCAAGTTGTACCTGTGGGGCCAAGCAGGAGGCCCTGCTGGACGGGGTCATGTCCCTCGTGGCCCCACCCTGCAGTCCCAATCCAAAGTGTCTCCTGTCCACCCTCCCTGCTCCTGGATTAGCGGCTTCACAGCTAAAGCCCTCCTGCTGGCTCCCTGGAACCTTTCAACTTTAGTGCTTCTGAGTCCTGCCCTCTCTGCAGTGAGCTGGGGTTTTCTCTGCACTATCCCCTGCCCTGGCAGCACCACAGACCAGCATGTGCTGCACTCCTTCCCCATCCTCCAAAGGATGCAGAGTGCCGGGACCTGCTGGGAATGGCAGTGCTGAGTGCCTGGCAGGGTCCTGGGCAGCAGGGGCAGGGATCTGGGTGTTCCCAGCGAGGGCCAGGGAGGGCTTTACCTGAAAATGGGCCCCAGCTCCTGGAAGGTCTGGTGCATCTCCAGGTGCAGGTGCTCATAACCCTGCTCCCTCCAGATCTGCAGCAGCCTCAGCCACCTGTTGCCTGGATGCTGGGGCATGGCTTCAAACGGCAGCACCGTCCTAGGGGCCCGAGCGGCTCTAGTGCCCAGTGCCCGTGCCCTTTGCAGGGACAGCCAGGGCGCTGCCACGCACACCTCTGCCTTTGCCCTGAGTGCCATTCCAATGCTCCCTCCACCCTGTTCAGCCCAAATCCTTTTATCTCACCCAGGAACCTGCTCTGGAAACATATCACGTCATGGGAGAACTGGCTCTGGACCTGCCTGAGACTCTCAGAGCGAAGGTCAAGGCTGGAGGCCCCCAGCCAAAGGTAGATGAAGGAGAAGTCAGGTGCCTAATTCCCCATTGCTGCAAGTCCTGCTGGTCTGAGGATGCTGAGAAAAGGCGTGGGGTCTGGACTGGGGGTCCATGCTGGTGGAAGGTGGTGGGACCTGGCCTCTCCTTTCTCCAGGGCTGAGAGGAGTAAAATGGATGGGGACTTTATCTTATCGTGAGATGAGAGGGAGCCTTGGATTCTTTTAATAGACTTTATTTTTATACCACAGATTTAGTTCATTGCAAAATTGATCAAAAACTGCAGAAAATGTCCACGTACCCCCTGCCCTGACACAGGTACACCCTCCACCACAGGAGCGCACTGGTTCCATGTGAGGAATCTCGATACGTTGTTATCAACCAGGGTCCTGGAGTCACATGGGGTCTCCTCCTGGTGGTCAACATGCTGTGGGTTTTGACAAATGTATGTAATTTGTATCCCTCCTTGCAGGATCCTAGGAGTATTTTCACTGTCTTAAAAAGAGGAAAAGAAAACCTGTGCTCTGCCTGCTCATCCCTCCTGCCCCAGTCCCTGACATCTCCGATCTTTTTATCATCACCATGCTTTGGCCTTTTCCAAAATGTTGTATAGTTGGAATGACACCGTTTGTAGCCTTTTCAAAGTGACGTATCTCAGTTAGTAATATGCGTTTAAGGTTCCTCCATTTCTTTTCGTGGCTTGATAGCTAATTTCCTTTTTTTTTTTTTTTTCTAGAGGCTGGGTCTCACTTCTTTAGTGGTTGCCCTAGAGTTTGCAATATACGCTTAAAACTCATCTCTCCAACTCCACCTTCATATAACACTATACAGCTTCAGAGGTAATGCAAGCACTTTATAATCATCAGATATTCTTAGGCTGGGCATAGTGGCTCATGTCTGTCATCCCAGCACTTTGGGAGGCTGATGCAGGTGGATCACCTGAGGTCAGGAGTTCGAGACCAGCCTGGCCAACATGGCAAAACCCTGTCTCTACTAAAAATACAAAATTAGCCAGGTGTGGTGGCGCATGCCTGTAATCTCGGCTTCTCAGCAGGCTGAGTCAAGATGAATGCTTGAATCAAGGAGGCGGAGGTTGCAGTGAGTTGAGATCATCCCACTGCACTCCAACCTGGGCAGCAAAGCAAGACTCCATCTCAAAATAAATAAATAATAAGATATTTTTAATTCCACTCACCCATCCCTTGCATCATTGCTGTCCTTCATTTCACATATACATAACTATGATCATCAAATACACTTTCTGGCTTTTATTTATTTATTTTTATTATTTATTTATTTATTTATTTATTTATTTTTGAGACAGAGTCTCACTCTGTCGCCCAGGCTAGAGTGCAATGGTGTGATCTCGGCTCACTGCGACCTCTGTCTCCCGGGTTCAAGCAATTCTCCCGCCTCAGCCTCCCAAGTAGCTGGGATTACAGGCATGTGCCACCACCACGCCCAGCTAATTTTTGTATTTTTAGTAGAGACGGGGTTTCACCGTGTTGGCCAGGCTAGTCTCGAACTCCTGACCTCAGGTGATCTGCCCACCTCGGCCTCCCAAAGTGCTGGGATTACAGGTGTGGTGAGTCACCGCGCCCGGCCTATTTTTATTGTTGTTGTTTTGTTTTAGCAAACTCTTAGATCAATTAAGATTAAGAAAAAATAAAAGACTTCATTTTCTCTTTACTGATTCCTTCTGAAATGCTCTTCCTTTCTTTATGTAGCTCAGGGTTGCTGACCTGTATCATTTTCTTTCTCTCTGCAGAACTTTTAAAAAACATTTCTGGCAAGTCAGTTCTATTGGCAGCGAATCCCCTCAATTTTTATTTACCTGAGAAAATATTTATGTTCACTTTTGAAGGATAATTTCACAGGATGCAGAATTCTAGGTTGATGTATTTTCTTTTTTCTTCTAACACTTGAAATGTTTCCCTCCACTGTCTTCTTGCTTGCATGGTTTCTGAGGGTAAGTCACATGTAATTCTTAGCTTTACTCCTATATAGATAAGGTGTCCCCCACCCAACCCCTGGTTTCTTTTTCATCTTTGATTTTTCCAAAGTTTGAGTATGATATGCTTAGGTGGAGACGTTTGTTTTGTTTTGTTTTCTGCTTGGTGTTCTCTGAGCTGCTTGAATCTGTGGTTTGGTGTCTGACATTAATCATTATTGATTCAAATGTTTCTTCTGTTCCTTTCTTTTTTCCTCCTTCCAATGTCCCCGTTATGTGTATGTTACACCAGCAGTAGTTGTTTCACAGTCCTCAGTATTCTGTTCCGTTTTCTTCTTTTTGCCTTTCAGCTTCCAGTTTCCATTGACATATTCTCAAGCTCGGAGATTCTTTCCTCAGCTGTGTTCGGTCCACTAATAAGCCTATCTAAGGCACGCTTTGTTTCTGTCACAGTGTTTTTGATCTCCAGAATTTCTTTTTTCACCCATCCTTGAATTTTCATCTGGATGTCCACATTCCCCATCTGGTCTTGCGTGTTGTCTACTTTTCCATGAGGGTCCTTAGCGTATTAATCACTGTTGTTTAAAATTCCCAGTTGATCATTCCAGGTCCCTGCCATATCTGAGCCTCCTTGTAGTATTTACTCCATCACTTCAAACCTTGGCTTTTGCCTTTTAGTATGCCGTATCATTTTTTATTAAGCCCCAGACATAATATACTGCATAAAAGAAACTGCTGCAAATAGGTGCCTTTGATGATGCAGAGGTAAGGTGTGCGGAGAGGGGAGTGTGTTGTGGTCCTGTGAGTAGGTCTGAGTCTTTCAGTGAGCCTGTGTCCCCAACCCGTGAACATTACAAGGGCTTCTCAGTGTTTCCTTGACATAAATAGACAGGTTGAGCAGTAAGGGCTGGGGCTGTGTGTGGCTCTTCTCACATGTGGCACGCTACACGGACTGGGGTTGGATGTCTCTCTTCTTTCCCAGATAGTTCAGCTCTGATAAAACCCAGCAGCTTAGGCTCTGGCAAGACAGTCTCTCTGAAAGGCTGGCCTTTTAAAGAACAGAATGCTCTGGTGTATTTCATAATGACCATTCTTTTTCTCTTGCTGCCTGACATAGACGAGCTTTTCTGATATTTGCGGTGAGCACCTCGTAGAGCTTCTGGAGGTGAAACTCACATAAGTGAGTGCCCGGGTTCCTGACTGACCTTAGCTCTTACGCTTGTGCACACTGAGCCCCAGAAGCTCTTCTGGGATTGCTCTGGATTTTTTTTCTTGTCACTAGCCCTCAAGAAGCCTGCCCTTGGTGAGTGGCAATTCTCCATTTTCACCTGTCTGACTCTCCAGTCTTGGGGGTGGCAGTTTGCTGTGTGGTCTCACTTCTCCTGGGAATCTAAGAAGAGTTGCTGATTTTGGGAAGTTTTTTCCTTTTTACTTGATGTTAGGATGAATTAACAACTTCAAGTTCCTAGCATGCTGAATTGGACGCAAAGGTTGGACCTTGGATTACTCATCTGCCTGGAGCAAGGTCCCACACAGGAAGGAAGGGCAGAGGGCTGTACTTCCCGAATTACCAAATGGTATTTCACCTCCTCTTCCAGGCCCTATGCTGGGTGCAAGGAGCGGGAACAAGAGCCCGCAGGGGCCCTTCCCTGTGAGGGGCTCAGTCCTCTCGGGGCAATTCTGTGAGTCCCCAGAGGCACAAGGTGGCATGGAAGGAGATGAAAACATGTCCGAGGCCGGGTCTGGGCTCACCTCACTGGTCCTGCTAAGGAGCTGGGAATACCCAGGAGACCATGAGAGGCCGGGTGCTGGGAGCCACACCCAGGCTGGAAGACGAGCAGTGCTTGCCTGAGTCTGTCCTCATCCGGGCAGGGGCCCTGTGCCAGCAGCTCACATCCCCCTTTTCTGTCCTAAAACGTGTTGTCCGTAGTTCAGATTCATAGAGCCATAAGGGGCCTGTGACGACTGAGTTGAGGGCCGTTCTCAGGGTCCCCACTGTCCCATGAACTCCCTCCAGCAGCCACACACCAGGCACCGAACCTTGCAGGGGGATCTGCGGTTTGGTGACATGTTGTCTCACGGAAGCCTGCAGCAGTCCCAGGAAGGGAGCATTGCTGTCACTGTCCCCATTCCACAGGAGGAAACTGAGGTCCAGGGTGTGCGGTCCCCGGCCTCACGTCCCCCAGTGGGTCAGAGGGACCGCAGATCTCTCACTCCTCAGCACCCTTCAGATGTGCCCTCCAAGCCCTGAGCCCAGTGGCCCAGCCTGAGGCCGAGCAGCCCCGGCCCCAGGGAGACTACACCCCTCCTGCTGCCCCGCAGTGGCTTCTACATGCTGTGGCCTTTTCCAGTTTCAAGGACCAGAAAATCCCGAGATCTGCTCCGCTGGGCTCTGTCTCAGCTCCTCTGACTCCAACCCTCCGATGTCAGAGCCTGGAGACTCCAGGGGGACCCGCCAAAGCCCCAGGGACCCTCAGCCTAGACCCCTGGGTAGGAGAACACGCCTGGTCGCTTGCCGTGCCAGGCCTGAGCTGCCTGCCCCTCCCTGCTGATGCTGCCCGCCAGGGCCCCCGCCTTCCCTTGGGAGGACAGATCAGTGGCACCTGGCACTGCCTGTCCACCCTCCCTTGGAAAGGCACTCACTCCAAGTTGAGGGGGGCGGCACCTGGCCATGGGGGAGGATGACAGGGTTCCTGATGCCCTGGGAATGGTGCCCTGGGGCACCCTGATGCAGGTCAGAGCCTGTGTACCGCCACACCAGCCGAGGCCAGAGTGGGGCTGGACTGCCCTGCAGTAGCTGTGGCCCGGGGCCAGCCTAGAGGAAGGGGCCCTTTCATACCCACGGCTCACACAGCTGCATGTCCCCAGGACTCCACGGGCCCAGAGAGGGTGTGCATCCCACCCCGCACAGCACTGCAGAGTCCCCAGGCAAAGCTCTCACAAGCAAGACAGTGTCTGTGTGGACCCCATCATCTTGCCTGTGTCCAATGAAGTGAGACCAAGTTAGGAAACCTCTCAACTTGCACCATCCCACAGGCAGAAAGGGCCGACCGCGGTGGGAGACTTCCAGCCAAGTGGGAGATGCCGCCTGGCTGCAGTCACCATGTGGCCCAGAAAGCAGAGGGAGCAAGTGCGGCAGTCTGTCCCCTCTGTCCCCTCACTGGCAGTCACCCCTCCGCATTCTCGTCAGGGCTGCAGAGCTTGCCGGCTAACTTGGGGACCGCCGGTTGGCTCCTTTTCTCTGGGTCATGCTCACAGGGACGTCCAGAGGCCACCTTGCTGCATTTTGCTGGTGACTGGAGCCAGGGTGTGGGGACATGAAGACGGCTTGCGTTTCAGCGGGTGATTGCTCGGGGAACGTGTAGACTGTGGCCTCTGACTGCTGATTATGTTTTTAATACCCGAGTCAAGTCCTTCCAACGGCAGGAGGGGCCGTGGCGGGCACTGCAAGGCTGAGTGGGGAATTCGCTGGGGGGCGAAGCTGAAGGGGAAGCCAAAGGCAGCCGCCAGTGCAGTCAGGGGAAGGGTCTTCCAGCCCGGGACACAGGAGGTCAGGCCTGGCCAGGAGTGGGCAGCAATGGGGCGCGAGGCCTGGGCTAGGGGCTGGGGGGAGCCAGACAAGGTGCTGGGAGGGTTTTCACAGGGGAGGGCAAAGACCCATTTGTTGTTTTTCATTTTACTTTAATCAGTTCCCCACTCCCTGTTCTTCCTCGGGAATCTCAAAGGCCTCAGCCCCTCAGCAGCTGTGATGTGCTGTGTGTCCCCGTGTGCCTCCCGCTGTCATGTCAGAGCTGGCCTTGGGCAGGCTGATGCCATCGGACTTCCCAGCACGTCCTTGGAGTGGTGGTGCAATCTGCCCGGGCACGCTGGACAGTCCTCCTGCCCGTCCCTGCCTGTGGGCACCCTCCCCTCTCCCATCAGCTGGGTCTGTTCTCATCTGTTCTAGGGGTTTCTGAACCTGTGGCCATGAGCCAGCATTTCCCATCCCTCCTCAGCCCACCCACAAGGAGGCTGGGGCCCCAGAGGACCCCAGAAGGCCCCTCCCATCCAGAGGACACTGTGGGTGCAGCTGAGGTGTGGAGGTGCCAGGACCAGCACCCTGGACTTGCTCTAGACTCTGCGGCTTCCCAGATGCCCTGACCTTGAAACCTGGAAGCAAATCCCGGAACTCACTTCCTGCAGGGCCTCAGTCATGTCTCCGTGCTGACGCAGTGAAGAGGTGCAGGTCCCAAAGGCCCTCCCCACCTCACCTCCCGGCCCCTCTCCCTGCCCATAGGTCTGGCCGCACCCCCCTGTAGTCTGCCTCCTGGGGAGGAAATGGTCTGACAAGGCTGACCCGGAACATTTTCCTTTAACTCAGCTGTAGAGTGAGGGCCCAGCCAAGCCCCAGAGGCAGCTGAGAGGGGCAGGCAGAGGGCACCCTGGTGGTCCAGGAGCCCCCACCTTGATGTTCTTCCCTGGTGGGGTGTGCCAGAGCCGCCTGGAGAAGATCCTGGGGCTGCGGTCACGGGCCAAGGCCAGAGCAACTGTCTTCGAATAGGCTGGACACCCCCAAGGTGCACTGTGGAGGAAGAGGGGCTCCCTCTCCGGGGACAGACCAGGCCCCCACTTTCAGGGACTCCTGTGAACCAGGCTGGGCCAGCCCTCAGGCCTGCAGGAGAACTTTCCACCTCCCCTGGGTCTGTGGGTCCTACTCATTCCAATCCTTTCTGGCCCCACACCCAGTGTCCAAATCTGCACCCCATGATATTTTGAAAAGTTCTCAGGTTCCTCTCCCAGTTCTGAGAAGCAACTCAAACCTCAGCCCTGACCCAGCACCCTCCATCCGCCTGCCCCGGGCTGAGTTCCAGTGGCCCTGGGCCAGAAGCCTGTGTGCCCAGCGGTCTCTGGAGCAGCGGGGCTGTCCACCCGCAGCTGTGTCTCCTGATCCCAGCCAAGAGGACCGTGAGTGTTAGGGCTGGTGCAGAAAGCAGCAGCCCCTCGTCTGTAGCCTTGGACATAACATCTCCTTTCCTGCAGTGGTTTTACTCTTGGGCCATGGCATTAGTGACAGCGGTGTCACAAACGCAAACACAAAAATGCAACACAAACAGAACAATGGGTGGGCGCGGTGGCTCACACCTGTAATCCCAGCAATTTGGGAGGCTGAGGCAGAAGATCACTTGAAGCAGAGAGTTCCAGACCAGTCTGGGCAACACAACAAGGCCCCATCGCTACCAAAAATTAAAAATTAGCCTGGCGCGGTGGTGGCACCTATAGTCCCAGCTACTCGGGTGGCTGAGGTGAGAGGAACGCTTGAGCCCAGGAGTTCGAGGCTGCAGTGAGCTGTGATCACCACTGCACTCCAGCCTGGGTGACAGAGTGAGACCCTGTCTCAAATCAAAAACCAATACAAAGAAGAAAAATGAAAGAAACCGAAAATGGAGGAAACAGCAACCAAAATGCCTGTTGACTGGAGAATGTTTGTGCCCATGTGGTCCAGGCACATGCGAGGTGAGTTTTTGCCACTGTGGAGATGAATTCTTTCGGGTTCACATGAAGATGAGGGTGATCAACAGTGCAGGGACTCACAGTGCAGCCTTGAAGGGAAAGAGGGAATGTCGGGAGATTGTGTCCCACGTGGTTCACATGCATTCAGTGAACCGCTTACAAAAGCAGCAAAGGCCAGAGAGAGCGCAAGATTGGGTGTGGGTGCCTGTGCTGGGGAGGTGGGAAGGTTGGTCTCTGTGAACGTGGGGGAGCGGGGACTTACTGCCCGTGTGGTGGGGCTTGGGTTGGGTGGAGTGTTTGTGACGTCTCAAAGATAGCGTCTAGGAAAAGGCAGCAGGATGCCAAGTCTGGAGGCCCCGGATCAGTGGTGTGGCACAGCGACGTGTGGACAACCTGGTTGGTCCAAAAGACTTAGTCCCAGCAGTGCTAATCAATGGGTGTGGGCCTCCCCCATCTCCACGTGTGGGGCAGCAGATGAGACGGTGCTTGCCACCTTGTCAATGGCTGTGAGGACCAAGAGGGAGATACAGCAGAGCTCAGAGCAGACAAGCAAAGGAAACATCAAATGCCAAGGGGATCTGAAGACTTCCTGCCACATCTGCAAGAAGTCAGGACTGTGGGTGCTGCCCCGGAGGCTGCTGGGGAGCACAGAGACTCCTCAGGGAGCACGTTGTGTACCTGCAGCCGTCTTCCCCACTGGGCCATGCAGGTGGCCTGGCACACCCCACAGAGGGCGACTTGGGATCCTTCTTCAGTCCATGCTCTGAAGGAGCAAATGCGTGACTGTCCCTGACCACAAGCAGCCCTCGCACACAGACCCCACCTGCCTCAGCACCCTGCGGCCCTCTCCGCTGGATTCCTAGACGCCATGGAGATGGTAGGAGCTGGTGCAGGAGCTGCAGCCGTCCTCCCTCCTCTATGCCTTTGCTGTCCCTGATTCACCCCCAGGGCCCTTCCTGCCCCTGCTGAGTCTGCACCTCAGCCACTTCGCCTCCACCCGGTTCCTTGTCCTCCACCCAGACTGCTGACCTCCGCCCAGCCCGTCGTCCTCCACCCAGCCTGTCATCCTCTGCCCAGCCCGTCGTCCTCCAACCAGCCCACCGTCCTCCGCTTTCAGAAACGCACAGCTCACTGCCTCAAGCTTGGGCTGGCATCAGGCTGGCAGCCAGCAGTGGGAGGTGTGTGTGCTTTGTGTATGTGAGTGTGCAGCATGTGGTGTGTCTCTTCCTCCTCCTGTGTCTCTCCTTTTGCATTCTAGCTTGCCAATCACTTTGAGAGGGGTCAGCATGTGAAGAGATATCAAAGATTTCACTACTCGAACCCGTGTCAGAAGCTGACCACACCCCAAGCTAGTCAAGTGTTTAGAACGGAGCCATAGTCTGATGGGTGTTTCTGTGGAGGCCTCTCCTGCAGTTCTCTTGAACCTGGCCTGCTGTGTCTCTATTCCACCTGGTCCCTTGAGAATCCTCCAGAAGCCAGATGACTCCTGCATCCGTCTCCTCCTTCTGTGCTCCAGTCCCTCTCCCTGAGGGCAGCCTATTGACCAGGTTGCAAGAAGAACCCAGGCTGACTTTCTCTCCATGGGGCCCTCATCTGATCCACTGAAAATACTCACATATCTCCAGTGCCAGCCTCAGAGGCACAGTTGTTTCCTTTCGGTCAATATTTGCCTGGAGGTTTTTTTTTTTCATTCTGTGACTTTCAACCTTTCTGTAAGTTGTGTTTTAGATATTTCTTATTTAAACATCCTATAGAGATATTGTGTTGTTGTTAGTGTTGTTCTATTTAGTTTGACAATCTTTGTCTTTTAACTCTCAAAGTCCATCCACTTAGTATTTTTGTGATAACTAATGTATGTGGATTATGTTCACTTTATTTTCTGCATTTGGTTTATCCCAAGTTATCCATTTTTAAGTTCCCTCTTTTTCTCTCCTACTTCGGAAGACATATTCTCCATTTCCATTATTTTCATGGTTACCTTAGACATTTTAAAGTGAATTTTGTTAGCCAGGCATGGTGGCACATGCCTGTAGTCCCAGCTACTCAGGAGGCTGAGGCAGGAGGATCTCTTGAGCCCAGGAGCTTAAGGCTGCGGTGAGCTATGATCGCCACAACCCTCCAGGCTGGGTGACAGAGCAAGACCCTGTCTCAAAAATAAATAAATATATAAAGTAAATTTTGTAACTTAAAGTATAACATTACTATTCAGTATCTTCCCATAAAAAAATAAACAAACATAGAAACTTTAGAGCTTTTTAACTCTGGTCACCCTCTTTTGACGGTTATGCTGTTATTGGCCAATATTAAAGTTCTATTTTGGTTTTTTAACAACATAAACTGGATGTTATCATTGTGATCAGAGTTCACGTTTGCCTCCTTTTAGTCACGTGTTTTCTTTGCTCAGATTCATCTCTACACTGGAAGATTTTGGGCTAGGTGAATTCCATTCTTTCTGGAGGTCATTCTTTAAAACATCTTTGGAAAAGCTTCTGTTGGTAGAGATCTCTTTCAGGTCTCTAGGTCTAAAAATGTCTTATTTTAATCTAAATCTTCAAAGATAGTTGTGTTGAGTGTTCATTTCCAGGTAGGCAGTGCTTGTATTTCAGCATTTTGAAGATGTTAGACGCGGCAGGCGATGTTCACTGCCCTTCCACACACGTCCTGTTCTTCCCTGGCAGGTGAACGGGCTCCGTTCCCAGCCTGCCTTGCAGTCTGTGCTCCCCTGTGTCTGAGTTTGGCCAGTGGAACGGGGGAGAAGACACATGTGCCTCCCCTGGCCTGGCCCTACCCCATCTCGGCCTGGCAGCCTCAGATACCACGTGTCGGAACGACGGGTGGAAGGAGGGTGACCTGATTAGGAATGCTCACTTCCGAGTGTCTGTGAGAGGGGCTTCTTTCCCATTGGAGCCATCGTGCACATGTGTTTTGTTGCAGCGGTGGGTGTGCGCCAACCCCTTGGCCACTGTCTCTGGCTTCCGCAGCTGGCGTTGGAACGCCGGCCGTCACGCTGCCATCCCAGGGTGTGGGATGCCCTGGAGGCTACAGGGAGAGCTTTGTTATTGAGATCTCTTCGGAGTCTGTGGAAGAGTTCCTTTTCCCTCACCCTGCTGGGAATTCTCTGTGCCTCTGACTCTTAGTGTTTCATCAGCTCTTTTAAAATTCCTCCAGGACAGTCTGGTAGTTCATTTTGATTGTTCGTTAGTCACACACCTTACGCCTTCTCACTTCTTTAAATGTAGAGATACTATTGGCTTCAAAAGACTGGAAATCAGGAACCCTGGACCTGGTCTTCATGCAGGTGGGCCTGGCTTGCAGCTGTGTTTTCCCTTCTGAGCCTTACTGTTTGCTTTTCTGGTTTTCCAGAAACTGTCACTTGCCCAGGGCCACTTTTTGTATTAAAGGCTCGGCTTGGGGTTCATCAAAGGTGGGGTGACCTAAATCCTAAACCAATTTGAGGGCCTCCATCCTGATCCATAGGAGGGGACATTTCTCACTCCTCATTCCCAGGGTTAAAGAGCCAAGCTTCCTTCTCATCTCCCATGCTGTTAGATAGAATATTTCTGGACCACATTTTCACTGAAGTTGTAGTCTTGAAAGTTAAGGCTTTATGTGGGGCTTTCAACTCGTTTCTTTCTTTCTTTTTTTTTTTTAGAGACAGAGTCTTGCTCTGTTGCCCAGGCTGGAGAGCAGTGGCACTATCTCAGCTCACTGCAGCCTCCGCCTCCCAAGTTCAAGCCATTCTCCTGCCTCAGCCTCCCAAATAGCTGGGACTACAGACATGTGCCACCATGCCCGGCTAATTTCTTTTCTTTTCTTTTCTTTTTTTTCTTTGTATTTTTAGTAGAGACGGGGTTTCACCATGTTACCCAGGATGGTCTCCATCTCCTGACTTTGTAATCCATCCACCTCAGCCTCCCAAAGTGCTGGGATTACAGGAGTGAACCACAGTGCCCAGCCATTCAATTCCAATTTCTAACTTTGCTTGTATCCTAACCCTCACCTCCTTTCCTCCTTAGAACTCAAGCCATCTTTTCACCAAGGTGATGAAAGCGGTTGCCGCATGCACCCCCACTCCCAGGTGATGGCTGTGTTGGCTTCTGTACTGACTGGTTGCCTATCATAATCCCAGAAGACACAACTCCAAATGCCATAATCCCAAATGTTGAAATCCCAAAAGATCAAAATCTCAAAAATACAATTCTGGAAAAATATTGTAATTATTTTAAAGATATTTATTCACATTTTTAAGGGGGACTTGTTTGAGAAACGCATAAAAACATGGCAGAACACTTCCTCAGCCACTTTACGCAATAAAACAGGCAATAAGAACTTCCATATTTTTGCAATCATAAATACTCAGGCCATCACCTGGGAGTGGGAGTGCGTGTGGCAACTTGTAGGAGCCTGGTCACAGCTCGTTCCCAGTCTATCATCATGGTTTGGGGATTCCATCGAAATCTATTCTCTTCTGCACAGTCCACCAAATCTTCAAACAAGCATTCATAAAGTGCTTCACTTTTTCCTGTCATTGAAACACAAATGAGGAGATAAAGTTCTAGAATTTTCAGATCCAACAGGGACTTGAATTGCATATAGTTGAAAGAAAACAGTGGGAACAGTTTTGAAAGTGCCGTCTTTAGTCGAAGTGAAGCATGCGCCAGTCTTTCTATGTCAGATTTAGTGGTAAATATAAGAAGTCTATCCTCTTCAACAGTCAAATCCCTAATCAATAATCTCTCACCATGCAGTGTGTTTGTGTCACTGGAGGAACCCCAGTGGCAAAGAGCAAACCTCCTTGGTTCCGAAGCTCGCTGAGCTTGTCGAATTCGCTTTATTCTCTGATGAAGCGCGTTTTTGTTTTGTTTTGTTTTTGAGACAGAGTCTCACTCTGTCGCCCAGGCTGGAGTGCAGTGGCACTATCTTGGCTCACCGCAACCTCCACCTCCCAGGTTCAAGCAATTCTCCTGCCTCAGGCTCCTGAGTAGCTGGGACTACAGGCACCTGCCACCATGCCCAGCTAATTACTTGTATTTTTAGTAGAGACGGGGTTTCACCGTGTTAACCAGGATGGTCTCCATCTCCTGACCTCGTGATCCACCGGCCTCGGCCTCCCAAAGTGCTGGGATTACAGGCGTGACCCACCGCGCCCAGCCCAAGGGCATTTTTTGAAGGCAAGCCTGGTGCTGTGTGTGAAGGGGCAGAAGTCAGGCCTGAATGGATAATGTGACTTGGGAGATTTCTTGTATTTTTCACCTGAGTTTTCACTTCTATTGTCTTCAAAACACTTGCTGCACTTGTATCTGGAGAGTGGTGGTGGTCTACGAATTTTGCAGATATATGCTGTCTATTTGAAGGTCTTATTATTGTTTGTTGCAATTAAGCAATTTTCTGCTTAATTGCAGTGCCAATAATAATTAGCTTTTAAACTATTATCTTTCACCATTAAGTAGCTTAATACACTTATTGCAGCCTTTTTGCAAAGGAATGATTCCACAGATCTCTTCCATTGTGTTGTAAGAAATACAGTAAGAAGGAACAGTATTCAACTTCCACAATACAAAGTCTGTATTAGTCAGGGTTCTCCAGAGAGACAGAACCAATAAGTTCTGGGTATGGATATATGAGAGGGGTTTATTAGGGGAACTGGTTCACATGATTACAGAGGCTGAGAAGTCGCATGGCAGGCTGTCTGCAAGCTGGAGACTGTGGGAAGCCAGTAGTGTGGCTCAAACCGAAAGCCTCAAGACCCATTGCGGGATGGGAGGGGACAGGTGTAACTCTCACTACAAAGTTGAAAACCTGAGAAGCCGGGGGCCACTGGTGTAAAAGTCCTGGACTCCAAAGGCTGGAGAGCCTGGGGTTCTGTGTTCAAGGCAGCAGAAGAGGTCTGTCCCAGCCCTCAGGGAGACAATTCACCTTCTGTATCTGTTCTCTCCAGGGCATCCGTGGATTAGCCGGTGCCCACCAACATTACAGCAGATCCTCCCCATACAAACCACTCAGACCCACATGCTGATCTCCTCTGGAAATGCCTCTCACACACACCCCGAATAATGTGTCACCAGGTTTCCAGGTATTTCTGAATCCAGTTGAGTTGACACTTAAAGTTAGGTCCACAAGTTCACCCCTTGTCAACTTGGCACCCATACCCGTCTCCTCCTGAAATCACAGTTAATTTCCAAAAAAAAGGGACAAGAACAAGGAAACAGTGCTGTCTAACATGGTGCAACTGTCCTGTGATTGGGATTCTTGGGATTTTAGATGTTAGAGATTTTAGACTTTAGGAGTTTAGATTATGGCATTCCGTCCTGTGTCTTTTGGGATTATGATCCAAACCCATGTAGACTGATCCCTTGTCCAGGTCCCTCCCTATTTGGGGCTCCTGAAGATGTGTTCTTTTGAGAGCCTGGAAATGCATCTTTGTATGTTTTTCAGTATTTATTGTTGCTGGAAGTGAAAGGATTTTCAGAGTTTCTGCTCCATAATTTTGCTAGAACCTGAAGACATTTCCTGGAGCTTTTTAAGTAGCGCACGGTGTCGGGCAGCTCTCCGCAGCCATAGGAGGGAAAGACAAGGCTGACTCCGTAGGTGTGTGGCCGCCTCATAATCATGGAAGTCAGGCCTCACTTTGCAAAAGAACGGTTCCAGCTTTCTTGCAGAAATCTGTATCTGTTTGCAAGAGGGGCCCTGGAATTGCTGGTTGTTGTTCTTCTGACCTCATGGACTGTTGGGCAATAGTGGCATTGTCTAAAAAATTCTAAATGGCTGAGTACACCCTTTCATTGATTCACCCAGCACGTCTTTATTGGGAACTTTCTACCAGTCAGGCGCTGTGCGATATGCTAATGAAAAAGAAAGTGTCTGCCCTCAGAGTGACTCCATTCTATAAGTCTAAACTATAGACATATGTGCTAACACATTTATTTCCCTAATTTTGATCATGTCAGAGTAGACACAGCATAATTGTCTTGTAATAAAAGAAGCACTAAGTTAAGGTGCACCCATTGAGTGGGACAGTGGACATCGGTAATAAACGTGGGTCTATCTGAATTAACCGAAAATGTTGCTTACCATGCATTAAGCAAAAGGACAAGTCAGAATCATATCTATAGAGACACACTTGCATGTTCTTGCAAATACCCCACACACACATACACAACAATGTCTACAAACCCGTGTTCTAGTAGGTGTTGAGCAGAACGTCAATAATAAAGATAAAAGCCTCTAGAAAGCAGGCTGGGCGTGATGGTTCACTCCTGGAATCCCAGCACTTTGGGAAGCTGAGGCAGGTGGATCACCTGAGGTCAGGAGCTCGAGACCAGCCTGGCCAACATGGTGAAACCTGTCGCTCCTAAAAATACAAAAATTAGCCGGGTGTGGTGGCAGGTGCCTGTAATCCCAGCCCTTGGGAGGCTGAGGCGGGAGGATCCCTTGAACCTGGGAGGTGGAGGTTGCAGTGAGCTGAGACTGTGCTACAAGAGCATGCTACAAGAGTGAAACTGTCTCAAACAAACAAACAAGAAAAGCCTCTGGAAAGCAAAGACAACCTATAAATTTGCCTTGACAGTACCATTCAGTGACAGAAGACAATGGAGTAATAATATATATGTAAAATGCAAACGGAACATTACTGTAAACACAGGATCTTAAATTCAGTTAAACGCTCATCCAAGAGAACAGGCTAAAGGAACTATTAATGAAAAAAATCAGTTTACTCATCACAGACCCTGCCCAAAAGAACTATTCAGAATTTGCTTCAAAGAAAGTGATCCAGAGATAAGATGAGGGATATAAAAAAGTGAGTGTGAGTTCAGAAGTTGACACAATTATGCTGATACATTTAATTAACAATTGACTATGGAGAGGCCAATAGCTCAAGAACTTCAAAATAGCCTATGGGCAATAACCCGTGGGTACTTAGCTTTGAAATACTTAGAACGTTCCAGATAGAATTCCCCTTTGATGTCTTTTCTTCGTCAGCATTCAGAACCAGACATTATACTGAGAAGCCCTTTTTATTTTTTATTTTTATTCTTTATCTTTTTGAGACAGAGCCTCACTCTGTCACCCAGACTGGAGTGCAGTGGTGTGGTCTACACTCGCTGCAACCTCTGCCTCCCGGGTTCAAGCGATTCTCCTGCCTCAGCTTCCTGAGTAGCTGGGATTACAGGCACCTGCCACCATGTCTGGCTAATTTTTGTAGAGATGGGGTTTCACCATGTTGGCCAGGCTGGTCTTGAACCCCTGACCTCAAGTGATCTGCCTGCGTCAGCCTCCCGAAGTGCTTGGATTACAGGCATGAGCCGCTGCGCCTGGCCAAGAAGCCCTTTTTAGTCTTTGGTACATGACCAAGGACCTCACTCCTCTAATTCACAGCTCAGGCAGCAGGGTGGACTGCCGAAGCTCTGCCTGTGAGATGCGAAGGTAAGCTCGGCGGTGGGTGCCACCTGCCGGGGAAGAGCCTGGTTTAACTCCTCTGGTCCTCAGGGTTTTTCCTTAATCGTAACATGGCCCTGGAGCAATTGTAACAGCAGCAGTAACAATACGTTATGAGGATATCAATAAGAAGCACAACTGAGCACTTACAGCTGGGCACCACGTTACACTTTATATCAAATACATATACATGACACTATGAGGCAGAACTGTGATCATCCCCATTTTATTGGTAAACAAATGAAGCCAAGAAAAAATCAGGGCCTTTGCCCAGGGATTGCCCAGGGATACTCGGCTGTGAAGTGGTACCACGGGGTCCAGCCCTCCTCTCTGGTTCCACAGCCTCTGCTCCTCCTGGGCCCACGTTCAGCGCCAGGCTGGGAGCAGTCGCTGCCTGGTGGGCTGCAGGACTTGAAGAAGGGTGCTGGGCAGCAGCCCCAGGAGCCATCCAGGATGTAAGCACCCCAGGGACTGACTCTGGAATCGGTGGGTTCTACTTGGCCACGTGGCTAGCACTCCCTCCACACCTCGAGAACCTGGGGGATCCTCAGTCTTTCAGTGCTGGCCTGGAAAATGTTGGGTCAGATCAGTCCTCCGATTTGCAGATCTCCGGGCCTCTGTCTCATCACCTGCAGGTGTGGGCAGCTCGGCACCTTGAGGGCCACAGGCCCTGGTGAGCATCATGGGCAGGAAGCACCGCACTCACGTCATGAGACCCGTGGCAGGCCCCGGGAAAGTTGTGCAGCTGCTGTGACTACCGGTCTCTGCATGAAATTGATAACGAACTGAGCGTGGGATGAGGCTCAAGCCAGATGTGCTGCACCGTGCATGCAGCCCATGTGTGGCCACAGAAATAAGCATCCAGGCGCCCCCAAGTCCACAGGAAACTGGGGGAGGGCCAACAGGACTAACACCTCCTCCTCAAAGGCTGACATCAGCTGTACCAGCTGGCCCCCGGGGGAGCTGCGCTTACACACATAGGCGAGCACTGTGGTGATGGTGCCATCGTGACGTGGCAGAGCATAGCCGCTATCAGCAACATCGTCTTCACAGCACTCTGTCTGTGGAGCCCTTCCAGGCACTGCTAGAGCCAATTCTTCAATCTGTTCTAGGGCCAGCACTCAGAGGGCGGTTCCTGGTGTGGCAAAGGTGGCACAGTCTTGGGGCCCCGGCCACCACGGATGGTGGCAGAGGTGAGCACTCTGACTGGCCAGGTCTGTGGCGCATGTCTGGGAGGGACTCCTGAAAGCCCAGCCCAAGATCAGCATCTCAGGCTTCACAGAACCCTGGGGGCTTTCTCACAGGGCAGAACCTGGCCAATCAATGCTTGCTCTGCAGGTCCTGCTGCAGGTGGCAGCAGCAGCAGCTGAGGCTCCATAGAAATGGCGACGTGTGAGCCCAGCAGACCCATGGAACCAGAGCCCAAGGTTTCACAAGATCCCCACGACCCACACGCACAGCAGAGTCTGAATGGAACCAGAACCCATCGTTTCACAAGGTCCCCATGGCCCACATGTGTGGCAGAGTCTGAGAAGCACAGTTACAAAACACCATCACCACCAGCATCATCATCACTGTTACTGGATGGAAGGTCTTGACTGTAAGCTCTCCAGGTTCCTGGCATGTTGAACAAAGAATTGAACAAAACACACAAACAAAGCAACCAAAAGGCATAGTAACACAAGCACAGATTTATTGACATGAAAGTACACTCCACAGAGTGAGAGCAGGCTCAAGCAAGCAGCTCATGAGCCCTGACTGCAATGTTCTTTAGGGTTCTTTTTTTTTTTTTTTTTGAGACAGAGTTTCGCTCTTGTTGCTTAGGCTGGAGTGCGATGGTGCAATCTCGGCTCACTGTAACCTCTGCCTCTCAGGTTCAAGTGATTCTCCTGCCTCAGCCTCCTGAGTAGCTGGGATTATAGGTGCGCACCACCACACCCAGCTAATTTTGTATTTTTAGTAGAGACAGGGTTTTTTCATGTTGGTCAGGCTGGTCTTGAACTCCCAACCTCAAGTGATCCACCCGCCTCGGCCTCCCAAAATGCTGGGATTACAGGTGTGAGCCACCGCACCTGGCCAGGGTTTTTATTAAGCTAAAAGAATTTGATAACACCCATAGGTGCCTGTTAGAGACCTCCAATTAACTATACCCTATGAAGGACTGGCCCACAGCCCCAGAACCACCTGGAACCTGCCACACCCCAAGCCAGCTGGAGTCTCCTGGACTCAGTCTCCCTGCAAGTCTCACCCTGAGCTTCTGATTGGCAGAGCCCAGTCACGTGACTGCCTGTAGCAGCAGGGGGGCCTGGGAAGTACAGTTTTCTAAATCTCATTTTGGAGAAGGAGGGTTGTGGGGGACAAGAAAAATAAGAAAACAAGTTCATCTAAATCTGAAAACAGAAGTTCTACCATCTGTGACTCACATCACAGCCACAGCTTTCTCAAGGTTGAAAGTGTTGGGGTTCCCGCAGCTTTTCAACTTTCTTGCTTATCACAAGACGAAGGCCTTACTCTGCTGGCTGCACCACAGGGCCCAGGTGGGGTGACACGCAGGGGTCCTCCCCATCAGGTCAGACGGGCAGGCTGGGGCAGCCCTGGGCGTCCTGCATCACCCAGCGACCACCCTGCCTTCTGTCTGTGCCCACCCCATCTCCAGCCTGAGCCTTAAAATGCCACAGCTGCACCGACCGTGAGGGCCATGCCTGCCCTATCGCACAGTGTGCAATGAATAAATGAAAGCCGGTATAATGAAACCTGAGAGCTGCCATTCCCATTTCAAAATCCTGGCCCCACCGTTGTCCTCAGTCTCACGCCATACTGCACTGCCGCAGGACCCTGCCATCAGAGAGCCATAAATTAATTACCTACCAAACACCACTGCAGTGACAGTCTTCACAGTGAAATCTGAAAAATAAACAAAGAAATCAAGCTCTGTAGGCAGGAGGTAGGTACTGGACCCTACAAATTCTGTGTGTGTCTATGTGTGTCTGTGTGTGTGTCTGTGTGTCTGTGTCTGTGTGTGTCTGTGTCTGTGTGTGTGTGTGTCTGTGTGTGTCTGTGTGTATCTGTGTCTGTTTCTGTGTGTGTCTGTGTGTGTGCGTCTGTGTGTCTGTGTGTGTCTGTGTGTCTGTGTGTGTGTCTGTGTCTGTGTGTGTGTATCTGTGTGTCTGCTTCTGTGTGTGTGTGTCTGTTTCTGTGTGTGTCTCTGTGTGTGTGTATCTGTGTCTGTTTCTATGTGTGTCTGTGTCTGTGTGTGTCTGTGTGTCTGTGTCTGTGTGTGTGTGTCTGTGTCTGTGTGTCTGTGTGTGTCTGTGTCTGTGTCTGTGTGTGTCTGTGTCTGTGTGTGTCTGTTTCTGTGTGTGTGTCTGTGTGTGTCTGTGTGTGTGAGTGTCTGTGTGTGTGTCTGTGTGTGTCTGTGTGTGTGTGTCTGTGTCTGTGTGTCTGTGTGTCTGTGTATCTGTGTGTCTGTTTCTGTGTGTGTGTGTCAGTGTGTGTGTCTGTGTGTCTGTGTGTGTCTGTGTGTGTCTTGTGTGTGTCTGTGTGTCTGTGTGTCTGTGTCTGTGTGTGTGTGTCTGTGTGTGTATCTGTGTGTCTGTGTGTGTGTCTGTGTCTGTGTGTCTGTGTGTGTCAGTGTGTCTGTGTGTGTCTGTGTGTCTGTGTGGGTGTGTGTGTGTGTCTCTGTGTGTGTGTCTGTGTGTGTGAATTTAACACTGGCATCAGCATGGTGGTTCCAACCAGTGCTTGGAGTCAGCAGCGTTGGGATAATGTCTTAACCATTTGGAATGAGAGGAAGAGAGAGACAGAAAACCTGAAAAACACCTCAGTGAAAACCGTGAGTAATTTTGTTTACAGCCTTAGAGTGGAGAAATATTGCAGAAGTATAAATTTAAATTATTCAAAAGTGAAAATATTTACATAACAACCATTAACTGAAGATTTAAAAAAGGCAAATGATGAGAAGGACAAACTATTTGCAATAGGTGTAACAAGCAAAAAGTAACATCTCAAGCACATAAAGACCCAGCATAAAAGAGCAGAGGCCCTGAGCAGGCCATTCACAGATGAGGAAGTGACAGGACCCCCCACGGAACATCCACGGAAGCAATTCAACACGGTGATGAGATGCCACCCGGCTCCACCCAGATTAGGGTGCAAAAATGTAAACGCCTGATAAAAGTCAGTGTTTTCAAGGGTGTAGGGGAATGAATACGCTTATATCCTGTATAAACTGGTGCCATCCTTTAGGAGGGCCAGTTGGCAGGGGTAACCAAAATGTTAAATATGTGAGCATTTCTCTTTTTTCAGAAATTTCACTTTTAGGAATCTTTTTGACAGAAATACTCTGATTTGGGCACGAAGACGTGTGTCAAAGATGTGCAAAGCTGTAATATCAAAAAGCTGGAGGGCGCTGAAGTTTCCATTCCATGCAAGAGGCACTATCTAAGCCGTGGCTCTGTTATACTGGGGGCAACTGTTATTTAAAAAAGAATTCGATGCAGCTATAGATCCTAACATTAAAATATCTACAAGACACGGTAATGTTTAAAAACTAAGGCCCCAGAAACTCCAGTAAAAATAGTTAACACAGACCAGGCATTGTGACTCATGCCTGTACTCCCAGCACTTTGGGAGGCAGAGACAAGAGGATTTCTTGAACCCACGAGTTTGAGACCAGCCTGGGCAACATAGTGAGACCCCCATCTCTACAAAAAATAGAAAAAGTTACCCAGGCGTGGTGGCGAACCCCTGTGGTCCCAGCTATTTGGGAGGCCGAGGCGGGAAAATCACTTGAGCCAGGAGGTGGTGGCTGCAGTAGCTGTGATTGTGCCACTGCACTCCAGCCTGGGCCACGGAGGGAGAGACCCTATCTCAAAAAAAATTAATTTAATAAAAATATAAAGAATCCTAATTCTCTCTGGAAGGAAGATGAAGCGCCTGCTACCATCACCGGCTGCCCTGGGAGAGAGCACCGGGATGCAGTTCCCTCCTGACCAGGCCCCGCCTCTTCCAGGAGGCCGCCCCGGGCTGCTTTGCAGCTGCAGGAGTCGGTGGTCCAGCCTGGATTCGGGTGCGGGAGGCTTGACACAAAGGTGGGCAGCTGTTCCTGGGGGCCTGTGGGCGCCCCTGAGGCTGCGGGGCTGGTGCTTGTTCTCCCAGAAGGCCCCGGGGTCAGGGACTCCCAGTGTCCTCTCCACAAATCACTTCTCAGCATGGCGGCTCCTGGACCCCTGGGTCCCAGCACCCGCTGTGTGCTCCAGGTCAGCCACAGTGACCAAGGGGAGAGTCACACAGTCTGGAAAGGGAGGCGAAGATGCTTCGCCTGGCGGCTGAGGCGGGACACAGCAAGTCCCCGGACTCTTCCTGCAGGCTCCCCACAAGGATGTCCCCAGGGCCTGGCCTCCCAGGAGGCCAGCAGGGGCAGGGGCTCCAGAGGAGCGGGTGGCGGGGTCTGCAGTCGGGGCAGGCCAGGAGGCGCCGGCGGGCCGTTGAGCTTTGCTTCGCTGGGAGGGTGCTGTCCTTGCCCCCACGGGTGGGGCTGGCAGTCAAGTTCCACCCAGGAAAACAAGGATGAGTCACCAGAAGGACCCAGTTTGCCACAGTGACAGCCCCCAGGCAGGTGAGGCCTATCCTGAGCACACGTGGCTTTCAGCGTTTCCCTTCGCCCACCCTGGATGCTTCTGAGGCCTTTCACCCCAGGGGCACATCCTTCCGCCTTCATTTCACGCAAACACCTTTGGCTGGACGGTGAGCTCACGCAGGAGGCTATAAGCGCAGTGGGCGGGACAGGACCAGCGTGCTCCTCCACCCGACTGTGCTCCTCCATCCCACATCCCACCATCCGGACCACTGTGCTCCTCCACCCACCTGTGCTCCTCCACCCCACATCCCACCATCCGGACCAGCGTGCTCCTCCACCCACCTGTGCTCCTCCACCCCACATCCCACCATCCGGACCAGCGTGCTCCTCCACCCACCTGTGCTCCTCCACCCCACATCCCACCATCCGGACCACTGTGCTCCTCCACCCCACACCCCACCATCCGGACCAGCGTGCTCCTCCACCCGACTGTGCTCCTCCACCTTACACCCCACCATTCGGCCCATGGAAGAGCAAGCACAGGCCCTGGACAGGCACAGTCGGGCAGCGCTGTCCTGGAGAGAGACGCATGTCCCCGTGCCCTGTCCAGGCTTGGTCCTTGCTGGACCTTGTGGACGTGATAGGCTGGGACTGAGGGGAGGAAGCGTGAGGCAGAGGCCAACGCCCCCCCAGCCAGGCTTCCCCCGCCTCCCTTGAAGCCTGTGGCAACTGAATGTTATCAGGACCCAGAGGGATCAAAGAGTTCAGTGGAAAATTACTCAGCTTCATGCGAATTTGCTTCTATTTTGGGCAAGGACGTTCTAAGCATGAAAAGAAAGGCTTGATAGATTGATGATAAAATGTCAACCTTCTGCATAAGTGAATTTAAAAGTATATGAAAAACGGAAAAATATATGACAAGGGCTTATAATATTTAATAAAGAAGTAATTGTTCATTTTCTCAAAGGCAACTTTTAAAATTAAAAAAGGAGAAAACAAATCGGAAAAATACAAAAAAGATAAACTGAGGAAAAAATAAAGAAAAAAGTGAACAAGAAGTGGTAGTCAAATTGTCACGTGTAAAAAATAATAGGAAGTGGGGACTTTTTATTTATTTATTTATTTTTTGAGGCACAGTTTCGTTCTTGTTGCCCAGGCTAGAGTGTAGTGGTGCAATCTCTGCTCACTGCAACCTCCGCCTCCCGGATTCAAAAGATTCTCCTGCCTCAGCCTCCCACGTAGCTGGGATTACGGGCATGCGCCACCATGCCTGGCTAATTGTGTATTTTTAGTAGAGATAGAGTTTCACCATGTTGTCCAGGCTGGTCTCAAATTCCTGACCTCAAGTGATCCACTCGCCTCAGCCTCCCAAAGTGCTGGGATTACAGATGTGAGCCACCGCTCCCGGCTGGAAGTGGGGACTTTTGATTCATAAACAAAGAGATAAAGTGACCTGTACAGATCAGAATGCCCAGCCTCACCACCAGTGAAAAAGAAGTCACAGAGCAAGGAGACGTTCTTGAGCCCAGCTTATTTATAAGCCTTCTTGTTTTATTTCATTTTCAATCATGAAAGCCAGCTTCGTGTGGGGGCTGGGAGTGAGTGTCTGGGCAAACTGCAGTGCACTGGGTCCTTCCAGAAGGTGGTGAGCTAATGTGCGCCCAGAGCTTTAAACTGTTCCTAGTCTTTGACCCCGTCATGCAATTTTAGAATTTGACTGAAAGGAAATAATCCAAGATACCACCTGTGCATATGACTTTGTTCCTCATGATAGGAAAACACAGGCGGGGAATAGGAAAAACTGACGGGCACCCACTGTCTCCCCTCAGACCCCTAAAGCAGAGCCTGAGACCAGGATTTGGAGAGGAAGAGGGTCTAGGGTCAGTGAGACAGGGACCGAGGGAGTCAAGGAGAGGGGCTCTGTGCACCACTGGGACCGTGGGGCTGGACTGTGCTGGGCCCTGAGAAGCCCATGGAATGCCTCCCACGGCCCAGCATGAACAGGCGCTGCCTCCTGGGGCAGGGACAGGCCGGGGACCAGCCTGAGTCTGCGTTTCCAGGGTGCCCGTGCCACAGGTGATGGGGCCCCATCAGAAAGGACCTAGTTTTAGCCGGGAGTGATGGCTCACACCTGTTATCCCAACATTTGTGAGGCTGAGGTGGGAGGATCGCTTGAGGTCAGGAGTTCGAGACCAACCTGGCCAATATGGTGAAGTCCCGTTTCTACTAAAAATACAACAATTAACTGGGTGTGGTGGCGTGCGCCTGTAATCCCAACTGTTCAAGAGGCTGAGGCAGGAGAATCGCTTGAATCCGGGAGGCGGAGGTTGCAGTGAGCTGAGATCACGCCACTGCACTCCAGCCTGGGCAACAGAGCTACACTCTGTCTCAAAAAAAAAAAAAAAGAAAAAGAAAGTAAAAGAAAAGAAAAGACCTAATTTCTAAGGACCTGAGAAAATGCTCACAACCCACTGTTAGGCCCAGAGAGAGCCCACCTCCATCACCTGGACAGATGCCTCATGGCTGTCCTCAGAGGGCTGTGTACCCTGCTGTCCCACCTTCTTCTAGATGGCAGATCCAGTGACGCACGCCCGAGCTCAGAGCTCACAGTGTGCACACAGGCTTCAAGGATCCCTACAGCCTAATGAGATGCTCACCAAGTGCCATTCCGGACCCAGGGAGAGGGCACTGGTCATTAGAGGCTATCCGAGGCTGCACCAGGCCACCCTGCTGGGACTGGGTTGGGTGGGGAACTTCCACTGGAGCCCCTTTTGATGACCCCCCCGCCCATCCCCGAGGAATCAGCTATGGAACCATTTCTATATGCAACCAGCTCCTGGGATGCAGTTCATAGGGTCCCCTGCAGGTGCGAGAGCCCCCCACACACAGTCAGACTGAAAAAGCTCCTGCAAGAGAAAGTCAGTGACCCACCCGCCCGCAGATGGCATTGACCAGCGTCTACACCTGCCGATGGCATTGACCAGCGTCAGCACCCATGGCTCCCCTCGACCAGCTGCAAACACTTAACTCACAGGAATGGCCACTGCTGGGTGCTTGAAGTGTGTGTCTCAGCAGAAGGTCCAGCCTGGGGCCAACTGTGTCCCAGGAGCCTGCTGGTTAGGGGGACCATTTCATCTCAAGAGCCCTTGTGTGCTTAAGGGACAACTGGGGGTTCTGAGGACACAGGCCACACCAGCTTCCCTGCTGCAGAGTGAAGTCAGCCCGGGATTATGCCCTGACCCTGGGCTGCAGCTGAGGAAGAGCCCTGGCTTTGTTAGGAAGGTGGCCCAGCCCAGCCCAGCCCCAGCACTGCAAAACATTAGAGAAGCCGCCTGTGCACATGCCTTCCAGAGGAGAGGGCATGAGAGGAAGGAGGAAGGCCATGGAGCCCCCATGGGGAGGCTGTAGACACCTCCCGTGCTGGAAGCCTCCCACCGTGCAAAAAGGCCTTCCAGGGAAGCTTCAGTGAAGTCTGCCCTGTTCACAAATGCTTGTCTGAGGGGCTCCACTGAAGAGACTGGGAGAGGTGCTATCTTAGGGTTTCAGGTCTCTAAGGAGAGAGTCAGCTAACACACTCAAGGAACAGGCGTGACTCTCATGAGGCTTTTTAATTAAAGGATGTGCGGATTAACACACTGACCAAGACCAGAGGCATGGGCTTGCAGGCAGTGGTGGAGGGGATTAGGGGGTACCATTGGTGCCCCGGCCCTGAAGCCCAGTCTCCCAGCTAGATGAAGCCTGACCCTTGGTCTTCCTGCTCTGCAATGCTCTGGAAGTCCAGAGTGGACTGCAGTTCATAGGAGCTGAGATTCCAGTTGGGGTTAGTGCTTCCACCTCCAGGAGGGCATCCCCCAGGGCCCAGCCCCTGGGGACACCATGTCCTTCGGGAGCTGCGGGAGCTGGGGGTGCCCAGGCAGCCTGGCATCGCCTGCATCATCCCCTGCTGCCACCAGAGCTAACCCACACGGTGCTGGGGGCACACCTGTCCCCATGTGGGCGGCTGCTTCTCCCGCACACAGACTGGTGCTGGGGGCACACCAGTCCCCACGTCGGCAGCCACTCCTCCCCTGCACACAGACCAGGGGGTCCCACCACAGGGTTTCTGTTTGCCAATGGTCTTGGGACCCAACTTACAGCAGCACGTTTGAGAATGATTCCAGGTTCTTAGGAGGACCCAGCCTTGGAATGCAGGTAAAGATGAAGGCCCAAAGGCAGTGGTCTGGACTACCAGAGGTGCCTCAGCCCCTGGCATCATTAACAGGTTTCTTGCTGTGGCCGCCTAATGGTGCTAGCCCCTGGAGGCCAGCAGGTGGCCAACCCTCCGGGCCAGCAATCACAATGCAGCACCCTGGACAGCGGCAAAGACCATGTGCAAATGCAGCCACAATGTCTCCTGTAATGCCCACGTGCATGTCCATTCTCTCCTGGAATCCTTCCAGTTGGAGGTGGGGCCCAGAGAGGGCAAGTGCCCTGCTTAAGGTCACAAAGCAAGTCAGCGGCAGATGCAACCTGGCTGCAGACTCCTAATCCCCTCTTGAGCATTCCTGGGGCTGAGCCCCACTGCTATCTGTTGAGGCAGGCCACCCAGATGCTGAGGGCCAGCAGCCCCCAGCTGACTCTGAGGCTTGCTGTGCTGTTGCAGAGATCTGTGTTGCAACATGAGGCCCTGGAGGCGGCCAGGCTGTCTTGGTAGCCAGGGCAGGTGTAAGCGCATGATTTTATAATAATCATTTGCTGACCTGGGGGAGCTGGAAAACAGAGGGCAGAGGGCTGTTTTCTGAGACCTGAGACCTGTGAAATTCACTCCTGCCCCTCTCGACAGACAAAAGCCTGCCAGACTCTTCCTCATTGTTCTCCCACCTTACAGGGATGCAGAGCAAGAGGCAAGTACAGCCCCAGGGCTCAGTGTGTGACAGGGACCAGGGCTCAGTGTGTGACAAGGACCAGGGCTCAGTGTGTGACCAGGACCAGGGCTCATTGTGTGACAAGGGTCAGGGTTCAGTGTGTGACCAGGAACAGGGCTCAATGTGTGACCAGGACCAGGGCTCTGTGTGTGACAGGGACCAGGGCTCAGTGTGCGACAGGGACCAGGGCTCAGTGTGTGACCAGGACCAGGGCTCGGTGTGTGACAGGGACCAGGGCTCAGTATGTGACCAGGGTCAGGGCTTAGTATGTAACCAGGACCAGGGCTCAGTGTATGACAGGGACCAGGACTCAGTGTGTGACCAGGGTCAAGGCTCAGTGTGTTACCAGGACCAGGGCTTGATGTATGAACAGGGCCCAGGGCTCAGTGTGTGACCAAGGTCAAGGCTCAGTGTGTGACCAGAGTCAGGCTCAGTGTATGAGCAGATTCCAGGTCTTACCCACTGTCCCACTTTTCTCCTTCTTCCTTTCTGAGCAGCCTGTACCCGCTGTTCAGTAATTACAAGGCTTTAAATTAAGCATTTCGTGTGTGCCAGCACTGTGGGGCATTTCACGTGGAAAATCTCGTCCACTCTAAGGACCTCAGGATGGGGGCCACCTGCCATTCTCATTTTGGAGGGAGGAGATAGAGGGCCCGGCAGTTGCAGCATTTGCCTGAGGCATTGCTTGCAAACATCAGAGTTCTGATTAGAAGCCAGTCTCCCCAGCCCCTTTGATCTCCCCACCACCCCCTGCCCTCCTGCTGAGGCCCAGGCACACTGCCCTGCCCACCTGCCCACCCAGAGGAGAGGCACTCACTGGTCCAGGTGGTCAGGCAGTAACGAGTGGTGTTTTGGCAGGATGTGGGCTGGAAACAATTCCCTCAATTCCCTGTCACAGAGCACTCATGGCATCTCAGTGCCTGGGCTGGGAGAGGCACAGCTGGTGGTCGGAGACCAAGCCCTGGTCCCTGCCCAGCCTCCCACATCACAACCTCAGGCATAGACTCTGCTTTTGGGAAAGCACCAGCTTACCAAGCCCTGCACCCTGTCCTCCACCCGCCCACCCGTGTGGACACTGGGCCCCGGAAGTGCTCCGTGGTGCACACTTAGGCTCAGATAAAGAAGTTGTCTCTGCTTTCTCCAGAGACGACCAGAAATCACCTGGGTTAGGAACCAAAGCTCTGAGCAGCCAGAGATCCAGGCTACCAGGCAACCCCCAGCACCCCTGGTACCCCTCAAAGCCCACCAGGCCAATGGGGGCAACTCTCTGCAGGACTGAGCAAAAGCAACAGCAGATCCAACGGTGCCTCTGGGTGAGTCAGGAAGACAAAGTGGGCAAGCAGCCCAGGGACTGGGAATGGGGTGGAGGGCCCAGGCTGTGGCCCTGCGCTGGCTCAGGCTCAGGCTCAGGCTGTACCTCCTGTGGGGCCTCTGGCAAGTCCTGCCCTCTGTGCCCCAGCTTCCCCTCTGAGCAGCACGGGTGCCTGACTGCAGAGGCTGGTCCAGCTAGGCCAACCCAGGCTGTCAGGGTGGCCGCCAGCATCCCCAGGGACCCAGGGGGGACCCAGAGCAAGAGTGCGCATCGGCTCACCTGAACACACCAGCCTCAGAGACAGCAGCCAAGACAGGTGGATCCTCGTGGCTAGGGCGGGGCAGATAGGCAGGTGGTGGCCCCATCCAGAGCTCGGGCTGTCTGGCCTGGATCAGGCCATCTGGTCTTTATGGGGCCTTCTCCAGCTGTGGCTGGGGTGGGGCAGGTGTGTCCCTCACTGTCTCCTGCCTCCATCCCAACATGTGACATCACCCGAGGTGTGGCTGGAGCAGTAAATACTTCCACGAGCGCACCCCGCTTCTAAGCTCCCCGGCTGCCTGGGCCTGGTGCCCTGGGCCCTAGAGAGCCACTCACTGCCCCCTTCACCAGCCCCCTGCACACACGCCTCCCCACCACGGCACCAGGGGCCGGCAGTGCTGCTGTCTGCTTCTCCCTAGGGTGCATCACCCTCAGCTCAGCCACCATCGCAAAGGCCACAGGCCAGGTGCCAGAATGGCAGCTGTGTGCGTCTCACAGCTCTGGAGCTGGGAAGTCCAAGATCGAGGTAGCAGCAGGGCTGGTCCCTCCTGGGGCCTCTGTCCTTGGCACGGGGAAGGCATTTTCTCCCTGCATCCTCACACGGTCACCCCTGTGTGTGTCTGTGTCCTCATCTCCTCTTCTAATAAAGACACCAGTCAGGTTAGGTTAAGGCCCCTGTATAAACCACCTCTCTAAAAGCCCTGCCCCCAGACACAGTCTCACTCGGAGGTATTGGGGGTTGGAACTTCAACATAGGAATTAAGAGGAACACAATTCTGCCCCTAACACAGGGAGAGGGAGAAATGGGTCATTTTCCCGTGCTCAGGCCTGGTCATGACAGACGCAATCGCTGAGAGCCCCATGGGGGCAGGTATCCTTGTTCCTAAGATGGGACCGAAACTCACACCTGGAATCCATTCAGTCGGGAGACTGCTGGTCACATCTGGGCCCACAGGGCTCTGCTTCCATTAAACAAATAAATATTCACAATTACAAAATGCCAGAAACTTGTCCTCTCTTCCTGACTACAAGGATTCCAGGTGTGAGCTTTAGCCCCATTTTAAGGACAAGGAAACTGAAGGCCCAAGGTGGGAAGTGACTGGCAGGTGGGGGCTGGCCAGGTAAGGGCTGGCCATGCGAGGGCTGGCAGGTGGGGGCTGGCTAGGTAAGGGCTGCCAGGTGAGGGCTGCAAGGAGAGGGCTACCAGGTGGGGGCTGCCAGGTGGGGCTGCCCTCTGCAGAGTGGGACTGAGTCTTCCGGCCAGCCTGGGGGTCTTCCTGACAGACGTGGAATGGGCTCCCCCTGGTGCTATGGGCTCATGCATGGCTCTCCCTTTGCAGGGGAACAGCTGCCATCCTCCTGGGGGACCCCTATGATGGGGACCCCACAGCCCTGTGATGCACATCTGTGGCCTCACCCCTCCCCAGCCTGCCATGGGCTGACACATTGGCCAGGATTCCCAGGAACAACCCTGGAGAATTCCACAAGATATGGCAGCAACCTGCCCAGATGTTGGCCTAAGGCCAGGCACAGTGGGTCCCTCCAAGTCCCAGGCTTTGTTCTTCTGTGCCCCAGCTACCCACACGGGACCAAGGGACAGGAGGGGCAGCTGTGCTCTGGGCAGGCCTTCCACACTCATCATCCTGAATCCTCTCAGCCACCTCAGGACAAGGACTGATCATGATCCCCGCTTCCCAGACAGGGCAACTGAGGCTCCCTGGCCACCCTGTCTGCACGGTGTTCACCTCTCTCTGGGTGAGCAGAAAATGGAGCAGGAGTCAGACAGGGAATAGCACATCCGTAATAAGGAAGTCGGCAACACCCTCACTAGTCATTGACAGCCAGGCCCCAGGAAAGTTTGTTTGTTGTCTTTTTTGTTACTAAGGCTGGTCTCTCCAGGCGAGCTAAACAGTGGGTCAGAACTTTATTAGGTGTGTTACGCAGGAAGACGGCCCCCACAGATGTTCATGCTCCCATCCCAGGAACCTGCAGATATGTTAGCTCACACAGCAGAGGGGACCATGCAGATGGGATTAAGTTGAAGATCTAGAGAAGGGGAGAGGGGAATGGGTTGCCCAGGTGGGTCTTCAATGTAATTACAGGGTTTTACAAGAGGGAGGCAGAAGCGTCAGAGGAAGCAAAGATGGTGAGGTAGGGACAGAGCAGAGACTGGAGTGACTCACTTTGAAGATGGGAAAAGAGGCCACAAGCCACGGAAGCTTCCAGAAGCTGCTATAACAGACTACCACAGAATGGGTAATTTATAATGAACAGAAATTTATCTGGCTCATGGTCCTGGAGGATGGGAAGTCCATCGATCAAGGGTCCAGCTTCTGGCAAGAGCCTTACTGATGCATCAGCACATGACTGAAGGGCAAAGAGAGGGTGAGAGAGAGGGAAGGGGGACGAACTCATCCTTTTATCAGGAACCCACTCCCAGGATAACTAACCCTTACTTCATTTGTGTTGCTATAAGGAATACCTGGGGGAGGCTGTGCTTCTATCTGGCGCCCAAACATCCCAAAGAGGGGACAAAAGAAATACTTAAGGCTGAGTAATTTATAAAGAAAAGGTTTATTTGGCTCATGGTTCTGGAGGCTGTACAAGAAGTGTGGTGCCAATGTCTGCATCTGGTGAGAGCTTCAGGCTGCCTCCACTCATGGTGGAAGGGAGACAGGGGCCACCATGTGCAGAAATCCCACGGTGAGAGAGAAAGTGAGGAAGAGAGAGGAGAGATGCCGGGATCTTTTTAACAACCAGCTGTTGGGGGAATTTTCACAGGAGCCAACAGAGCAACAACTCATTCATTGCTTCAAGAACAGCATCAAGTCATTCATGAGGCATTCGCTCCCATGACCCAACACCTTCCATCAGATCCCCACCCCCAACACTGGAGATCAAATATTAATATGAGGGTTGGAGGGTCAAATATCCAAACTATAGCACCATGCTTGTGATAATGGCATTAATCCATTCATGAGGGCAGAGCCCTCGTGACCCAATTACCTCTTAAAGATCCCACCTCTCACCACTTTGCACTGGGGCTTAAGTTTCTAACACATGAAGCCACCACAGACAGTCCCCACCAGAATAATTGCCCGGTGGAGCCATAAGAGTGGACTGCCACCTCTGGGATGCCAGAACTGTGGAGCCACCATTGTGCAGTGCAAGCCTGGGGTAGCTACAGGCATGAGACTCCAACCCAAAGGAGCTGCAAAGCCATGGGGGCCAGGCCGCCCAAGGCTGCCCAATCCCCAGTGCAGTGTGCCCAGGAGGTGGTGTATGGAGTGAAAGATCATTCTAGAGTCTTAAGACTTAACTTCTGTCGTGCTGGATTTTAAACTTGCTTGGGTGCTATTACTCCTTTCTTCTTATCTATTTCTCCCTTTTGGAATGGGAATGTCTATTTTATGCCATCCCGTTGTATTTTGGAAGCACTTAACTTGTTTTGATTTCACAGGCCCACAGCTAGAAAGGAACTTGCCTCAGCATAAATCATGCCTTGAGTCTCATTTATATCAAGTTAAATGAGACTTTGACTTTGAGTTGATGCTGAAGTAAGTTGAGACTTTGGAGACTGTTGGGATAGAATCAATGTATTTGACATTGAGGGAAGAACATGAAATGGGGGGTCAGGGCAGAGTGCTATGGTGTGAATGTGTCCCTCAAAGTTCATGTGTTGGAAACTTAATCCCCAATGCAACGTGTTAGGCAGTGGGGTCTAATTGGAGGTGTTCAGGTCATGAGATTTCTACCCTCAATGGACTAATGTCATTATCATGAGAGTGGGTTTGTTATAAAAGCAAGTTCTGTCCTCTCCTGCTCCCTCCTGCTTTCTTGCCCTTCCACCTTCACCATAGGGCTGATGTACAAAGGGAAGACCCTCACCAGTGCTGACACCTTGATATTGGACTTCCCAGTTCTAGAACTTTGAGAAATACATTTCCTTCTTTCTTTTTCTTGTTACAAATTTCCCAGTCTTTAGTATTCTGTTTTAGCAACACAAAATGAACAACAAGGATGGCGGGACTGTCGGTGGGGATGGCGATAATAGTAATGGTGGTGATGGTAACGGTGATAATGATGGTGATGGTGGTGGTGGTGGTGATGATTGTGGTGGTGGTGGTGATAGTGATGGTAGTGATGGTGTTGATGATGGTGGTGATGGTGGTGGTGGTGGTAGTTATGATGGTGGTGGTGGTGGCTATGATGACAGTGATATTGTGGTGGTGGTGATAGTGGTGGTAGTGATGGTGTTGATGGTGATGGTGTTCTTGGTGGTGGTGGTGGTTATGATGATGGTGATATTGTGGTGGTAGTGATGGTGGTGGTGATGGTGTTGATGGTGTTCTTGGTGGTGGTGGTGGTTATGATGGGGGTGATGGTGGTGGTGGTGGTGGTGGTGGTGATGATGGTGGTGGTGGTGGCTATGATGACGGTGATATTGTGATGGTGATAGTGGTGGTAGTGATGGTGTTGATGGTGTTCTTGGTGGTGGTGGTGGTTATGATGCGGGTGATGGTGGAGGTGGTGGTGGTGGTGGCGGTGGTGGCTATGATGATGGTGATATTGTGATGGTGGTGATAGTGGTGGTGGTGATGGTGTTGATGGTGTTCTTGGTGGTGGTGGTTATGATGAGGGAGATGGTGGTGGTGGTGGTGATGATGGTGGTGGTGATGGAAGGGGTAATGATGGTGCTGGTGATGGTGTTATTGGTGGGGATAAGAGTGGTGGCCGTGGTTTTGCTAGCAGTATTGGTGGCAAAGGAAGTGGAGGAGAGTGTGTTGCAGTTTTTCCTGCCATGAGTCAGTAACAAGTTGTGATTAAAGGCCCAACCTTCAGAATCCTACACACTTGGGCTTGACTCTCAGCTCCAGCACTTATTCACTGCATGACCGCGGCCACATGAGTCATCTGTTTGCCTCACTCACCTCACCAGTGGAGTGGGAATCACAGGACTCACATGAGGGGAATGCGGGGTTTGATAACCACCACAATGTGCTGAGCCCGGGAATGACATGAATGACTTACCCAGAATCACGAGTCTCCCAACCCCATCCCATACTTGCATCCCTGCTGGCTGTTTGATGTCTCCAGACTTTCACTATTTCTGTCCTGTTCTAGCTCCGTGACCTGTCATAACCCACCTGTTTGCCGCCTTTATACTCTTTCTTTTGCCCTTCTGCCTCAACTCAGGACACTCTTCCCAGCAACCTGCACCCCTTTTCCTCTTGTATGTCTTTCCCTGGAGACACCACTGTAGTTTGCAGAGCATCGCCTGCTCTTTGGCTGTGACTCCACGAAGTGGGTAGTGTCAGACAGGTTCCATCCGTAATGTTCACCTTTCCCCGACTCTTTTTGAAGACTACTTATGCCCCCTGTATGTCCCAAAGACTTGGCCGCTTAGCTGCTCTCTTTGCCCTGAGGCTTTCCTTACCAAAACCTGCATCCCCACATCATGTATTAAGAAGAACACCCAAATTAGCCAAACATCCCTGCACCCCTTTGATTCCTTATCTCCTTCTCTCTACATCCAGTTGGTCTCTCAAGTTCTGCCCACCCAGAATCACCCCTGTATGCTCTGTTCCTGCTGCCTCATCTCAATGCAGGCTTTGCCCCAGCCAGTGATGCCAGCTACTTCCATTGCACTGCACCACCATTTCCCCTGCTGCAGACGCTGACCCTCCAAGCCACACTCGCTCATGCCACTCTTGGCTCAAAGCCTTCCCTGGTGCTCCATTTCCCACTAAAGAAGGTCAAACTCTAGTCACACTGCATGCTTTGAGGTCATCATCCCTTTGCTCTGTGACTAGAGATGAAAACCCAAATCCAGAGTACTGGTTCTAATCCCAGCTCTGCCACTTGCTAGCTGTGTGACCTTGGGAAAGCTATTTAACTTCCCTGTGCCTCAACGTCCTTATCTGTAATTTGGGCCTCATAATAGCACCTACCTCATAAGGTATGGGGGAGGATCAGGCAGGTTTAATACACACAAATCCTTTAAAGTTGTACCTGGTGCCTGGCACGCACTAGGTAAGTGTTTACCATTTTCATCATCAGAGCTCAAGCTCTCTGTCTGGCTCAGGTTTATTTTGAGGATGTCAAGGGCCACATTCTCACTGACCCCCTTGGTGGTGGGAAGGTGAGGGTGGGTTGTCTTCCTGGACCTCCCCTTTTCCAGGCTGGGCCAGCAGCTGCTCCATGTTCCCAGCACTTGGCTCAGATCATGGTGTTGCAGCATCATGATCTGGGCAGGTTTCTGCCTCCTCCCCTGGACCACAGGCTCTGGCCCAGCCCATCCAAGGCTCTCAGGCCCCACACATGCACCCTACGGGTGAGTGCTTTCAGCCTGATGCACTGGAGTCTTCCAACAGCATGGCCAAGCAGCGTCAGAGTTTTCGTGGTGGTGATGGCAATGCACAGCCTTGGCCCCTGAGTCACCCCAGCGGCTGGTGAGTCACAGCCTCTCCACAGGGCCAGCTGGGCCTTGAGCTCAGTAGCCCTGGCTGCACCCTACCTTATTTCTCAGGCTCCCAGCCATGCACCTGGCTGTGAGCACACACTCAGGGGACTCTGGACCCTGGCGATGCCATAGAAGAGTCAGGCCAGGCAGTGGGGCCGTTGACACGGGCAGTAGGATCCGTCCCTTTCCCTGTGGCTGAGGGGGTGGCTGGGGGTGGAGAGTGAGAGGCAGCCATGAGACGACTGCCCAAGGGCCCTGAAGCCGCGGCAGCACACCCCATGCCTCAGCTTCTCCTGCACAGTTAGGAAGCTCTTCTCTGTCTCTCCCCTGGGAGCCACCATCCCCCAGGTTCCCCTCTACTCCCAGTCGCCCATCCAGACACCCCTGAGCTTCCTAGAGCTCTAACCATCTTCTCCACAGTCCGGTCCCATTGCCTAGAAGTGGAAGGGCATGCAGAGGCTGAAAAGCAGAATGATGGGGCACCAGCCAGTGCTCCAGCCCCGGCACAGGCACTCGCTGTCTATGTGCTTTCTCTGCCTCTGTTTCCTCATCTGCAAAATGACAGCGTCTCTATTTTGATGCTCGTTGTGAGGAACAACGAGATATTTATAAAGCCCTTAGAACAAAGCCTGGCTCAGTCAGTGCTAGAGACGTGTTAATTACTATGATATGATTGTACCCTAAGTCCTCCTATAGACGTTCCTCTCTTTTTCTTCCCTGCCTGCCTGCTCTGTCTCTTCTCTCCTCACCTCTCCTTCCCTCGCTTCTCACTCTCCCTGCATCCCCTGCTAAGCCCCTCCCCTTCCTGTCACCCCCAGTCCCTTGTCGCTTCCCTCCGCCATCTTGGCCTCCAACTCTCCCTCCCAAGATGTGTCCCAGGATCATTCCCTCCAGGGTGTTGCCCAACCACCTTCAACCAAAGCAGCTATAATTTTCTCCTGCTCCAAGCCGCATGCCCTCGGCACCTCGCCATGGACCCGACTGTCAGCCAAGACCCTCTGGTGCCACAGCCCCACAGGCTACAGGGGATGTGCCGGCCCTGAATCCACCTCATGACCCACCTGTCCCCTCCCCACCCCTGCTGCCTCTGCCCAGGCTCAGGCCCCTCCATCTCTGTTCGGACCAGGTCCCAGTCTACCCTGGTCTCCTTGCCTACCCCACCCACTCCCCTCCCATCCCAGGCTGCAGGGCACCTCTGGCCACTTGGCTGCCATGCTCAGCTGCAAAGGCCCTTCCCATCAGTCATGAGCACCAGATGCCGTTGTCTTCAGTCACACATCCGGGGCCCTCGAGGACCCGGCTTCTCTCTGTCTTTATGCATGTTTTGAATGCGTTGTTTTTGCTGCCCCAGTTTGTGTTTTTCGCCACTTAAAAGTGAAGCATAACACCTGAGCAGATGGTGCCTGCAACGCCCTTACCTCAAGTGTGTAGTTCCCTTAATTCTTGCACACGAATATGTAAGGTCAGCCGAGAGAAAGGACAAGAGAGAGAGAGACCCAAGTTCAGGCAAGTAAGTTTATTGAACCTGCCGGCTGCTCCATTACAGACAGACGAGGCAGCCCTGAGCTTATGATATGGGGGAGAGAGACCCTGGGGTGTTTGTTGGTTAACTCTGCCACATATCACCTTGTGACGTTTATGCTACCAGAGGGTGTAGGCAAAGTTTGTTTGTGCTTCCCACGACCTCCCCCTGTGCGGTCCCAATGGTTTGTAATTGGGATTTGCTTTATAGCAGCAAGGTCTGATAGGTAAAGTCTGCTGGCTTCACCATGGCGTCTAGATAAGGGCTTAGAAATGTAGAGGCTTGGGGCAGCACAGAGAGGAGTTGCAGAGTGCAGAGGGGCGGGCAGCACCAAGAAGCTGCTTGGGGCAGTTTGTCCCTAACAGTATACACCTATGCGACCACTCCTAGGTTCCCTTGCGCCACCCCCACCTGGAGTAACCACCCTTCTGACTTCCATGGCTAGCTGACAGTCTTTTCTGCTTCTGACTTTTATATCAGTGGAATCACACAGGGTGCCCTCTGTCACATGCTCAGCGTCCTCTCTACAGGGTGCATCCACGCTGACGTGCGTGTCGGTACCGTGTTCTTTTTCTGTTGCCGAGTAGCATTCCATTTGATGAATATCCACAACTTATTATCTTGTCTTCTGTCAACGGACAGTTGTGTCATTTCCAGATTGGGGATGAACACACTTACAAAAGTCTCTTTGTGGACACACATTTTCACTTCCCCTGGCTGTGTACCTAGGGGTGGAATTGCTGGACATGGAAGGCACCTGTTGAGCTTGGGTTTATGTGGCCACACCGTCCCTAAAGCGGCCCTACTGTGCTGCTCTCCCCACAGCAAAGCAGAGTGCTCCAGCTGCTCTATGACACTCTATGACGCTTGGGAGCGGCAGCTGGCAGGGGAACTGTGAGGGCTTCCTTCGCCACTCACTGGACGGGCCCTGGGCCCGTGCCAGGTGCAGAGGCAGAGAGACAGGGTTGCCAGACTTAGCAAAAGTGAAGAGACACAGGACACCCCATTAATTTTGAATTTTTAAAATATTGCATGAGACATGCTTGTACTAATAATTATTTGTTGTTCATCTGAAATTCAACTTTGCCTGGGCACCCCGTCTGATGGGGCAGGGTTCTGAGAGGCCATCGGGGACCCCCTTCCTTACACCCTCACAGGAGAGGGCTCGAAAGCCCCTTAATGGGCAGGTCAGACTCTAACACAGGCAGAGAGAGCCCTGGGACTCTGTGGGTCTCTGGCTTTGCGTCTGGCGCACCCACCACCCCCACAGGCTTCTCACTTGGGCCAGTCCCCCATTGCCCCTCTCAGCCTGAGCCTCCTTTGCCGCAGGCCCAGGTCCAGGGGCCCAGGGGTTTGCTTTTCCTCTGGGGGGCTGCACTGGCCTCCCTGCGCACGGCCACGTCACACTCCTCCATTAGTGCCAAGGCCACAGGATGACTTCAGGCCTTTGAAAGAGTAGAACAGACACAGGCAAGGCTGTCGGAACAGACAGGGCCTCCTGGGGGACTTTAATGAAGGAAGGCTCATAATCTGATTTATGTTTTACAGTCACATGGGCAATAAATCTGTAGTTTGGGGGAAAAAAATAGAAGGCTGTGTTTCTTTCATTTTCATTGACCCATATCCCTGATCCAGGAGCCCCCAAAGGAGGAAATCCCACCCCTCATTCCAGGTCAAGAGACCCTTCCTGAGAGCAGGTGTCGCCCTGAGGCCCTGAGGAGGAAGTCCCTACCTGGAAGGTGCCACAGGTGAAAAACACCACCTGTGACCTCTGACCAGGGTCCGTGGATGGTGCTAGGCCCCTGCCCTACCTGCACCTTCACCCCATGTGGGCAGCAGTCTGCTGCCAGGGAGGAGGCCTGACCCAGGAGGCCAGAGATGGGAACTTGTGGGGTGCCACCTGCAAAACTAGGGAAGCTGTGGGCCTCCAAGAGCTCTGGGGACCATCTCAGAAAGAAGTCACATCCAGAGAGCTCTGGAACATTCCAGAATCCAGCCAGGGTGCTCCTTTGAATTTTTTGGTCTGGGTCTTCCAAGGAGCAGCAAGTAGGCTGCAGGGCAGCTAAGAGGGGCCATGTTTCTGGTGGAATGGGGACCACTGCTCCCCATTGGCAGGTGGAGTGGGGAGGGGGCAGGACTACAGGGGAGAGGGCAGTGCCCCACATTGGGGACAGGCTGTGGGAGGGGCAGCAGGGACCCTGGCCTGCAGGCAGGGGTTTCCGTCCTTCCCATCTCAGGTGACTTAATGCTTCAAATAGTGGAATAAAGGCACACACCTCTTCCCAGGCACTCGCCAGGGCAGCTGCCGCCAGCGGTCAGGCGTACTGACTTCTTATCCTTTCCAGGTTCCTTTATGGGAAAGCAATCACATAAGGGTATGGAGTCTAATTTATTTTCAATTTTGCTCCAAATTTCACACATTATGTACATGGGTCACTTAATGCACATCTTGGAGAACTTATTTTAAAATTGCTGACCATCAGGCTGGCTGATGATAATTTATTTAACTAGTCTCCTACCGATGGACGTTTTGGTGGTTTTCTGTCTTTTGCCCTTTCCAACAACACTGCAACCAATAAGTCAATTTTCCATAATTCACGTGTGAGAGTAAGTCTGGGAGATGTTCTGGGGCATGCCTGCTGGTTCAATGAATCTACAAAAAAAAATTCTTAGAACTAGTAAGTCTAGCAATGTCACAAGATTAACACACAAAACTCAATGATGTTTTATATACTAACAATGAATAAGAGGAAATAGAAGTGAAAGGCATAATACTTTTTGCAGTTACTCCAAAGGAAATAAAAAAGGAACATGTACAGCATCTGTATGCTGAAAATTATAAAATGCTATTGAAAATTATAAAATGCTATTGAAATAAGTAAAAAAAAAAAAAAAAAAAAAAACCTAAATCGATGGAGATATAGGCTGTCAGTGGATTGGAAGACTCAACATAGGAAAGGTGTCAGTTCTCTCCAACTTGACATACTTTTAATGCAATCCCTATCAAAAGCCCAGGAAAAGCTGTTCTTCGTATAGATGAGATTATTCTAAAACGTATATGAAAAGGCAAAGGAACTAGAATAGCTAAAATAACTTTTAAAAAATGGAAGGAATTGTTCTATCTAGTTTCAAGACTTACTATATAGCTACTGTAGTGAAGACTGTGGTCCTGGCAGAGGAACAGACCCATAGATGGATGGAACAGAACAGCGAGCCTAGAAACAGCCCCTCACAGTGCAGCCGGTGGATACTTGGCAGAGGTAAAAAGCAATTTAATGGAGGAAGGAGAGTCATATTAACAGCTGTACTGAAACAATCAGATATCCATAGGTAACCTCGACCTAAACTACTTATAGAAAAATTAACTCAAAATAGCTCCTAGATTTAAATGGGAAATGCTGAACTATTGAAATATTTGCAAACCACGTATCTGGCAAAGAGCTAATACCTAGAATGCAGCTCTGTCTTAATCTGTTTTCTGTTGTTTATAACAGAATACCTGAAACTGGGTAATTTATAAAGAAAAAGAATTCCTGTCCAGGTGCAGTGGCTCATGCCTGTAATCCCAGCAATTTGGGAGGCCGAGGCGGGTGGATCACCTGAGGTCAGGAGTTCGAGACCAGCCTGGCCAACATGGAGAAACCCCGTCTCTACTAAAAATACACAAATTAGCCGGGTGTGGTGGTGCACACCTGTAGTCCCAGCTACTCGGGAGGCTGAGGCAGGAGAATCACTTGAACCCGGGAGGCGGAGGTTGCAGTGAGCCGAGATCGTGCCATTGCACTCCAGCCTGCGCAACAAGAGCGAAACTCCATCTCAAAAAAAAAAAAAAGAATTCCTTTCTTAAGTTATGGAGGCTTCGATGTCTAAGGGTAAGGGGCCACATCTGGTGAGGGCCTTCTGGCTGGTGGGGACTCTCTATAGGGTCCCGAAGGAGTGCAGGGCATCCCAGGGAGGGCGAGGGCGCTGAGTGTGCTTCTGTGCTAGTTCAGTTTTCTCTTCCTCTTCTTATAAAGCCACCAGTCCCATTCCATGATAACTCACTAATTCATTAACCCATTAATCTAGTAATCCATTAACCCATGAATGGGTTAATCCATTCAAGAGAGCCTAGCCCTTGTGATCCAATCACCTCTTAAAGGCCCCCTGCTCTGTACTGCCTCAATGGAGATTACATGAGTTTTGGAGGGGACAAACATTGAAACCATAGCGAGCTCTATATTCTAGATACTAGCTCTTATATATACTCTCTAAACCCAAGAGAAAAAAAATCTCAATTCAATTAGAAAATTGTCAGAAAAAGAAACATGAAAAACTCTTCACTGAAGAGGAAATACAGAGAACAAGCCAATGAAGAGATGTCAACAGAATTAGCCATTAGGGAAAAAGGCAAATCAAAACTGCAATAAGATCCTACTACACACCTATCAGAATGGCTAAAATAAAATAGCGACCTCACCAAATGCTGGTGAAGAAGTGGAGAGGCTGGATGGCTCATTCGTCGCTGGTGGGAATGTGAAACGGTACAACTACTCTGGAAAACAGCTTGGCATTTTCTTTAAAAACAAAGTACATGAGCCAGGCGTGGTGGTTCACGCCTGTAATCCCAGCTCCTATTTAAGATAGAGTTGCTCTGGTTCATGCACCTCTGACATAGGAAGTTGCAAAGACTGTCCAGAGAGATCCCAGTTCCCCCAGTGGTTACATCTTCCATTCTATAGTAAAATGTGATAATCAGGAAATTGACATGATACAATGTGCTCGGAGTTCCAGGAACTCCACGCCTGTGTCATTCCTGCAGCCATCACCCCATTCAATATGCAGAGCCCTTCCATCACTGCAGACACCCTCCCTTGTGCTACACCTTTGTGGACATGGCTGCCCTCCTCGCACACCACTAACTCTTGGCAACTTCTCAACTGTCCTCCATCACTACAGTTTTGTCATGTTGGGAAGGTTACTTACATGGAGCCATAGTTTGTGGCATTTGAGATGGAGATTTTATGTCCTTGGGAGCTTGACCTTTTAACCATATGGCAGTACTTCCTTTTGGTCTCTGCCTTCGGGGAAGAGGAATTTTAGGATTCATGTCATAATTAGCTCTAAAAATCATATTAAACAGTTAAAAGCCTTTGCAAGATCAAAGTTAACTACTCAAGACTCCTTCTGGGAAAAGAACTGGATACTGCCTTGTGCTGTAGCTCAGTAGCCAAGGCTTTGCACTTTCACAGTGGCGGTTGGGGTTCAATTCCCCCATAAGAAATAAGTCATTTCTGGTTTAATATCTTGTCTATTCTCTTCTCCTCTGCAGAACGTCTTAAATTTTCCTTTCTCTAAGCACCTGGGTGGTTACCTTTGGTAAGTTCAAAAGCCAGAAATATCGGCCTTTTGGCATAAGAAATTCTAAAAGTGAGAGGTGACAGTGTGCTGGCAGTCTTCACAGCCCTCGCTGGCTCTCGGCGCCTCTTCCGCCTGGGCTCCCACTTTGGCGGCACTTGAGGAGCCCTTCAGCCCACCGCTGCACTGTGGGAGCCCCTTTCTGGGCTGGCCAAGGCCGAAGCTGACTCCCTCAGCTTGCAGGGAGGTGTGGAGGTGGAGGCGCGAGGGGAAACCGGGGCTGTGCAGCGCTTGCGGGCCAGCTGGAGTTCCGGGTGGGCGTGGGCTTGGCGGCCCCGCACTCGGAGCAGACGGCCGGCCCTGCCGGCCCTGGGCAGTGAGGGACTTGGCACCCGGGCCAGCGGCTGCGGAGGGTGTACTGGGTCCCCCAGCAGTGCTGGCCCCCCAGCGCTGCGCTCGATTTCTCCCCGGGCCTTAGCTGCCTTCCCGCAGGGCAAGCCTCGGGACCTGCAGCCCGCCATGCCTGAGCCTTCCCCCGCCTCTGTGGGCTCCTGTGCAGCCCAAGCCTCCCCGACGACTGCCGTCCCCTGCTCCACGGCGCCCAGTCCCATCGACCACCCAAAGGCTGAGGAGTGCAAGCGCACAGTGCGGGACTGGCAGGCAGCTGCACCTGCAGCCCCGGTGCGGGATCCACTGGGTGAAGCCAGCTGGGCTCCTGAGTCTGGTGGGGCCTTGGAGAACCTTTATGTCTAGCTCAGGGATTGTAAATACACCAATCGGCACTCTGTGTCTAGCTCAAGGTTTGTAACACACCAATCAGCACCCTGTGTTTAGCTCAAGGTTTGTGAATGCACCAATTGACACTCTGTATCTAGCTGCTCTGGTGGGGCCTTGGAGAGCCTTTATGTCTAGCTCAGGGATTGTAAATACACCAATCGGCACTCTGTATCTGGCTCAAGGTTTGTAAACACACCAATCAGCACCCTGTGTTTAGCTCAAGGTTTGTGAGTGCACCAATCAACACTCTGTATCTAGCTGCTCTGGTGGGGCCTTGGAGAACCTGTGTGTCCAAACTCTGTATCTAACTGATCTGATGGGGACGTGGAGAACCTTTGTATCTAGCTCAGGGATTGTAAACGAACCAATCAGCGCCCTGTCAAAACAGGCCACTCGGCTCTACCAATCAGCAGGACGTGGGTGGGGCCAGATAAGAGAATAAAAGCAGGCTGCCCGAGCCAGCAGTGGCAACCCGCTGGGGTCCCCTTCCACACTGTGGAAGCTTTGTTCTTTTGTTCTTTGCAATAAATCTTGCTATTGCTCACTCTTTGGGTCCACACTGCTTTTATGAGCTGTCACACTCACAGGGAAGGTCTGCAGCTTCACTCCTGAAGCCAGCGAGACCACGAGCCCACCAGGAGGAACGAACAACTCCAGACGCGCCGCCTTAAGAGCTGTAACACTCACCGTGAAGGTCTGCAGCTTCACTCCTGAGCCAGCGAGACCACCAAACCCACCAGAATGAAGAAACTCCGAACACATCCGAACATCAGAAGGGACAGACTCCAGATGCGCCACCTTAAGAGCTGTAACACTCACTGCGAGGGTCCGCGGCTTCATTCTTGAAGTCAGACCAAGAACCCACCAATTCCGGACACGGAAGGACTTTAATATTAAAGAGTGCTATGGTTAAAATCAGTTCAATTAAAAGTGGATATTCAAGCTCTAACAGCCTGGACTCCCTGGGAAAAACAGGAGGCACCAGAGAACCCTTTGCTGGCCCTGTTCTTCCAAGCGCTCCACCCTAAAGCTGGTAATCCAATTAAAAAACTTAAAAACTGGCAAATGAAAAATCTTACAACCCCTGTGGTGATCTGCTTCTGTCTTTCTGTGTAGCTACATATGTGTTGTGTGTAACGTTTATATTTTTAAAAACTAATTAATTGGCTTAAACAAAAATAAGCACTTACATCAAATATTTTGAAACCAAAATGAAAACCGTAATGTCTTTTAGTTCATGTAACTTTAGAAATCTTTGGGAAATAAAAACAGCTTTAATAATTGTTGATAAAACCATTTAGTCTAAAGTATGCAGGTCAGATATTAAGTTGGCTAAATGCTTTGAGGTTGTAAACTGCTTCTTTAACTTTTAAAATTTGTTCAATTTATGTACCTTAAAGCCATTAGATTCTAGATAAGGCCTGGGGGGACATGTAGAATTAGCCATGCCCCCTAGCTGTACAAAGATTATAAAGAAAGGTTATATGAGAAAGCATCTTGTATGGTAAATTCTTGTCCTAAAGTAAAATAACTGGTTGTTTAAAAGGAGGGATGTTTACGGCAAGTCAGAAAGTCGAAAAATGCCTCATGTGGTCTGTGTAAGTCGTGAAAGGATTTGTGAAAGGGAATTTGTGCGAGAAATGTTCTACAATTCAAAGGTGGTTGGGCTTCTTAAATGCTTCGTAAAATGCCACCATGACGCTTACCATACAATTTGCCTGCTTCAGTAAGATAGGGCCTGGGGACATGTGGAGTTAGTCACGTCCCTAGCTATGCTGGAGAGTCAGCCCTTATCTGTACTTCTGCCTGGTATGTCCTAGGCTAGGCTTCACATCTAGTAGACAATTAAAATTGCTCACTAACCAGCGTTTTCACCAAAAGTAAGCGTCGCTAAAAGTTAACATTGTAACACGTAATTGAGACTATTGAAAAAAACAGCTTTACATGTAAGGTGTGTAAGGAAAGTAGAATGTACTTTTGGTACAAGGTTATAAGAAGGCATGGGAATGTGAATTTTTTTGCTTAAAGGGATAAAGAATTGTTGTAAGTTAGTAGAATAAAGGTAAAGGTTTGAACAGTTGTGGAAAGTTTGTAAAAACTTAATTGTAAAAGAGATTCTGTGTGTGTGCACTGGCTAAATTAAAGGGATATTATTCCATTTTTATATAAATTAAACATTGAAATAAAAGCACAACAGGTTTTTCTTAGAGCAAAAAAACTGCTTATAATCTGCTCTTTAACAAAAACTTGTAAAGGGTTATAAAAGGTTTATGAGAATCTTACCTTATGGTCAAACTGATTAAGATTGGACATATTTTTATAAATAAAACCTTATTTATAAGGTTTTATTAAGAATTGGGTTTGGCATCAATAGTGCACTAATGCAACAGTGACATTTGGCTTATTTTGGTACAAAAATCCTACAGGAAGCCCTGTCCTGTATGGTTTTATCTGGGCAGTATTTGTATAAATGTGTTATTGGTATATATTCCAAAATTATGGGCAACTCCTATAATCCAGATATGACACTGTACATTAGCAGTAATAATTATAATCGTTACCTAAAATCATTGTATACCATAGTGGTAACAAATTTCCTTGTCAATTGTTTATTTGACTGTGGCTGCCCTAAAACATTTTGTCGGCCACAGACAATTGTTACCTTGTTTTAGTCCTCTTTAAAAGGTGGTTTAAAATCAATTATAGAACTCTAACAGGCTTTTTTGTTGTTGTTGTTGTTTGTTTGTTTGTTTTTCTGAGACAGAATCTTACTCTGTTGCCTAGGCTGGAGTACAGTGGCGTGATCTCAGCTCACTGCAACCTCCGCCTCCCAGGTTCAAGCAATTCTCCTGCCTCAGCCTCCTGAGTATCTGGGATTAGAGGCATGCACCACCATGCCTCACTAATTTTTTTTTTGTATTTTTTGTACAGGTAGAGTTTCACCATGTTGGACAGTCTGGTCTTGAACTCTTGACCTCAAGTGATCCCCCTGCCTCGGCCTCCCAGAGTGCTGGGATTACAGGTGTGAGCCACCATGCCTGGCCTAACAGGCATTCTTAAATGTAGGTTTTCTAATAACTTTGGAAATTGTAACATCAGAATAGAGGAAAAACTTGCAGGACTCTCATGGAGAGCTAAAATGTTCATAAATATCAAGCAAAACAGGAGTTAACTAAATTCACTAAACCAATAAAAAAACGGAAGTAATCTTTTAAACTTTGCTTAAAACATTGCTGATCCTTTGTTTTGTTTTTCAAAGTCAAGGAAACTTTTCTTTTGAGCTGTTTACAGCTTTTAACAGTTAAGTATGTATCCACCTATAAACAAAATGTGGAGCATATTTGTTTCTCTCTACCTAATTTCTCCAGAATTTGTAAACTAGTTGTGAGTATTCTTAACTTATGGCAATATAGTTATTTGCATAACTATATTTGCAATAAGAAACTGTTTTCTTTTGTAACAGGACACAATGGGAGAAATTGGTGATTTTTGTCAAGGCTTTGCCTGGAATAGTGTGTTTTCCTTTAGGGAATTAAACTTGACTTATAGAGCCAATAAAATCTCTTTAGGGAACTGACCTTATACCTTTCCAAAACAGTCCCTGTGCAGGGTTTCTAACCTGTGGTGAGTAAAGAATGTCACTTTCTGACAGGTCCAGGAGCCCCAGGTTATCTTGGGACATCAAGAGGAAAAAAAATTTACCTAACTCATAGATATACAAAGGTACAAACCCATGGCTGGGCTCAGCTTTAAAAAAGTCTTATCTGAGATTCCTTATGAAACAGAGTTCCATCAAAGCCAATTTAAAAACAGCTTATGTGAAAAATAATTATTCTTGCTGCACTTTATACAAATAATCAGGCCAAATATAATAAAGCAAATCAGTCTTACCATAATTTGTCTTTAGTAAAAATGGAAAACTGGAGAGAGAAATATTATGTTTCAAGAACTATGGTGCACTTGTTGTTAAATTCTAGTCTTATCTGTTGTTTTTAAGTTTGTTTCTGCAATTTAGGCTAACCCTGCTTATTCCTGTGAATCAACCAGTGATCTCTGACTGTTGCTCAGAAGAAACAAGAGGTATTGGGG